>NC_000005.10:151856198-152156515 GCF_000001405.40 Homo sapiens
CCTGGGGTCTAGTGGTTAGGAGCAGCTGTGTGGGAATTTCTGCCTATCCCATGGGTAAAAAGGAGCCTGGTTCTTTCTAGAGGACTCATGCAAGACACTCACAGCTTTCCAGTTGCATGATACATGTCTGGACATCCATGGGGAAATTCTTCAAGTCCATGGGGCAGGCCAGTGTCAGGGTGATTCTGGGAAGAGAAGGGATTTTGAATGATGCAGGATCTGCACATCAGGGAGGCTGTGCCTCTATTCTAGTTATTGTTAGAAAATCAGTTGCCCAGGATAGGGAAAGAAGGTCAGGGAACTTGTGTTTGTTTTTTTGTTTATTTATTTATTTTTGAGAGATGAGATCTCTCTTTGTGGCCCAGGCTGGAGCGCAATGATGCAATAATGGCTCACTGCAGTCTTGACTTTCTGGGCTCAAGCAATTCTCCTGCCTCAGCCTCCAGAGTAGATGTGACCATAGGCATCTGCCACCATGCCTGCTAATTTTTAAATTTTTTTTTGTAGAGACCGGGGTCTCGCCATGTTGCCCAGGCTAGTCTCGAACTCCCAGGCTCAAGCAGTCCTCCCACATCAGTCTCCAAAAGTGCTGGGATTACAGGCATGAGCCACCATGCCCGGCCGTGACATGATTTTCATATATAGAAAGCCCTGCAAATTACATACACACACATACAAACTGTTAACACAAATAAAGGAATTTAGCAAAACTGAAGGATAAAAAATCCACAAGGAGTTCTGGCAGGAAGCATGGTGGGAAGCAGAGTGCAGTCAGCTGCTTTGGGGACCTGCAGGCCCTCTGGCCTTGGAGGTGCAGATGAGCTGGGGGCCCGGGCCTGGCGGCAGGCTCTGTCCTCCAGGCTCCCAAAGGCCTTGCTGTGGCTCCCACCAGCTGGGCCCAGGCCTGAAGCAGCGACAAACCTCTTTTCCCACCCCACCTCAGTGACCTGGTGGCCATCTGGTCTCCCAGCCAACTTTGCCCAGCCTAGACAAAGCCCCCGATGGCTGCTGGGATGCAGCACCTTTGGGTGGCGGTGGGTGTGGACAACTCATGTTTATTAAATAATTATGTGTGTATTTCCAAGTTCCTGATTGAAAAATGGAGGTTTAGAGAGGTAAAAATAGGTTGCCTCAAGTGACACAGTCAGGGAACTTCTGGGTTTTTTGGAGTCTTTCTGGCCTCTGGAGACCTGTCTTTAGCAAGTTGCCTGGAGGCCAGGGGCTGCCCCTGTTCCTTACTCTTCTGCATAGCCCTCAGGTAGGGACAGAGCTCAAATTTTAAGTTGAGCAGCACCCATGTGCACCTGCAGCAGGTGTTGCAAGTGGTTCTTGGCTACCTTCTTCACACACAGGGCTCATCAAAGGTTATTTCAAAGAGGCCCTCTGCCTTCTGGGTGTCCAGACACAGTTGACTACATCAGTAGGCTCATGCTGGGGTCGACTGGAAAGGGGTGGGCTCCTCAGGATTCTGGGCTAGCTGTTTATTTTGGTTGTTCAACCCTGACAGAGGCCACAGACTCAGAACCAGAGGGAGTCCTCTCAACAGAATTTGAGGCCTGCAGCTCAAGCTGGAATACAAGACTCCAGCTTGAAAGGCTTTTCCAACATCTGAGTGCCTGCTGCAGGGGATGGAGAAGAAAGGCTTTCAGAGCCCAAAGAGCCTTAGATCATCAAGGCAACTCCCTCATGTGACAGGTGAGAAACCCAGGGTGCAGAGAGGGATAGGTTGAGAGTCATCTAAAGTCACACAGCAAGCTGATACATCAGCCAGGATTCAAAACCATGTGTCCTGGCCTTTGGATTCTGAGTCCCATGGTGGGGTTGACTCAGGTGTTTGCTGGCAGCACTGCTCTCCTGCAAAGCCAACCCCAATACCCTAAGATACCTAATTGGTGGTGTTCTAGTGGACCTGAACTGGCACTTTGGCTGCATGTGATGAGGTACACAGCCCTTTGTGAACTTCCTTCCTCCAGCTCACACCCACAGCTCTGGATGTGGGCCCCTTTAAGCACAAGGTTGAAGCAAAAGGGGAAAAATGGAAGGGAGAGGCTGAGGAAGAAGAGGCAAAAGAAGGGAGTGGAAGGAGGGAAAAAGTGAAGAGAAAGTGAATGCAGTTGAATTTCTGCAGATAAAAGCTCCAAAGTGGGGCAGCTGTCACACTGGGTTAATTTCCTGAAGTCGAATGACCTTGGAAATGTCACTTTCTGCTGGTTTGTCCTATCATGCTGTACCAGGACTTAGCTTCCTAGAGATAGGAAATTAGTCTGGCAGCAGCAAAATCCAAGCAGGCTGACCTTACCATCCCCGCAGCCAGCTGGGCCTGGATGGCCATTTCCTAAGCCTGTCACTCTTCCAGTCTGGATGTTTACTTGAGGGGATGGGAAGGTGGGCTCCTGAGCGAGGAAGGCCATGTAAGCCTCGGGTTCCTCCAAGCCTGCTCTTGATGATGAGGTTCCTAAGCTCCCTCCCCTACCCAGCCTGCTTTCAGGAAAGACCGAGTTCAGTCAAACCTGAGGGTTAGGATCTGTACAGCCTCTCCCACAGGCCTGGACAGTTAAGGCTCATCACCCAAAGGAAAAAAAAAACGTGTTTCCCTGAAGGACTGGAGCAGGAGGAGAAGACATTTAGGACCAGCGCCCTTTTTTAAGCTCTTTGAAATAAAAACATATTCATATATTGATCAAATATTTGAGTGCCTATTGAATGCCATGCACTGCTATAGGACTTTGAGAGGGCATCAGATTCACACTAATATAGATTAGAATCTAGGCTCTGCTACTAACAAACTGGAAACTTTGGCAGGTTACTTAAATTTTTCTGATTCTCATTTGTCTAATCTGAAAAATGGGCCTGGTAAAACCTGCTTCATGGGGTTATTAGGAGGGCTGGATATAACACATGAAAAGTACCTGGCATAGTTAGTGAATTCTCATGAATGGTAGCTGTTATTATTACATGTGTAAGGACATTTTTTCACCTCTTGGACATTGGTCATTTTCCTTATGCCTTAGGAGAGGAGATCAGGGACTTGGTGTGGAGGGGTGGCAGTAGACTCTGAAGGCTTTGCCCCTAGCCAATATCTCAAGGATACTCCACATCTGGAGAAGGAAATCTAAACCCCTAGACCCAGTGCAAAGTTTGGGGGATAGATTTTATAGAAGGGAGTATCCCTGGCCTTGACCGTGAGCAACACCATCCACCTGGCAGGCTCATTTACTTTGAAGTTGCTGTGATTTTCTAGGCTTTATGCCTTAGTTCCTGCTATTATTGGTAATCATGCTTGAATACTCTTTCCTATCTTGTTTGATTGAAATGCTGAGTAACTTCAACCCCACTTTCTCTAGGATGGCTTTCTTAGTCTCCTTGGTTATAATAAATCATTGGCTCCTGAATAAAATGCCCCATTGTATTTTATTCTTACTTGCCGAGTATAAGTTACAGAGCTGGGTCTACCTATTCTGCAAAGGTGTTGGGTTGCCAGGGCCTGTTCACCTCTGTTTGGCCCCTCTTTTAGAGTCTATGCCCAGAAGGTAGTGGGGCAAGACATGTTCTGAGCAGGGAGTGGGTGAACCTGGTCAGAACTCACCTGATGCTGTAGAGGACATTCCCATTCCGGGAGATCCTTAGCAATTTGTTGTCTGTGGTGATCTCATGGAAGTGGGCCCCCTTCTCGTTGGCAAAGAACAGGTCAGGTTTCCAGATGGAGTCCAGCATGGATGGGTCCAGGTCCAGAGAGTCGTCAGGGTATTCATTATAGGCCAGGCGGGGGTCGTTCCATTGCTGCCGCAGGAAGATGTTGACCCTATAGTCCTACAGCCAGGAAATAACAAGGTGAAGGCAATGTTAGGCCCAAGGACATCAACTTTTGGAGGACCTGGGTGCTTTTGGCCAGTAAAACCTTTTCTGGAGGATGTTATTAAGTGTGGTTGCATCTTATATGGGGGTGAGACATAAAAGGTGTGTATCAGGCAAAACCATGGGAGTCATAATTACTCCTGAAAATCCTCTAAATGCCCCATGAGGTATATTCAACCCTGAACTGAGATTATGTAAATGTTATTCTTTATTTTGAAAAAAATTAAACTAAAGAAAAATTCAAAGATGGATGTAATGAACACTTGTTTTCATCATCCTGTTAATATTTTGTCATGTTTGCTTCATTTTTTTTAAATAAGAGAAAAAATACATTGCAGATAAATTGAAGTCCCCCTTTTACCCTCAACCCCAATACTACAGTACTTCTTAGGCACACTAAGATTTGAGAGTCACTGGTCTAGACAAATTGAAGGAATGAAAGGAAAAAATCAAAGCTGATGTCTGAGCATTCAAACTATTCTGCCTAAAGAGAACAATTAATTCTCAAGAAGTGAAGGAGGGATGGGCGGAAGAATTCTGTAGTGTTCCTGCTGGTCCTAGGGTTCATCCCATTCGCTTTTAATACCAGCCTTCTATAACTTACTGTGACATATGTTGATTTGTTTGGAAAGGTTTACTAGATGTCATGGAGTCACATCTTACTAGCTTCTTGTTTTTTTTTATTTATTATACTTTAAGTTCTAGGGTACATGTGCACAACGTGCAGGTTTGTTACATATGTATACATGTGCCATGTTGGTGTGCTGCACCCATTAACTCGTCATTTACATTAGGTATATCTCCTAGTGCTATCCCTCCCCTCTCCCCTCACCCCACGACAGGCCCTGGTGTGTGATGTTCCCCTTTCTGTGTCCAAGTGTTCTCATTGTTCAGTTCCCACCTATGAGTGAGAACATGCGGTGTTTGGTTTTTTGTCCTTGCAATAGTTTGCTGAGAATGATGGTTTCCAGCTTTATCCGTGTCCCTATAAAGGACATGCACTCATCCTTTTTTATGGCTGCATAGTATTCCATGGTGTATATGTGCCACATTTTCTTAATCCAGTCTATCATTGATGGACATTTGGGTTGGTTCCAAGTCTTTGCTATTGTGAATAATGCCACAATAAACATACGTGTGCATGTGTCTTTATAGCAGCATGATTTATAATCCTTTGGGTATATACCCAGTAATGGGATGGCTGGGTCAAATGGTATTTCTAGTTCTAGATCCTTGAGGAATCGCCACACTGTCTTCCACAATGGTTGAACTAATTTACAGTCCCACCAACAGTGTAAAAGTGTTCCTATTTCTCCACATCCTCTCCAGCACCTGTTGTTTCCTGACTTTTTATTGATTGTCATTCTAACTGGTGTGAGATGGTATCTCATTGTGGTTTTGATTTGCATTTCTCTGATGGCCAGTGATGATGAGCATTTTTTCATGTGTCTGTTGGCTGCATAAATGTCTTCTTTTGAGAATTGTCTGTTCATATCCTTCACCCACTTTTTGATGGGGTTGTTTGTTTTTTTGCTTGTAAATTTGTTTGAGTTCTTTGTAGATTCTTGATATTAGCCCTTTGTCAGACAAACAGAGAGCCAAATCATGAGTGAACTCCCATTCACAATTGCTTCAAAGAGAATAAAATACCTAGGAATCCAACTTACAAGGGATGTGAAGGACCTCTTCAAGGAGAACTACATACCACTGCTCAACGAAATAAAAGAGGACACAAACAAATGGAAGAACATTCCGTGCTCATGGATAGGAAGAATCAATATCGTGAAAATGACCATACTGCCCAAGGTAATTTATAGATTCAATGCCATTCCCATCAAGCTACCAATGACTTTCTTCAAAGAACTGGAAAAAACTACTTTAATGTTCATATGGAACCAAAGAAGAGCCCACATTGCCAAGTCAATCCTAAGCCAAAAGAACAAAGCTGGAGGCATCACGCTACCTGACTTCAAACTATACTATAAGACGACAGTAACCAAAACAACATTGTACTGGTACCAAAACAGAGATATAGACCAATGGAACAGAACAGAGCCCTCAGAAATAATACCACACATCTACAACCATCTGATCTTTGACAAACCTGAGAAAAACAAGCAATGGGGAAAGGATTCCCTATTTAATAAATGGTGCTGGGAAAACTGGCTAGCCATATATAGAAAGCCGAAACTGGATCCCTTCCTTACACCTTATACAAAAATTAATTCAAGATGGATTAAAGACTTAAATGTTAGACCTAAAACCATTAAAACCCTAGAAGGAAACCTAGGCAATACCATTCAGGCCATAGGCATGGTCAAGGACTTCATGTCTAAAACACCAAAAGCAATGGCAACAAAATTGACAAATGGGATCTAATTAAACTAAAGAGCTTCTGCACAGCAAACGAAACTACCATCAGAGTGAACAGGCAACCTACAGAATGGGAGAAAATTTTTGCAATCTACTAATCTGACATCTTACTAGCTTCTAAACTCAATGCTTAGTTAATGTTTCTCTGATGGTACTGCAGTGTAGTTATTCCACTGAAAGAAAAATTCAGGAGCCAAATCAATTAGGGAAATGTTAGACCGGATGAAATACAATAGGCTTCTTTATTGCAGGACTTCTCAGAGACCTTAATATGCTGATGAGTTGTGTGCATCTCAAGAAGGGAATAGAATATGGTTTATTTTGGCCATGGAATTCTTATATTTGTGCATGGTGAGTATCTTCTATAGAATATAGGTTAGGAATAGCTGTTCTAGTCAAAACTCCATCCCCACCTCCCACATTTTTTTTGTCTAGATAAAGAGACTGAAGTCCAGGGAGAATTGAGACTGGCTCAATGTCACTCTGAAAATGTAGGGCCAGAGCTGATTTTAGAACCCAAGTGTTCTGACTTCTAGCTGAGAGTTTGCTCAGTTGCCTCAGCTGATCCTAGAGGAACTGAAAGAGTCCATTCAGTTTCTATTCACAACGTGAGGAGCTATTATGGTATGGGTAGATCTCAATAGCAGAAAACTGGGTCAGGCAGTTAAGAAATATTTCCATTAAGAAAGTTTTTGGTCAGGAGCGATGGCTCATGCCTGTAATCCCAGCATGTTGGGAGGCCAAGGTGGGAGGATTTCTTGAGCCCAGGAGTTTGAGACTAGCCTGGCCAACATGATGATACCTCATTTCTACCAGAAAGTACAGAAGGTAGCAGGGTGTGATGGCACATGTGATGGCCTGTACAGTAGCCTGTAGTCCCAGCTACTCAGGAGGCTGAGGTAGGAGGATCACCTGAACCCAGGGAGGTCCAGGCTGCAGTGAACCATGATCATGACACTGCACTCCAGCCTGGGTGACAGAGTGAGACCCTGTCACAAACAAATAAACAAAACAAAAAGGAAAGTTTTAAATTTTGTTACAGAGACATTGTAAACCTGGAGTTCATGAATATCATGACACAAGTAGAGTTTAGGGTATATTTGTGTTTCCCAAGCAGGAAGGGCATAGCTCTCTATGTTGGATCTCCCAAAGGGTCTATAGTTCCCCAAATGATTAATATCCTCAGTTCAAGTCCAACTTTAAATGCTTTCCTCCAAGGAATAATCTCCATACATGAGGACCTGCTATTCCCGAGGGTGCTGGATAAATGAGGTCATGCAATATTTTCTTTTGGAATGCTGCTTATAAATCCTCATCAGTCTTGATCTGTTATCAGCAGGGATAAACTAAAACAAACAACCTTCCTCCCCACTCTCACCCTCACCCCTGCTCAATTCCTCCTACAGCTCATGCCTCAGTCTGTTTGCCTATAGAAATATCAATAGCTTCATAAAATGTTCCAAGATATTTTATAGGATTGTTCTATAATTTAATTGCAGCCTCTCCCTCCAGCCCCATAGAAAGTGACATTTGGCCTCATAATCTCACATCTTATAAGTCCCATGGTGGTGGAAGAACTTCAGGCCTGGCCTGAGTGTTGGCTCTTTGTCCTGTTGATGGTAATGGATAACTCCCATTCTGGTCCCATCTGATCAGGGGATTGGAAATAGTCTCTCCTTCTCCTTCTCCCTTGGATTTTGCGTGAAGTGTGCATGTGTGTGTGTGTGTGTGTTATGATGAGGCATTGGGCAAGTCACATCAGAGTGAACAGACTATGAATGGTTGGGCAGAAAAAGCCTTCAGTCCCCAAGCCCCAGCTGCACTTTTGATGTTCTTGCCAGTGACATGTCAAGTCCGTTTATGTGGCTAGCAGGAAGAAAAGAAAGTGGCATTTCTTAAAATGGTCTGTTAGGCAGCAGGCGCCGTTCTAGATACTGTCACATACATTTTATCCTCACAAAATCCCTGCAAGCTAGACATTCAGATTCCCATAGTGAGGGTAAGAAAACAGGTTTGGAAAGGCTGAGAAATGTGTCCCAGGAGCAGGGCCAGTGAGTGGCAGAGCTAGGACTGCAATCAGCATCAGCCTGAGCCTCTAGTGAGCACTTGTGATTTACGTCACATGGTGTGGACAGCCAATCCTGTGTGAGGGACACTTTCCGTCAGCCTCATTGCTCAGGCAAATTCTGCCTTCTCAGCTTAAGGCTTATCTCCTGCAGGAGACTTGATGCCCCAGGCTTCCCTGACCTCTTCCTTTTTGATCTCCTAGCAAGACCGAATCACCTGGAATGTTTAATTGAGCACTTCTTCACTGTGTATGTCTTATGTCCTCAGCTTGATTGGGAGCAATCTTAGTGGATGAACCAGACCTTATATTTTCACTGCACCATCTCACCTAGTCACTCAGTCAGTGCACCTATGAGCTACCTAGTACCTATAAGAAGGAAGAGGAGGTAAAGTCAGAAAAAGCTGGAACAGAATGGACTTTTCTTATTTTATATCTGGAAAGACTGAGACCCAGAGGGGAAAGGTATTTCCTAAGATCACACAACAATTCAGTAAAGAATCTGGAATTAGAACTTGGCTCTGCTTCTCTGAGTCTCACTGTTAAAAGAAGTTAGGCTAGATGGTCTCTAAGAACTTTTCCAAATCTAACAGCTAATTGTTGTTAGTTTTATTTTTTCCAGCAACATTTAACTGAGCTCTCTTAAGTGCCAGATACTATTCTAGGCACTGAGGAATCCACTGAGAACAAGAAAGATATATTTATTCAGCTCCAGAGCCTCCAGTGTAATGTTTACACCATACTGAGGAAAGGGCTCTGATAGGGGTTAAACGCAGGGTGCTAGGGAATATAGAAGACAGGTTCCCATCTGGACTTGGGGGTGGTGATCAGGAAAGTCTCCAGGTAGAAGTGATATTTAAGGTGAGACCAAATACGGTTGAGCCAAAGAGGGAAAGCATTTTGGGCAGTTGGAAGTGCATATGTGAAGGCCTAGAGGTAAAGCAAGAGTGTGGCACTTTGGAAAGAATAGCAAGTGAATGAATAGAGGAGTGGGAGGACACATGCAGGGTCTTGCAAGCTGTACTGAGAAATTTGAACTTTTTCCTAATAATAATGTGGAGCGTTTGAAGAATTTTAAGTAAAGATGGACATTATTACATTTGCATTTTATTACTAATATTTAAAAATGTTTTACTGTTATTTCAGAAGCAATGCAAGTTGTCAGTAAAAAATTTATGTTTTAGACGTACATCATCTAAAAGAAGAAAAACAAAATAAAATCCATCTCTTTGTATTTCATAATGAGTCTCTCATTATGAAATGACTAATGAAAAGTTAGAGCGAGAGACGGAGAATGTACCTTGGTGTCCTCAGGCAGCTTGACTCCTACTGGCAGCGCCTGCCCTAGCAGCCGCTACCCAAACAAGTTGCTGCCATTGATTTCCTCCCTTAAGTTGGCAAACAGCAGTGAGAAATGCAGTTCAGAAGAGATCAATGTAATTGGTGTAATAGGCCGAAAGCTAAAGGCTGTTTTGCTTATTTGGCCATAGCTATACGTATGCTGGTTGGTGTTCGACATGCGGGGGGCCATGTTCAAGTTCAGGGACTGGAGGAGCAGCAATTGAATTCTCCACCCTAGAACCTGAGGTTCCACCTCTGAGAGCTGGCTTCTAGGTCTCAAACTCTCAAGGGTAGCCCACAAACCTGAAGCAGGAGGGATTTCCAGAGCTCTGATTCAACAGTGTTCAGCATCAACTCACCCATCCTGCCTCTCAGATTCCTTGATGATCTAATTTCTGGTAACTGGGCAACTAGCTGCCCTGCTTATGAGACCAAGGTAGAGCATTAACTCATTCATTTGTTCATTCATTCATTCCACAGACATTTATTGAGGGCTTCCTATGCACCACCTGAAGTTGGATCTGTCCCCCACCTCTACCCCCACTGTGCCTCATTTCAGATTCTAACCTCTCCTAATAAACTCCTCTAAACTCAGTATTGTGATGAAGTAGGAAGCATGAAGTGTTTTAGTAGGATAGAACTAAGAGCTTGTGCAAGATTGTTGGTGGGAAGGGTATGTGGAATGCAAGAGGTGGGCCCATTGCAGTCAGAACCAAGAGACATTGCATCAAGAGGTAAACAAAAGAACCAGATTCTTATACCTTTTAAAGTCTTATCATTCCAGCTCCCAAGGGGATATCTCATCTCGAAACTCAATCCAACTCTATTAACATTTATGAGGCTGATTGGGAGTACAGTTGACGGTGGAGGCACAGGGTCTTCATTTGTATACTTAAAGAATTCAGTTTATCTAGTAAGCAAGATAAGGCATGGACACAAATATCTACCACACAAAATTGAAAGTGAGAGGGTCATAAGAAGTTCTAACAGGCTGCATGCGGTGGCTCACGCCTGTAATCCCAGCACTTTGGGAGGCCAAAATGGGCAGATTGCTTGAGCCCAGGAGTTTGAGACAAGCCTGGGCAATGTGGAAAACTCCATCTGTACAAAAAAAGTAAAAATAAAAAAATTAGCTGGGCCTGGTGGTGCACGACTGTAGTCCCAGCTACTTGGGAGGCTGAGGTGGGAGGATCAATTGAGCCCATGAGGTTGAGGCTGTAGTGAGCCATGATTGTGCCACTGCACTCCGGCCTGGGTAACAGAGCAAGACCCTGTCTCAAAAATAAATACATAAATAAATATAAATAAATAAATACTTTTAACAAATTGCCATTAGAGATGATTTCCAGCCAAGTTGGGCAAATCTGGAAAAGCTTTTCAGGAGAAGGTAGCATTTGAGGTGGCCCCTTTCAGTTTGTTCCATCCTCCAGAAGTTAGCATCTCTAGATCTAGGATTGTTCTGAGGTGTGAACAGTATCTGGTTTCACCTGGAACAAGGCCAGCGATATGCTCTAAGCCTATATGTCTCACATCTTTGAGATAAGGGTAAGACATTAAGACTAGGGCTGCAGCCTCAGAGTATTTGGAATTAGAATATGTATAATTGGGGGTAAAAGGAATCTCATGTAGAAGGAATAGCACAAGCAGAGGTGTGTAGGCAGGGGCATTCAAACAGTTCAGTTTAGCTCAACCATTAGCAGCATAAATAATAATAATTGCCCCTTATTGAGGCCCTACTATACAACAGGCATTATGTCTTAAGCATGCCATACATGTCAGCTTATTTTATCTTTAAAACAATCCTATGACTTGGGCATTTTCAACCTAATTTTATAGATGAAGAAAGTGCAGGGAGATTAAGTGCTTTTTCTGGATTTACACAGTTAGGAAAGAGTGGGGCTGGTGTTCAAACCTGGTTTGTCTGATTACATAAAGTTCAGGCTCTTAACTACTCTGCTGTGATAAGGCTGCAAAATGAATTAATTTGACTGTGGATATCCTTAACTGCCAAACCAAGGTATTTGGATTTTATTTGCTAGCCAATTTAGCACCATTGAAGACTTAAGCAGTGGGGTAATGTCACAGTTTGATTTCAGGAAGATCAGTATGGCAGGAACCACTGTAGACAATTGGAAGCAGGAGAAAACAGGTACAGAAAGACCTGCTTTAAGGCTGTTGTGACAATCCAGTTGGGAGGTAATAAAGGTTCTAAACTAAGATAGCAGGAATGGAGATTGGAGCTAGATGAGAGAATCATCATTCTTATCATCATGATTTTCATCATCAAATATTACAGCTAGAAAGAACCCTGGAGACTTCTGTCTCAACTCTCTCATTTTACAGAAAGGGAGTCTCCCTCAGGGGCACACAGCAATTCAATTGACTAAGGTGGAACCTGCATGCAGGAATCCTGTTGGACAGTTGTGAAAACTAAAGCCCTAAAAGCTCAAGTTCCTGCTGCTAGTTACTGGTAAATTCAGAATTAATAATAACAATGCAAATAATACTAATATTCTGAGACTTCACCACATGCAAGAAACTGTGTTAAGACCTTTATGTGTGTTATTTTTTATCTTCACAATAACCCTGTGAGGTAGGTTTTATTGTTATTCTCATTTTGCAGGGAAATCAAGGTACAGAGAGGTTAATGTTACACTCATGACACTGCATAACTAGTAAGTGACAAAGCTGGGATTTGAACCCAGGACGTTAATGTCAGAGCCCAAGCGTTTAACCAGTAGACTACACTACCCATGATATCCCAGATATGAATTGAGTGACAGTTTGATGACACCTCAGTGTCATTAGGTACTGCCTCTGGCTGCTATGACGTACCTGTGGGTTTTTAGATGCCCACAACTAACAGGAAGTATTGAAAAGGGCAAAGGACAGAAAGCTTCTGCCCTAGATTTAGCAGTCTGCTAGTGCTTTATTTCTGCCTCGAGCCATGGATTTGATCTGCTGTCTGCTCTATACTCAAGTCCAGTGCTTGTGGACTGCCCAGATCCCTGTCTATTGCCTGCTTGGCCCCAGATGCTTTGTGTCTTGAATTTCTCCTAAGTCACCATGCTGCCTGGTGCATTCTCATTTAGATATCACACAATCAGAGCTACATTTGTTGTAAAGAACTGTAGATGGTTTGGACCAGTGGAGCTTAGCATCTTTGTTTGTCTTTAGGGGATCACTAAAGATCAATGTGAATTTAATAATTACATAAGAATGTGAATAGCAGTTCTGTTTATTGGGTGTATTGGATGTCTGACATTTGCTAAATTTTTTTTTTTTTTCTGAGATGGAGTCTTGTTCTGTCACTCAGGCTGGAGTGCAGTGGTGCGATCTCTGCTCACTGCAACCTCCACCTCCCAGGTTCAACGGATTCTCCTGCCCTAGCCCCCTGAGTAGCTGGGATTATAGGCATCTACCACCATGCCTGGCTAATTTTTGTATTGTTAGTAGAGACACGGTTTCACCATGTTGGCCAGGCTGGTCTCAAACTCCTGGCCTCAAGTGATCCACCCGCCTTGGCGTACAAAAGTGCTGGGATTACAGGCATGAGCCACCACATAGAACTTTCTATGTATCATATTGCTAAACTTTTTGGTTGGGTGTGGTGGCTCATGCCTGTAATTCCAGCACTTTGGGAGGCCAACGTGGGTAGATCACCTGAGGTCAGGAGTTTGAGACCAGCCTGGCCAACATGGCGAAACCCCGTCTCTACTAAAAATACAAAAATTAGCCTGTACTTGGTGGCAAGCACTGGTAATCCCAGCTACCTGTGAGGCTGAGGGGGCAGAACTGCTTGAACCTGGAAGGTGGTGGTTGCAGTGAGCTGAGATTGTGCTACTGCACTCCAGCTGGGGCGACAGAGCGAGACTCCACCTCAAAAAACAAAAACAAAAACAAAAACAAAACAACAACAACAAAAAAAACCTTTTCATCAACCTAGCATACTGGGCATTATTATACTTATTTCACTGGAGAGGAAACCAAAATTTAGAGTGGTTAAATGGAGGTTAAGTTTCTTGCCCAAGATCACATAGCTAGTAGGTGCTAGGAACAGAGATATGAATCCAGGACTTCTGGTTCCCAATTTCACACTCTTTTGACAATTATAGGCTGTATCTTCCCATTTAAAAAAAATTTTAAACCAAGTTCAATTTATTTTATTTTAAAACATCTATTTAAAATATTTTAAAAGTAAATATTTATTAAAATTATTAAATATT
This sequence comes from Homo sapiens, assembly GCF_000001405.40. Taxonomy (NCBI): domain Eukaryota; kingdom Metazoa; phylum Chordata; class Mammalia; order Primates; family Hominidae; genus Homo; species Homo sapiens. The sequence continues at coordinate 151,870,059 of NC_000005.10, forward strand.
TTAAACATATATTTAAACTTTTTATTAAATATTAAATACAATATGTTAGACTATCTATTGGGTAGATCAAGGAAATATAGTAGACGTAGTATACTGGGGACCCACTGAGCCCATGTGACAGACAGGTTGGTGCATAAATAACCTTATAATCAGTATCAGGCGAAGAATTTTGGATTGGGACATTGAGCAATGAAGTAGATTTATAACTGGTTGCCAAAGGGTGCAAATGGAAGGAAGGAAGGGTGGATGTTAACCTGGAAAGAGGAAAGCTGATAGTGTTGGCAGTGCAGGGCACAATGGTGAGACATGCCACTAACAAACTTGGAAATATGGAAACTAAGATCACCCTCTGAGAGTTAAAAAACAAACAACGGAGATGAATATGCAATGGAGGGATTTGCATGTTCAAATCTGAGGCCTGGCATCAATCTGAATGATCTATGTGTAATCTCAATGACTTAGGATGGGCATGTGCTTGTAATGTAATGAGAAGAACCCTAATTTATTGTATTACATCTTGTTTTGGGGACTGTTTTGTAAACATATGTGGGACATTCATTCTGTAGCATAAGAAAGGGCCGTTCAAGTAGGAGGAATTTGGCAATTGGTAATCTAGCATACTGCATCACTATATTTGTGGAAACACCAACTTTCTTGCCATTAGAAGGAGGGCTTCTGTGTGGTGACGCAAGGATGGTTTCTTAGAACTCTCTCTGGCCTGGATGAAACTTCCCTCAAGACTGTCTACCTCTCTTTTCTCCAATTCCAGTTATGTTAAAAGCAACTTTTGCTTGGCAAGGGAGCACACTCCTGGTGGACATGGCATTCTTATTATTACAATAGAAAGTCTTACTGTAAATTGGAACAATTTGGCAGTTTGATTTCCCCACTTCAGTCATTCGTGGGTTTGACGGTCATGAGTCAGCCTTCTGGAATTTGATCTGATGAAGAGTCACGCTCTGGGCAGTCATAAGTTCATTGCTGTGACACCTCCCCTGGTGTACTGGGAGAGAATCATCCAGCAGATGGTACCAAGACTGCTCATCACCCCATGGTCTGCTTGTGATAGACTCTAATGGCATTTCTGAGGGCTTTCTCCTTGGCCCTCTCTTAGTCTTTTGTTTACTAAAGCTTTGTTGAGTGTGGCACCATATCTAATTGGATAACGCTGAATAGACTTTCTCTTGGATCCCCCAGACCCAAGAAGATAAGAAGGGACCTAGCATAAGCTGTGTAGAGAGACAAAAGTGTAATGGAAAAAGGAACAACAACAAAAGATCTCATCCATAATAGCAACCACCCCCACAAAATATCTGTGAATAAACCTAACATGAAATATGTGAGTTGTATATATTTAAAAAAATCAAAAACTTTACTGAAAGGCATAAAGGAATACCTGTATAATTGGAGAGATGTACTAATAAAATATTGTAAAGATGTACTTTATTCCCAAATTAATCTTTAAACTTAATGCAATCCTAATCAAAACCTGAGAGGCTTTTTTTTTTTTCTTTTTTTTTGAGATAGAGTCTCGCTCTGTCGCCCAGGCTGGAGTGCAGTGGCACGATCTCGGCTCACTGCAAGCTCCGCCTCCTGGGTTCATGCCATTCTCCTGCCTCAGCCTCCCGAGTAGCTGGGACTACAGGCGCCCGCCACCACGCCCGGCTAATTTTTTTTATGTATTTTTAGTAGAGACGGGGTTTCACTGTGTTAACCAGGATGGTCTCAACCTCCTGACTTCGTGATCTGCCTGCCTCGGCCTCCCAAAGTGCCGGGATTACAGGCGTGAACCACCGCGCCCGGCCGTGAGACGATTTTTATAGGCCTCAATAAACTGATTCTAAAGTTCACATGGAAGAAAGAAAGGGCTGAAAGCGTTAAGAAAAACTTGTAAATGAAGAACAACAGACGGCTTTCTCTACCAGACATAGAAATATAATGAGTCATAGAAATTAAAGCAGTGTGATATTGGTATAGAAACAGAGCAATGGAGCAATAAACTGAGACTAGAGACTAGAAATGCATACATGGGGATTTAGTTTATGAAAAAGATAGCATTTCAAATTAGTAGAAAAACAGTGACTGTTTAAGAAATGGTGTTGGAATAATAGAAACTCAATCAGAGAAAAATAGAGTTAAGCCACCACCAAATTCTTCGTATAAAATTAAACTCCAAATGGATTTAGGAGATGCATATAAAAAAAGAAACCTATAATATTATTCAAAATGCCCAGTCAACATATTAAAAGATGCTCAGATTCACTAGGAATCTGAAGTGCAAATTGAAAATGACAATGAAGTACCATTTTGAAAATCCCATTTGGTGAAAATAAAAAAGCTTGATAATACCTTGGGTTGGCAAGGATGAAGAGAAATAAACACTATTGTAGGGAATGTAAATTATTGAAGCTTTTTTGGGAAGGGAATTGGGCAAAATACTTTTAAAAAAGTGACTATTCTTTCATTAAAGCAATTCTACTTCTGGAATATATCCTAAAGAAATGCACACAGAGGGTTATGCACAAGAATGCTCATTGTAGCCTTGTTTGTAATAGTGTAAAGCTGAAAAAACCTAAAAGCATGTCAAGAGAAAAGTGGTTAAATACTGTGAAATGATGATGTCTCCATACCATGGAATTTTACCAGGAGGCTATAAAGCCTGGAAACATAGTATAATTTTGTCATACATTTAATCTAATAATAAATAATATATTTGTTTTCCCATGTTTCGAAATTTGGGATTGTGTAGAGAGTTAAAAACAGTAAGGTAGATCTATATGTAGCCATGTCGAGAGAGGCGTCAAGCTGTGGTGGAGTGGAAAAAGCAAATTGTATTGCACAATCCTACTTATATAAAGACATGTATATGTACCTAAATGTATGAACAATCAAGGAAAGGGGACTAGTATGGTGTCCACTAAATTTTATTACCTCAGGATAGGACAAAGGGAATTGGAGGGGAGGGCAAAGCAGGGGCATTCTTATTTCTCATTCTCTTTTTCTTTTTTATTGAACTAATTACAAAAGCTTGTTTTCATGTATTACTAATGCACTTTAAAAAAATGTTCCAGGGTGCTGCTGTCCGTAAGCATACTGCAAGTGAACACTGTGACATGGTTCCCGAAATGGAAAGGTCTTTGAGGTGGAATGGGTAGAAATGGATTTTAGGGCCTAGAGAAGGTTTTCCAAGGGCTTCCTGGGGGAGGCAGAGGTTGAGAGAGAGGTCAAGAGAATGAGATTCTTGGTTCCCTCTCCAGTTCAACCAGAACCACCCATTTAAGAAATTTGTTTATTAAAGTGCTACATCAGATTTACCTTACAGCCAGGCGCGGTGGCTCATGCCTATAATCCCAGCACTTTGGGAGGCTGACGGTGTGGATAGCTTGAGGTCAGGAATTTGAGACCAGCCTGGCCAATATGGTAAAACCCCATCTCTACTAAAAATACAAAAATTAGCCGGGTGTGGTGGCGCACACCTGTAATCCCAGCTACTCAGGAGGCTGAGGCAAAAGAATGGCTTGAACCTGGGAGGTGGAGGTTGCAGTGAGCCGAGATTGAGATCACGCCACTGCACTCCAACCTGGGTGACAGAGTGACACTTTGTCTCAAAAAAAAAAAAAAAAAGGTTTACCTTAAAAATTGAACTAAGGTGGGACTGCTATTAAAAACAATGCTTTGAAATTCACTAACCCAGAATAAGTATGGCCCCACTTTGCTCTGCTCGGAACACTCCTTGTCAGGCTGGGTCTATTTCTTTTTCTTTTTAAAAATTGTTATTTTAGATTCAGGGGGTATATGTGCAGATTTGTTACATGGGTATATTGCGTAATGCTGGAGCTTGGGCTTCTTTTGAACCCATCAACTAAATAGTGAACATAGTGCCCTATAGGTAGTTTATTTCTTCACCTTTCATCTCAAGATGGAAATCAAGTGCTGGATGCACTTTGAGGAGAGCACCCTGGTGGTGAAGGGACTGAAAACTAGAGAGAATGGTTGAGGAAGCCAGGCTGGGGAAGGGACAGGGAGAGCCGATCTCAATTATGTGAAGGGTTGTCAGTTGATTTGGTTGATTCTGTGTGGCACTAGGTCAGGACTAAAGCTGTGGGTAAATGGAGATTTCAGAGCTGCCCAAAGATGAAATGGGCAGTCCCTTTACCATCAGGGTGCTCTCCTCAGTGCGCTGAGTTCCACCTTGAGATGAAAGACCAATAAATAAATTACTTATTGGTTATTATGTTCACTATTTGGGTGACGGGTTCAATGGAAACCCAAATACCAACATTATGCAATATATCCATGTAACAAACCTCCACATGACCCCTTGAATCTAAAATTGGGAGGTAGTAGGTTCCCCATCACTGGAGGTGTGCAAGCAAAAAGTACTTGGATATGATGTTTATGGCAGGGATTCTGACAACAGATGGGGGTGTGCTTAGAGAACCTTTCCACAAATACTGACTAGCTCTTGTGATTTAAGCAGTGTGGTGGGCACTGGAAATATAGAGGTGATTGAGGGAAACAAGGTCCCCACTCCAGCTGAAAAAGCCAATAAGGCAACAAACAAACAAGTGAACTTTTAAATTTTAGATATTGCTCTGAGGATAATAGAACATGGTGATGTGATAGAGAGTAACTGGAAGAGAGGGATATTTTTAGGTAGGGGGGTGGAGAAGGACTCCCTGAAGCAATGTCTGAGCTGAGACCTGAAGGGTGAGAAGGAGCCAGGCATGCAAAGATCTTTCTGGGCAGAGGGAACAGAATGTGGTAAGAACCTTTGCAAGTTGTTGCAGGATTGGAAGTAGGATAATTCTGTGATCCGATTTGCAGTTTAAAATGATCCTTCTAGAAACTATGGGAAGTGATAGGGAGCATGAGGAGGGGAAGGAAGGAGACCAGTTAGGAGGCCATTTTGTCAAGCAGGAGAGAGATTATGCCAATTTTAACTAGGAGCTGAGAGCAACAAAGTGGGAAAAAAGTAGATGGATTTAAGTTTTATTTTTGTGATTTAAAATGTCTGCTTCATTTGATCAACTGATCCCAGGATAGGTTGACTTTGACTTGTGACTAAATGACTGCTCCCTAGCCAATGTGTTAATATTTATGTTTGGGTATAAAGGGCTTAAAAAAAAAAAGTTGGGGTCTTGCTTTGTTGCCCAGGTTGGAGTACAGTGGCACAATAATAGCTCACTGCATCCTTAAACTCCTGGGCTCAAGTGATCTCCTCTCTCCTCAGCCTCCTGAATAGCTGGGCCTACAGGTGCATGCCACCATGCCCAGCTGATATTTTAATTTTTTTGTAGAGATGGGGTTTCACTTTGTTGCCTAGGCTGGTCTTGAACTCTTAGCTTCAAGTGATCCTTTTACCTCAGCCTCCCAGAGTGCTAGAATTAGAGCCATGAACAACCACACCTGGCTATAAGGGGCTTTTGATCTCCTTGTGTGGTAGCTGTTTTCTTGTATCTTGAGGCCTTATTTGCAAATACCCAAAATGATGGATGACCAAGGTCGTTCTTGTGACACAAGTTCTTATAGGACTGGACAAATCCTCCCATCCAAGTACTAACCAGGCCTGACCCTGCTTAGCTTCAGAGATTAGACGAGATTGGGTGTGTTCAGGGTGGTATGACCATAGACAAGACTGCACAAATCCTACTGAGCTTCTTATTGACCAAACCGTTCTGCAGAAGACCAGGATGAGGCGATACCCTTACATGGCCCTGGTGCCCTTGGCTCTGCCACTTCCCACTTCCCTCTTTCTTTATGCTCAGCAAATGGAGTAGGCCAAGAACAGGGCCTCAGGAGTCAGGCAGCCTGGGGATGATAACTGGCTGTGCCATTTATTGGCTGGAAAAATTTGGGTGAATCAAGCTTCTCTAAGCCTCAGTTTCCTTATCTATAAAATGGGATTGTTGTACATGAAATAATTCCCATAATTCACTAACCAAAATTACCTGGCTTTCAGAAAAGTGCTCAGTAAATGACAAACACCAATACTAACACCTCACATTCTTTTCACAGTAGAGCTTTTTGAAAGGTTTATCTTCATGCTGTCTTTGTTTCAATTTATCCTTTGCTTTCTTCATGCCCCTGAAATTACATTCCCTAATTCTACATATGTGCCCTCCCTTCCCCTATACCCCGTTGCTGAAACTACTGGATGACACTTTCTTTTCTACTTGACTTTTCTTTCCTCTTTTGGCACTATTGAACACACAACAGTTTTTTTGAAACCCTTTCATCCTTTGGTTCATCCCTTGAAACTGTTCTCTCCTGGAAGGTTTGAACATGGGGAGTACCATGACCAGATTGCTGCTTTAGTAAAATCAGTCAATTTGGTGCCGATCAGTTTAGAAAAAAAGAAAAAAGAAAAATAACTCGAAAGCACACAACAGTGCCTGACACGTACATATTCAGAGAATTATTATTAATAATTTACAGAGAATTATTATTAACTTCTGTGTTCCACAGCATCCTTGCATAGCTCTGTAATCTCACCCATCCTACTGTGGTATTATCTTGTTTTCCTTAAAATAGACTCCTTGAAAGCAGAGACCTCCTACTCACTGATGTCTGGTTCCTGTTTACTTCTGGTACCATAGGAGGATTATACTTCTCTTTGGGCAGTGCCATGTGACTTCCCTTGGATAGTGACATGCAAGCAGAAGTCACTCCTAGGTGGAACACATTTACTTGGCAGTTGTTATGGACTGAATGTGTCCCTCCAAAATTTATATGTTGAAGCCCTAACCCCCAGAGTGACTATATTTGAAGATGGAGTCTTTAAGGAGGTGATAAAGGTTAAATGAGGTCATGAGGGTGGGGCCCTAATTCAGTAGGATTTGTGTCCTAATAAGGAGAGAAAGAGGTGCCAGATCTCTCTCTCTCTCTCTCTGTCTCTCTTTGCACAGAGAGAAGCCATTTGAGGACACAGTGAAAAGAAGCTGTCTACAAGCCAGGAAAAGGGCCCTCACTAGAGACCAACTCTGGTGGCACCTGGAACTTGGACTTCTAACCTCCAGAACTGTGACAAAATAATTTTCTGTTGTTGAAGGCATCCAATCTGTGGTACTTTGTTATGGTAGCACACACTAATACAACAGTGTTCAACCCTTCAGTGTATTGTTCTCTTGTGTGGCAAATGTGAAATTGTGTGTTGATACGGAAATGCAATGCTGAGCTACTACCTGGGGGAAAGCAGTCCCGGAGAGCCCTTACATCTGCAGCAGACTTTAGATGAGTGATAAATGAATCATTGTTGTCTGAAGATGTTGAGATTTTGGGGATTTGTTAATGCAGGAAAGCCTAGCTTATAGGACTAAAACAGAACTCTATCTCTAGAGCCTAATGCCAAATTTAGCACATGTAAGACATTAATTAATAAATGGAGTGGAAAGAACAAATGAATGAAGAGATACCAGTAAAAATAAAAACAAGCAAATAACAAAAACAAAAACAAAAACACAACAACAACAACAAAAAACTCCAAAACCCAGAAGGGCATTTCCTTATGTTTGGGTATTGGTGTCCCCACCCAAATCTCATCTTGAATCCCCATGTGTTATGGGAGGGACCTGGTGGGAAGTAATTGAATCATGGGGGCGGGTCTTTCCCATGCTGTTCTCGTGATAGTGAATAAGCTCACAAGATCTGATAGTTTTAAAAAGAGGAGTTTCCCTGCACAAGTTCTTCTCTTGTCTGCTGCCATGTGAGACATGCCTTTCACTTTCTGCCATGATTGTGAGGCCTCCCCAGCCACATGCAACTGTAAGTCCAATAAAGGTCTTTCTTTTGTAAATGCCCAGTCTCAGGCATATCTTTATCAGCAGCATGAAAATGGACTAATACAGTAAATTGGTACCAGTAAAGTGGGGCAATGCTGAAAACATACTTGAAAATGTGGAAGTGACTTTGGGCACTGCTGAAAAGATACCCAAAAATGTGAAATTAGGTAACAGGCAGAGGTTGGGACGGTTTGGAGGGCTCAGAAGAGGACAGGAAAATGTGGGAAAGTTTGGAACTTCCTAGAGACTTGTTGAATGGCTTTGCCTAGAATGCTGATAGCAATATGGACAATAAAATCTAGGCTGAGGTGGTCTCAGATGGAGATGAGGAACTTGTTGGGAACTGGAGCAAAGGTGACGCTTGTTATGTTTTAGCAAAGAGACTGGCAGCATTTTGCCCCTGCCCCAGAGATTTGTGGAACTTTGAACTGCAGAGAGATGATTTAGGGTTCTGGTGGAAGTAAGCAGCAAAGCATTCAAGAAGTTATGTGGTTGCTGTTAAAGGCACTCGGTTTTATAAGGGAAGCAGAGCATAAAAATTTGGAAAATTTGCAGCCTGACAATGTGCTAGAAAAGAAAAACCCATTTTCTGAGGAGAAATTGAAGCCAGCTGAAGAAATTTGCATAAGTAATGAGGAGCCAAATGTTAATCCCCAAGACAATGGGGAAAATGTCTCCGGAGCATGTCAGAGGTCTTCACAGCAGCCACTCCCATCACAGGCCCAAAGGCTTTGGAGAAAATCGTTTCGTGGGCCAAGCCCAGGGTCCCTGTGCTGTGTGCGGTCTAGAGACTTGGTGCCCTGTGTCCCAGCCACTCCAGCCATGACTAAAAGGTGCCAAAGTACAATTCAGGTTGTTTCTTCAGAAGGTGGAAGCCCCAAGCCTTGGCAGCTTCCACGTGGCATTGAGCCTGCGGGTGCACAGAAGTCAAGAATTGAAGTTTGGTAACCTCTGCCTAGATTTCAGAAGGTGTATGGAAACCCCTGGATGCCCAAGCAAAAGTCTGCTGCAGGGGTGGGGCCCTCATGGAGAACCTCTGCTAGGGCAGTGCAGAAGGGAAATGTGGGGTTGAAGCCCCCACACAGAGTCCCTACTTGGGCACCTCCTAGTGGAGCTGTGAGAAGACGGCCACCACACTCCAGACCCCAGAATGGTAGATCCACTGACAACTTGCACTGTGAGCCTGGAAAAGCCACAGACACTCAACGCTAGCCTATGAAAGCAGCCAGGAGGGAGGCTCTACCCTGCAAAGCCACAGGGGCATAGCTGCCCAAGACCATGGGAACCCACCCCTTGCATCAGTGTGACCTGCATATGAGACGTGGAGTCAAAAGAGATCATTTTGGATCTTTAAGACTTGACTGTCCTACTGGATTTCAGACTCGCATGGGGCCTGTAGCCCCTTTGTTTTGGCCAATGTCTCCCATTTAGAATGGCTGTATTTATCCAATACCTGTACCCCCATTGTATCTAGGAAGTAACTAACTTCCTTTTTTTTTTCAGATTTTATTTTATTTATTTACGTATTTTTTTAAGACAGAGTCCCACTCTCTTGCCCAGGCTGGAGTGCAGTGGCACCATCTCGGCTCACTGCAACTTCCGCCTCCTGGGTTCAAGCAATTCTGCAGCCTCAGCCTCCAAGTAGCTGGGACTACAGGCTTGCACTAAGTCTGGATAATTTTTGTATTTTTAGTAGAGATGAGGTTTCACCATATTGGCTAGCCTGGTCTTGAACTCCTGACCTAAAGTGATCCGCCCACCTCGGCCTCCCAAAGTGTTGGGATTACAGGCATGAACCACTGTGCCTGGCCAGCTAACTTGCTTTTGATTTTACAGGCTCATAGATGGAAGGGACTTGCCTTGTCTTGGAAGAGACTTTGGACTGTGGACTTTTGAATTAGTGCTGAAATGAATTAAGCCTTTGGGGGACTGTTGGGAAGGCATGATTGGTTTCGAAATATGAGGACATGAGATTTGGGAGGGGCCAGGAGCGGAATGATATGATTTGGCTGTGTCCCCACTGAAATCTCATCTTGAATTTCCATGTGTTATGGATGGGACCTGGTGGGAGATAATTGAATCGTTGGGGGCAGGTCTTTCCCAAGCTGTTCTTGTGATAGTGAGTAAGTCTCACAAGATCTGATGTTTACTATAAGGGAGAATTTTCCTGCACAAGCTCTCTCTTTGCCTGCTGCCATCCACGTAAGATGTGACTTGCTCTTCCTTGCCTTCCACCATGATTGTAAGACTTCCCTAGCCATGTAGAACTGTAAGTCCATTTAAACCTTTTCTTTTGTAAATTGCCCAGTTTTGGGTATGTCTTTATTAGCAGTGTGAAAATGGACTAATGCAAAGTCTTTGCTTTGGCTGACTAGTTAGTAGTAAATAATCTTTTATATTTCTATAGCATTTACCAAAGACTTGCATACCTATTACTCTGTGTGATCCTATACACCATTCTTAGGGCCAGGTACCTGGGGGAAGTGTATCTCAGAAGTATTAATGGTGGCAGAGTGAGAACTCAAACCCTGGTCTCCTGACTCCTGGTTCAGATCTCTGTCCATTGCCCCTTAAAGTCAAATAAGGCCAAACTTGTGGACTGTAGTTGCATAGGCTGTCATCAATCAGCAGGGGTCCTGGCCACAGTGCACCTGTCTTGTGCCAAGCTAGCCTGCCCCTTGGCAAGAGAGGCTGGAACACATGTTCTAATAATGGAAATACTGGGATTCATGCCCAAAGGATGTCAACACACACTCTCTCTCTCTCTCTCTCACTCTGTCTCTCTCTCTCATGTTTATATACAGTTCTACACAAATTCCAGCAATATACAAGTCCCTTAATGTGCACACATGTATAGTCATACTCCCATACTGGTACATTTAAATACTCTTTTACTTATTCACTTGTATTCATATGCACACACATTCACATTCACATGCACATGCATGTACACACATGTAAACATGCCTACTCAAATGCGGATACATACTTAAATATCTCTTTATATATTCACAAATATCCACATACAAATACCCAAAGAAAATAATACACTCCATGCACATTCGTTCTTAAGTACTTTCACATCTCCTACATGTATGCAAACTCACAGATACATGTGTATTCATATGTACAGATTTCCACATGTACAAATATAAACATAGAAATACACATACTTATATCCATACCTATAGATCATACACATTTCTCTTTGAAGTTACATGTCTACACATGTTCAAATTAGCATCACATATACACATGCCTATGTATGCCACTGCACAATTCCACGATCCCTCAGTATATACCTCCACATACATACTACACAGATCCATAGATGCTCCAGTGCACACACTTACACACATTTGTCCAGACAAGCTAGAGGTTTTCATCTGAGTTTTAGCTCTTTGTAGAATACCAGAGGGGCTGCTCTAGATCAGGATTCCCTTTCCTCTTTTCCTTTGTACGTTTCTTTCTTTTTGTTTTTCCTTTTTTTTTTTTTTTGAGACAGAGCCTCACCCTGTTGCCCAGTCTTGAGTGCAGTGGCATGATCACAGCTCACTGCAGCCTTGACCTCCTAAGGCTCAGGTGATCTTCCTGCCTCAGCCCCTGCTCCAGGAGTAGCTGGAACTACAAGCATGTGCCACCATGCCCTGCAATTTTTTTTTTTTTTTTTTTTTTTTAGTAGAGACAGGATTTCACCATTTGCCCAGGCTGGTCTCGAACTCCCGGGCTCAAGCAATCTGCGCACCTTGGCCTCCCAAAGTGCTGGGATTACAGGTATAAGCCACTGCATGTGGCCTCCCTTGTACATTTCTGTTTCAACTTTTACCTTCCTCTTGCTGCACAGACTCAAAGAGAGTCCCAGAAAAGGTCAGTTAAAGGACAGGCAGTCTCAGCCCTCTCCTTGTCAGGACTGGATAGAGACCCCTGTTGCTTTGCTGGCTGCCTCTCTGCTCTCAGGTCTGTTAGCTCCGGTGAATAAAGCCAGGTCCTGGGAGGTAGGCAGTTAGGCCTGGGGACTCCAGCTGTTTATAGAGCTGCTATGCACTCCTGCTTTTTCTGGAGAACAAACACAGCCTGGAAAGTTTCTGAAACCCGGACTATGTCCATATTACCTTGGACCCATGGTGCACAACTAGCTGTTTGTGTGGTTGGAGAGGCAGAACCCAGGCTGGAAGTCAGGGAGCCTGGGCTGACTATGCCACTAATTAGCTGTGTGTGTGTGTGTCCATGGGCAAGTGCAATCCTCTCTCTGGCCTCCAGTTTCTATGTCTGTTCAAGCTGAAGTTCCCTTTTGCTCTAATTCTCTGTGATGAAAGGAGACAAGGAAGGGCTGGGTAGTCCCAAACATTCAGGAATTAAATGTTTACATTTGGCTTAGGAGATCACGCACTGAGTTCAAGTTCTACCCTTGCTACTTATTAGCTGTGTGTCCTTAGGAAAATAACCTAATTTTCTGATCCTCAGCTTTCTCATCTGTAAACTGGAGATAAACTTTCCCACTTTATGGGGGTTGTTATCAAGCCTAAATTAGGTGATAGATACAGAAGTGCTCTGTTCACTGCCTGGTATGTAGTAGCATATAATAAGTTCTTCAAGAATAAGTTGCTTTTCTTGTTATTATACTAATAGCAGTTTCCCAAAGCCACTTTGAGTGACAAGAAAAGAGGCTTGAATGGGAGAGTCGTCCAAAAGTTTTGGTAGGTGGAATCCAGAGGGAAAAGAAGCTGAAGGGAGGGGAATCTTTGAGCACTGCAGAGAGCATCAGACCTGTGTTTCTACCACACCTATTTCTTGCTGTGTGACCTTGCTCAAGTGACCTTACCATTCTAACAACCAGATTCTCTCTCCAGAAAATAGAGAGCCAGACTAGGCAATTTCTTAAGTTTTTTTTTTTTTTTAGATCTGAGAGTTTTTTCCCCTATATCATCTGTAAACACACAAATAATTAAGTTAAACACACAAATAATTAAGAAGCCAGTGAGGAAAAAATCATAGTACATAAGTCTTCATTTAACATCATTGACAGGTTATTGGGAACAGACTTTAAGTGAAATGACATATAGCAGTTTATCAAATAATGTTGTTTTGTTATAATGTTGATGAGAAATAAAATTGGTTATGTTGTAGTCATTTTGTTGAAAGTTGCAGGTTCTAAGAACCTATTGGTGATGTTAAGTGAGATCTAGTAAGATATATTATGAGATATATATAAGAAATACTATATTATGAAATATGCCTGCTTGGAAATAGCACCTCCTGCCCTACTTTGGATTAATTTTAATAAATAGGGAGAAAACTATGTCATTTGTGGTCTACCCTCAAGGCAGTACATCATAACTGATCCTTCATTTCCTGTCGGAAGATTATTTCTTTCTACTCCAGGAGACCATCTCCTCTGGGGTCCTTTGTTATCTCCATTATCATTACTTACTATTTTCTCTTGAGGGGAGCTGGGCATGGCATGATATTGGGTTGGATTTCCACTTTTGATGCACTTAGACTGTTGCTTACGTGTACTTTGTAGGTCCTGGTCCTCCAATTTTTTTAGTCTGTGCTCTTTGGAGTTATAGCAGTGTGGCACAGAACAAACATTTATCTATAGGTTATGAGAACTGGATCTTAATCCTTGCACAGTCACCAAGTAGCTTTGTGATATGATCTGTACAAACCTCCGTTTCTTCAGCTGTAAACTGGGGAACATAGCATGCCTATTTTACAGAGTGGTTGTAAGACTACACACGTGGTGAAGGAATCACGTGAGAGCATGAATGTGAAAATGTGCTGAAAATGATAAATGGCATGTAACAATAGTTGGCATCATTGCAACTGCCCTTTGTGTCAGGCACTGTGCTTTGCACTTTCCATGCTTTATCTCTTAATACTCACAGCAGGCCACAAGGTGGATGCTACTGGCATCCCTATTTTTAACAGATGAGAAAGCCAACTTAAATACCTTGGCCAAGATCACAGAGCTGAGCCTCAGATGTTGTCTGGGCTTTGAAGACTGTGTCTAATTACTCTGCTACACCGTTTCTGTAGAAAGCAAAATGCAGCAGAAGTGAAGTCTGGAAAGGTAGTCAGAAGATGTGGGGTGGGAAATGGGGGGTGAGGGTTGTGGAGGTGGGAGTGGAGAGGAGAGGAGGAATAAACCAAGGCTCAAAGAAGTCTAAGGATTGCTCAAGATTACACAGCAAATCATCAATGATAATGTTGGGGCTGCAGTGTCAAGAGTCTCCATCATCATCACCATCATAAAAAATGCTTGGTGAACATTTACAAAGCATGGACAATGATAAACATTTTTCTAGGTTGGGTGCAGTGGCTCACGTCTGTAATCCCAACACTTTGGGAGGCCGAGGTGGGTGGATCACATGAGGCCAGGAGTTCGAGACCAGCCTGGCTGACATGGCGAAACCCCATCTCTATCAAAAATACAAAAATTAGCTGGGCCTGGTGGTGCATGTCTGTAATCCCAGCTACTCGGGAGGCTGAGGCACAAGAATTGCTTGAACCCAGGAGGCAGAGTTTGCAGTGAGCCGAGATCGTGCCACTGCACTCCAGCCTGGGCAACAGGGTGAAACTCTGTCTCAAAACAAAACAAAACAAAACAAAAAAACCCATTTTTTCTCTACACACTTCACATAATAACTTAATGATATCAGTATGTTAATTACCATTGGGATTTTACAGATGAAGAAACTGAGGCTTAAAGATGTGAAGCAAATAAGCTCCTCGTAGACAGAGTGAGCTCAGTGTATGTGACTCCAGAGCTGGGCTTTTAATCACCATGGGAAGTAAGGCTATATCTTTCTTTTTTAGGAATCTGTATGAAGGAATTAAGTCTCTGTTTGGTCATTATCAGGAAACGAGTGCTGATATGTGCACCTGTCCTCAAATAACCAGTTCCTTACAGAACCAGGTGGTCCACTCCCTGACTTGGCTTGATAACCATTTACCATTGAGGAAAAAGAGTGGAAGTGTCAACACTCACTGTACAGATTATGATTAATACAAATGTCAATATGCTTCTGATCTCAGAGGAGGGGAAGAAAAGCAGAGGGGCTCATTAAGAGTGCTTGTAAGACATCCATTCAAAGGTGAAAAAAACTTGGCTATTTATTTGACCTGGATATCCAGTGAAAAGCACCCATGTTTGTTCCTAGCTAACAAGTGGGACCATCTCCATTTGGAGATAAGAGGCCTGTTACTTTAGGGAGTTTCACCAGTTGTCCTTTGAATGTGGGAACAGTCTTCGTGACCATATCAAGACAGGCCACCTCACCTACTGAACTCAGTGATTTCTGCCAGCCTGGGACTGAAAGGTTGGATGTAATCTCCATAAATGCTTAGGACCAAATACTGGTTTTAATTGATAAGCAATATAATTGATTTGGTTTATTTATTTAAAAAACTGTTGAGTATCTGTTATTGAATCACTGTGCTAGCTGCTGGGGTTCCCACAGGAAATGAAACAAGATACCAGCCCCCAAGGAACTTACAGTATAGTGACAGGAGGGACACATAAGCAGGTTGGTACAGTGGTAATTGTAAGTGACAAGTGCTGTTGTGGAAACTGTAAAATGTATTATGAGAATGGACAGAAGGGACCCATCCCAGCCTTGGGTGAAGGGCACACGTGAACTCACACACACGTACGCGCATGTTACAGTGGGGAGGCTTTCTATGGAAATAATTCTAAGCTGAGTCTTAAAGGAGAATAGGAATTGGCAAGGGAAAGGAGGCTGGAGTGGGTGCTCTGGGCAGTGGCCTAGCAGCCACCACCAGAAGCCTGTAAAGCAGAGAGCGAGAGACGACCTGGCTGGAGAGCTGTAAGCAATCGGTGCAGCTAGAGTATGCAGTGGGAGAGGGAGGAAATGAAGCAGGGTGAATCACAGGGAGCCTCCTCAGCTTTGCAAAAGAACTTGGGTTTAATGCTGAGGGTGATGGGGAGCCATAGGAAGTGTTTAAATAGGAGCAGTGACGTGGTTAGATTTGTGTTTTGGAAAGGCTAGTGTGGGATAAAGTAGACTGGAAGGGGGCAAGTTGGAAGCCAACGAGAACCCTTTGCAGTCATGTAAGCCAGCCATGATGGAAGCCTGAACTAGATTAGGGGCGGGTGGATGTTCCGAAATGGATAGATTAGAGTTAACTTTAGGCTGCCCTGATTATTTTTTTTCACAAGCTAGATCACTTCCTTAACATAAGTACAATTGATTTTTCTGTTGAAAAAACAAAAACAAAAAGTCTGAGAAAAGTTTTAAAATATCATTACACTTATTCATAATTACTAATATAATATTCACCCCTTGCAGAAATTTGAAAAATATATAAATACTGTAGGAAGAAAATAAAAATTATTCATAACTTTTTAATTCAGAGATAATCATTCTTACAATTTTGGTATTTTTTTTCCTAGGCATTTCTTCTAGTGTAATAGATTCATTCTAAACTTTTTTACTGTGAAAAGTTTTAAATGTATTCAACAGTAGAGGAAATATACAATTAACCCAATATACCCATTTCAGCTTGTATAACCAGCAGTCTTCTGCCATTCTGCAGTTGAATGTTAAACTTAAAAACAGGTCTTCACATTTTCTTTTACTCTAAAAATTTGACTTGTTGTATAATTTTGTTTTTGTAATCCTGGGTGTTTGGCAGGTGCTTGCCCTGCTAGGTCTTTGGCTATTTTCAGATATTATGTATTCACTCAAAACATTTAATGTGACAGTAAAGACATCCGAGCCTCATGGTATACCACTGGAGACTTGAGAAAAACCCAGCTGATTCCCCACTTCCTTGGTGGAGACCAATGCAGAGGATAAATATTTCATGGAGAGATATCTCCAGCAGGAACTAACAGCTTGTGTTTTGACTTACTCACCATGGTTGTCTCAGCAATGGAACCAAAGCTGTTGATGAAAATGTTGCAGCTCACGTTCACTGGGGGACCTGCCAATCAAGAGAGATTCCTGCTTAGCCCCAAGGCCATGGAAGAACCCACAGGGTAGGACTCATTCCCAGAACACTGACTTCTGGAATGGATCGCCTTTGGTGGAGGAGATCCTTGCTTGCTCTCCACCCCACCCCCAAGCACCTGGGATTCCCAGCCACCATTTAACATCTCTATGCCAGACTTCCTGGTCCCCAAGTGAGCACCAGGTACAGAATACCAGAGGCTGAGCTGAGATGTACTTTCATTAACACAGGATGATTCATCAGCCGCCATATGGTTGAAATTCCTTCCCCAAGTCCCATTGGCTGCCTTTCAGCCACAAATTAGTGGCTGAAATATATTTATGTCTACAACATTTGGAGGCCATCTTGGGAATTACAAGGAACAGCAAGCTCCTTGCCTTCAACTTATGAACCAAGAATGATTGTCTGAAAGGCATTGATGGGAATTACCAGCTGAGGAATCCAGAAGGAACCTCAGGGGAAGTCCACAGACTTTGTTAAATACTTTCTGAGCAAGTCTTTTGAATCCTACTGCAAAGCGTAGGAAAGAAATGGAGGATTATTCACTGGTTTGCTGTCTCATTCCTAGAGGAGATGTTGTCTCATTGAAGCCCAATCTCTTCACTTTATAGTATTAATTATAGCAGTTGCCATTTACTAAACATTACGGGGGTTCCTGCTGTGCTGAGAGTATTATTAACATCATTTCATTTCATCATTTCAACAACTCCAGGAGAAGGTATGGTTATTACCTTCATTTTACAGGAGAGAAAACAGAGGCTCAGAGAAGCTATTTGTTCATGCCTACATAACTAGTAAATGGGTGAGTCAGAGTTTGAGTTCAGATTTGTCTAACTCCAAGGGTGCTCATCTTAATGGCTATTCTGTAGGAAACAGGTTTAGAGGAAGGAAGGGGCATGCTCACGATCACACAGACAGTGGCAGAGTCCAGAATTTTCAGCACTGGGTTTCCAAATAAGCTGACAAAAAGGGCTGACATAAAATAACCAAAGAGAAATGCAAGACCATGGGTAAGAGTGGTAAAAGCAGCAGGAGTCCAGGTGAGAGAAGTTCTGGAGAATAAGGCACGAAAGACCTCAGAAAGGTGGTGGCCTGGAGATGACTTTGAAGGTGAATAGGACTTGGATAAATGGTCACAGCCCTTCACATAAAGATTGTAATTTGCAATTTGTGATTTGCTTTTCAGGTCCACTTTCTTGATTCCTATGAGGTACTGAGGTAGACAGGGCAGAATTCTTGTTCCTACTTGACAAAGGTAGCACCAAGAGTTTTAGTAACTCACCTAGGCTCATTCAACTAACAAGTGGTAGAACCAGGACTTGAACCAAAGTTTTCTGATTGTGGAAAGAAGAAAGTAGATATGTCCTTATGCCCTCTGGCACCCATTGCATTCTGTCCCTCTTGAAAAAGTAGCCCAAGCATTTTGCTCAAACTAAGCTAGGATCAGAAGTCTTGGCATATAGGAGGGGACTCAGTCTTGGGATGAGAAACTAGGTTTTTCCTTCAAGGGATTATCAGGATTTCTGGGTTTTGGACATAACTCCAGCACTCACTGGTTGTTTACCTCGGCCATGCCTTTTCTCTGTCCTGGGCCTCAATTTCCTCATCAATCTGGAGAGAGAGTAAGTAGCTCTTGATCTAGGCGGTCATTCTCAGCTTCAGTGGTTTGGAATTCCTTTATGGAAGCTATCCATTTACATTTCAGGGTTGTAAGATTTTAGGGCTGGAAGGTTTCTTAAAGGTCACCTCATCAATTTCTTCCCAAACTGAAGTGCAGACAGGGTTATCTGCAGAAGAATCATCTGGGAACCTGTTAAACTACAGATTCTTTGGCCCAACCCCACACTAAGTAAAACCAAATCTCTGGAGGTTAGCCCAAGAGTCTAGTGTTCAGAGAGCTACCTGGGTGAGTCTCATGCACAGCCAGGTTTGGGGACCACTGCTGTAGACCAGCTACCCATTCAAGGCTGAGTGCCTGAATACTTCCAGCAGTGGGAAACTCATTTTGTCTTAAGCAGCCCTTTCCATAGTTGGATAGCTCTGTCTGCTAAATTTTTTTGTCCTTGTGTTGAGTGGAAGTCTGCCTCCTTGTCACTTCCACCTAAATAAAGCTCAGGTGGAAAAAACTTGAATGGTCAGGATTTTTCTCCTTTATTTAGACTCAGACCAGGTTTTTTTTGTTGTTGCCTCATGCCATTAAGATACCCCAAGGAGTTACTGCCTATGCCTTGAAATGATGTGCACAGAGTTCCCACCCAGTCCCTGCAAGTGTCTGGCACTGTGACTCCCATATAAATTAGTTTCTGATTTATGTGTGCGAGAGGACACTGGCCAAAAGGATCCTATGGGAAGGTGCGGTTCATTGAAATAAATCTGAAATTAAATTATCTTTGAGAAAATTACAATTTAGCTGCCTTTGGCAGCAGGATAATGTATATATTTCACTAAATGTTAAAGTTTAATTTTGCTTTTTTGTATGTATTTGCATTGGGCTGTGCCCCTAATCCTAGGAGCCATTATAATACACAAAGTCATAAAGAAGACACAGAATAACAGAGCTGGAATGGCCTAGTCCTGCTGGATCATTTTACAGATGCAGAAACAGAGGCTGAGATACAGTAAGTGACTCATTTGGGGTCATGCCTGTCAGGTAAGTAGAGGGAGGACTGGAATGCTGTTTTAGTGCCCTTTACTTCTACCTCACAGTTTCTTTGCCATTGTACTCTGCAGACTGTGCTTGCCATTCCTGGCTACCTGTGTTTTCACGAGGGTCAGGAGCAGGGAAAATTTCTAGCACCTAAGGCAGCTGCTGAGTGATGGATCCCTCCGTAGAGGTTTTAAACAATGCAGACCTCTTTCTATCATGTTGGAGTCATAGGGGCCCTGATCCTCAATGGCCTTTTCAGGAGCTCTATGGTTTGTATGGGGTTTTAGGGAATCTGATTTGTGTCGGTGGAAGCAGGAAAGGCATCAAAGGGCTCAGGGCAAGAAAATCCTCTCAGCAATTTTTCAGGCCTCAGTACAAAGGAGGGCAGAGAAAACTTCTCAGCTCCTGCGGTGGGGCTCCAGGAAGCTGCACCTCATTCTCAGTCAGGTGGGGGTCGAGGGAGTTAAGGCTAGTTGCAGGGTTGGGACGGGCCTAAAAGATGAACTAGTTCTGTAGATATTGGGCCCAAGTGTTCCGAGTAAGCTTCTCAGAGTGGGAAGGTTGGACGGACCTTGATTCAGTGGTCAGGATAAAATTTTATTTCTTAAAAATGCCCACTGCTGAGTAAGTAAATAAATAAATGAACAAATAAATAAATCACTATTATTAGACAAAGAATTAAGTTAGAGTAACTGGGTTAAAGTCTCTGGTTTTGACAGCATGACTTGAAAAAGTCACTTAACTGCTCTAAGCCCTAGCATATTTGTGGGGTCATTTATTTATTCATTCATTTATGAAGGTTTACTGGGGCTTTTCTATGTGTCAAGTACAGTGGTATGCACAAAGAATAACTAACACATAAACCCTGGATGCACCCACATTCAACAAACGAATGAGTTCCTCGTTTCTCAGAGCAAGACCATGGCCCCTCCACTCAGGATGGAGTTCTGAGAGAGCCCACCAAGGGGCGTGGTGGACTGGAATTCCTAAAAGCAGAGAGGGACAGAGGATGCAACCTGGTTGCCAAGGGCCCTAACCAGTTCCTGGAAGTGTTTGATTTGGCCAACAGTGTTTTTAAAAGAGGTGATTTAGTTGTCAATTTGCAAGATTTCAGATAAAACCTCAGACTTAAGTCTTGTCTTGGATGGCCTGGCTGAACAGGGTCTGCATTCCTGCCTAACAGCCATCAACAAGAGCTGAGAAGTGGCTGCCCTTAGATAAGCCCTATGTTCTCTGGTTTTATTTTCTTATCTCCACCCTGCTTCATTCATATACTATAGTTGTCTTGCCCCTCTAGGTATTAGAGGTTGTGACCCTGGTGAAGGCTTGAGCTGAGTGTGCTGGGACAGCAACCTTGTTATTGACTTACCTATCCTGGGGGTTATGTTAACAATGCTGGAAGCTATGGCCTCAGGAACAAGGTGCAGGGGGAGTGAAGGAGCCTCAAGGTAAATGGGGAGAGTGGGCCCAAACAGAGACCTGGGTGCATCTCTCAGAACATTTTCTATTTGCAGAGCTGTGCGGAGCAAGCACTCTGAGAAGGGGACTTGAGAGCAGGGGGCAAAGTGAGCAAATATTAGGAAGCTGTTACCAGCTGTCACATGCCTTGTTTAGTCTTGAACTTGAGCCAAAGGAACAGTGAGGAAGGGCACCTGAAATCAAGGCTTGTCTAGGAGGCTGGCTGCAGGTCCTTGGAATAAGATTTTTGCAAGGATGCTGGGAGGAAGGTCAGAGTGCATAGGCTCCGAAGGAGGTCCTTAAGACTGCACCTGCAGGGCTCTGCTCGGCAGTTTGAGATGGCTGCAACCTCCTGAGGCGTCAGTAAACAAAGGGAACTAGTCTCTTGGTTATAGACACTAAGTTCCCATAGGGTTATGAGAGGTAAAAGAACCTTTTCAGGTCATCTGGAGTAGAGTTTGTAAATTGGCAACCCACAGGGCATATGTGGGTCACAAAC
Organism: Homo sapiens; assembly: GCF_000001405.40. NCBI lineage: Eukaryota > Metazoa > Chordata > Mammalia > Primates > Hominidae > Homo > Homo sapiens. Next base: position 151,891,420 of record NC_000005.10, read on the forward strand.
ATGTTTTATTTGAATTTACATGTTTTAGGAATTAGGAAGTCTCACATAGATCTCGGTATCTGGCTCTTCTTGGAATACTTGATGCTCTGGAAACATGGGGCCTACATTTCTGCAGGGCAACTACAGGCTGGGGCTAAGAAGAGGCTGCCCCTGTAGAGGAGCCTGTACCTCTATTTCTTCATAGTCTCTACCACTCCCTACTGTCTTACTCTTGGTTTGCCTCACTGATTTAAGTTATCTACCCAACCCTGGTAGGCATTTGAAATTATGACTCTGATTTAGACCAAAATTTTTCAAAATTATTTGTTAGCCCGTGGGAAACTTTCAGCTGAAGAATTTTAGTTGGGAGCCCATTATTGAAAATAAAAGTGGAGCTGTTTGGGGAGGAGCAGGGTGGGCTTGCTCATCATGCCCTCTGCTTCTCCTTTGGGGGCACCTGCTGGAAGCCTGAAAGCTCCGTGAAGCGTATGTTTAAAAGCTGCCAAAGTTGCCAAGCCCATTACTATACAGATGAAGAAACAGAGGCCCAAAGAAAGGGAGAGACTCATCATCTAAGCTCAGAGAGTAAGTTTGTGCCTGAGCCCAAACTTGAACCCATTTCTCCACGTTCCATGTTTATCCTTCTTCCCATCATACAAGAAGTAGCAAATAGTTTTTAATTCACTTTTGGACTCCTGGAAACCAGAGGTGCTGTTAAATTGCATCCTCTGAGGCTTTGTCTGGGCTTGGTGGGAGAGAAGACTGAATTGATTAAGAATGTCTGCCTTGGGTAGAGGAAAGAGTCATGGGATTCACACTGCGTATTTACCATCTGCGTGCATTACCATGCTGCTTGCTGCTTTAATCTGGGAAAGCATTTCCCTGTGGGTCTGGAAGGAATATTTTCTCTACCTTTAAAATTGGGCCTGATCCTGGCATCATATCCGGAGGTTCTCCCCATTAGCTTATCCAGGAAATCCGAGGGTGACATAGGCTTGGGTGCGGAGCGAGCAGCTTCAGCCTCCTTAGAAGCAGCAAGGCTAAGGAGGAAGAGAGGAGAGCAAAAGGTTAATGATGGCTCTTTCTCATGCTGTGATCAGATCCCAGCCTTGTCCAACCTCTGTAGAACCACAAGAGTGTTCTTAGCTGGAGTAATATGGGTAATATGGGTCCTTAATGAGGTAAGGCCCAGGTTAAATTGTTTACCCAGCCCAAATATCAGCCGGCATGGGATCCTGGCAGGCAGCCAAGTGTCTGATTGATGCTGAGAAGTCACGGACATTTTTAAGGCTTCATCTCTGGGATTTTGAGTAATCACACTTGGCAGCTGGGTGTCCCTGGGAGAGAAGATTGGAGGGTTAGTCTTTTGGTAGACCTAACCTTGTGTTGGGCAACTGCACTCTCACAGGTCCATGGAGCCACACGGACAGAAAGGATGTTAGAGATAAAATAATTTGCCATTTCCTCAAGGTTTATTTTCAGAATCAGAGTCACAGTTTTTTAAAAAGTTGCTAAAGTCAGATGCATTCTGGAACACAAATTTTATCAGGCATTTTTACCTCAAGTCTCCTCAGAAGCTTTGACAAGCTTATATGCTTGTACTTATGGGATCACTGTCTCAAGAAACATATACTTCACAAAATCTCACTTGGGAAATTGAGGCCCAGTTAGCAGAAGGGACTGACATAGGACCCAGAGTAAATCAGTAGTGGCTTATTTCACTGTATCGAGAGTTAGGTGATTAGAAGTCAAACAGGGATGCATTACACTGTTTCTGTCACCCCTCTCCCACCCCACACCCATTCAACAAAGTGGCTTTAAGGCCCCATTCACACCACAGTATGAATTACTCATGTATTAAGAACATGACCCTCCCTCTGCCCAACTTTCTTTCTTTCTTTCTTTCTTTCTTTCTTTCTTTCTTTCTTTCTTTCTTTCTTTCTTTCTTTCTTTCTTTCTTTCATTTTAGTTCTGGGATACATGTGCAGAATGTGCAGGTTTGTTACATAGGTATACATGTGCCATGGTGGTTTGCTGCACCTATCAACTTGTCATCTAGGTTTTAAGCCCCTCTTGCATTAGATATTTGTCCTAATGCTCTCCCTCGCCTTGCCCCCCACTACCCGACAGGCCCTGTTGTGTGATGTTCCCCTCCCTGTGTCCACATGTTCTTATTGTTCAACTCCCACTTATGAGTGAGAACATGCAGTGTTTGGTTTTCTGTTCCTGTGTTACTTTGCTGAGAATGATGGCTTCCAGCTTCATCCATGTCCCTGCAAAGGACATGAACTCATTCTTTTTTATGGCTGCATAGTATTCCATGGTGTATATGTGCCACATTTTCTTTATCCAGTCTATCATTGATGGACATTTGTGTTGGTTCCAAGTCTTTGCTATTGTAAACAGTGCTGCAATAAACATACATGTGCATGTATCTTTATAGTAGAATGATTTATAATCCTTTGGGTATATATTCAGTAATGGGATTGCTGGGTCAAATGGTATTTCTGGTTCTAGATCTTTGAGGAATTGCCACACCAAACTCTTAAAGCATATAGATTTCAATAAGAGTCAATGTTAGAGGCTCAAAGGTTGAAGAACACTAATTTTGGGTTGCTTTGGGCAACTGAGCTTTCCTAGTACTGAAATTATATCCAGGAGATAGTTAGGAGCCATAAGCAGCACTGACATGTGCTTGTGGGGCTGGGATGTTGGAGGAAATGCATAGAGATATGAATGTATGTGTGTGTGCGTGTGTGTGTGTGTGTAAGGTGGAACCTTCTGTCACCTAGTCATGCAGCGCATAATGTTCCCCAAGGATTTGTACCCAACCTGTCTTGTTCTTCCTCTCAGCTTCTTTTCTGGTCTCATCAGTTGTAACTATTTAAGCAATCAGTTAATAATGGATGACTCTCAAATCTGTCACCACCCTGGCCTCTTCCTTAAAACCCCCTTCCTCATTTGCAAACATTTGTGGGATGCATTTATCTCAATGTTCTGCCAGTGTCTCAAATTCATCTCCCAAACTGAACACTACAGCTTCCTTCCTAGACTTGCTCCTCCAGATCAGTTTCCCCAGATGACGTCAATATACTTCCACTCTCTAGGATTAGACGCCTCAGAGCCATCTTGTCTTCTTGCTCCTCCACCCCACTACCCCCCATAAACTCACTCACCAGGTGCTGATGTAGTTATCTGTGTTTGTGTTTTAAGAGCAGGAATCATGGTGGTTTTATTTATTATTTGTTTGTTTGTTCTTTCATTCCCCACTGTGTCTACCATGGTGTCTCATACATAATTGGTGCTCAGTAATTGCACAGTGAATGAATGAATGAATAATGTGCTACTTTAATTAATCAAATATCCTGGCTAGTAAAAAGTGTTCATAAATATTTATACATGGATTAACAATTTAAAAATAATTAGACAATTATACACAGTAATGGAAAATACTGAAAGCCATCTGGTATTGCTTTGAAGATTCGGAGGGTATTCTAGGACTATTTAGACACTGTTGCTTAATAATCTGAAGATCCTTACTCATATCCTGGGGAACTAATTTTGATGGACAGGGTGAGGAACAAATGCACTTTAGTTTCTTTGTGTGTGTCTATGATGTAGGTGAGTTTGTGTGATGTGGGTGGGTTTCTAGGTATGATTGTATAGATGTGTTATGTATACAGATGGATGGATGTGTATGGATATATATGGGGATTAGAGTGTGCATGGAGGTGTTTGCAGATGCATAGTGAATTGGGTCACATAGGTTTGTATGTACAAAATGTGAATTTCTGTGTTCATGTGTATGTATTTCAAGTGTGGCATTTAATATGGGCATTTTGTGTGTGTATATGTGAGATGTGTGTGTATGTGAGCTGTATATATACATGGGGTATAGGGTGTGGATGTGTAAAATGCTTCTGTAGATGTATGTCTGTGATGTGTATATTGCATGTGTTTGTTTTTGAAATGTACTGTGAAATATAATATAGAATAGTGCAAAAGAGTGAAAAGAACAGATGATTTGGAATTCATCCTGTCTTAGTCATTTATTAGCTGTGTCACCTTGGGAAAGTTACTTAACTTGTCTGAGCTTTAGTTTTCTTACCTGTCAAATGAGGTAAGGAATAACTGAGGTAGCATAGTTAAAAATACCTAGGACTGTTCTTAGAACATAGCAAGCACTCAATACATTGTTTTTCTCTTGCAGCATGGTGTGTGTGTGTCTGTGTGTGTGTGTGTGTGTGTGTGTGTGTGTGTGTTTGAAGCAGTTCAGAGTGGGTCTGGGGCTGCTCCTTGTCTCACAATGCTTTCAGCTGCACCATGGAGCCCACATGGCTGGAAAACCCTCCCAGGTGCTTCCCATGGCCCACAGTTGGGGCCACTGTCCATTCAGCACTGGACTCATGGCTGCTGTGTGGCTCTGGTGTGGGCAGAGGGGACCACAGGCACGCAACTAGTGATTTATGACTTTTCTGCTGTTATAGTTCACTTCTAGAACCTCTCTAGGAGTGGCAGTTACGAAGCTTTCATAAGCTCCCGTACTCTCTCCAGCCCCTCCTCTCTGATAATAAGATTTGGGAACATAGTACTCCCTCCCAGCAGTTGCTGGAGCACAAGCGATCTCTTCGCCCTTAGGCCTCTCTCATAAGCCTGAATCCTATTGGGCAGTACAGTGGGAGAATGAATTCTCCCCACATCATCCCATACCATTTGGTATTAGCATAACATGCCATTTAATACCAGAACCCTCCCCAAAGCTGAAGAGTCTTCTGGTTATTCTAACTTGCATGTCTGCAGTAAGGTATTTGCAGTCTGGTCACCCAGCCACTGGCTCACTTAAAACCTTGGCACTGAGCCGAAGTGGAGGGAATGAAGACCCCAGGGGGTCAAGTAACTGGCTCCAAGTCACACAGCACTTTAAAGAGAGAAGGAATTAGAACTTACATTTTCAAGTGTTGACTCATCCAAATGCTACAACGTAAGGGAAAGTCTTTGTGAATTGTGAAGAGTATAAAATCATGATAGTTATGCTATTATTATGATTTATTTCTGAAGCTTGTTCTACCCTCTTCTATCCAAGCAAGTCAAAACATGTCTGAATTCTAGCAATCTGTATATACACTGCTCTGAATTTACCACACTTAAAAATGAAGAAGAAATAGTTGTGAACTACCCGGTAATCCTCTGTTTTGTCAAGTGATTCACTATGCATATTTTGAAAATCTCTAGTCCAGCCTCTCCCATATGTTATTTACCAGCTGTTTCCTGATATCACTTTCACAATTTTTGCCGTTTGTTCACCACCTCTATTAGTCACTTAATTATTTTCATTAAATTGTCTCACTTCTTTTAAACTTAAACTTATTTAAAAGGAAACTATATTTCACTACTCACAAATAGAAAACTAATATTACTTGCCATAATGGAAGAGAACCATAATAGCAAATACAATGACAACAAGACAAAAAGAGAAGAGTTTACAATTCTAGTGATCTGCTGCTTGCCAATGTTCTGAGCCCAAGGCCTGCTCTAAGTTACAAAGGAAGTGCAGCAAGTGTTGGACAGGCGTTAGAGGCATATTAACACCTAACGAGACTCCTGGAGTTAATAAGAAAGATTGGAAGAGAATTGGTTCAATAATGATTTATTGTTATTATGTCAGTCACTTAAAATCCTCCCCCTCCCTCACTGTGCTCTAGGCCAAAAGTTCCCAACTCTTTTCCAAATACAAAGGCTCCATATTAATGCCAAAGTAGCTATGCCTCCCTCCACTTGATAATCCTTGTACATTTCTGTCTATATTTAGACAGTACAATTTGCACAGGATTATTCAAAACTCCCCCTCTCCACCCTGGTGAATCTGATGTGCTGTGCATCTGTGTAGAGTAGATATGCATCGGGGAGCTCTTTTAGTACCACAATTCCCGGTTAACTTAAGCATTTGCTTATAGACCATGAGCTGCTGGACAGAGGAGCTGGGAATGAATCTGAGAAATGAAACACTCAATTGTTAAAATTTTCTGAACCTTATAACAGTATTTGGAAATGATGCAGTTTTTTTTTTTCAGAGATTACTAAAATACAATGGGTGAATCAGACTCAGTTTAGGCAGATTTGATTAATGGTAATTTTCAGAAAGAGAGTGAGGTCTTCTGAGACCAAGTTTTCTATTCCTTACTGAGAAGGCTTATTGCAATAGATGCACTGACTATACAAAGTATTAGACTATTATACACAGAAATGAAAAATACTGAAAGCAATCTGGCATTGCTTTGAAGATTCATAGGGTATTCTAGGACTATTTAGACACTCTTGCATAATAATCTGAAGATCCTTACATCCTGAAGAGCTAGTTTTGGTGGACAGGATGAGGAACAAATATATTTTAGTTTCTTTGTGAGTGTCTATGGATGTAGGTGAGTTTGTGTGATGTGAGTAGGTTTCTAGGTATGATGTATTATGTATGTTATGTATACAAATAGATGGATGTTTATGGATGTATGTGGGGATTAGAGCATGCACTAGACTGTCCACCACCTTTTGGTCAGGGGATTTGTCACACTAAGAGATTTTGGTACTTAAAGGACCTCAGATGTTACTTCTAATGACAGAGACCATGCAAAGCTCCAGGAGTAGAGTTCAACAGAGGGGTTGGAGGCAGGGTGATATAATGAAGTAGGGGCTGTGTGACCTTCAGTGAGTCACTTCCCTTGTTGGCTTTCAGTTTCCCCAGTTACACAATGAAATTAAGATGATCTCTAAGAGCCCTTCCAGCCCTCAGCCATCATTTTATGAGTCTATAATATTCCTTCTTTTTTTTTTTTCATACACTGGTCTCGGGATCCAGATTTGTCTGGACTTTTTTGGAGGAATGGGATTTTGTGTCTTGGTTCTTCCTCACCTAGTCTCAAGATTTTTTTCTCCAAGGGGCCAACCTGTTTCTCAAGGTTTACTTGGGAGAAAGGCCAGATCAATGTTCAGATTCTCATTCTCCAGTTGCAACATCAATTGAAATAGGGAATCAATATAAAGCTGTCAATCTGAATTACAGATGAGCTAGGGTTGCAGTAAGACTGGGGAGAAACAATTTCAACTACATTTTGCATGGCACCACACCCCCAAGAACCACTCTGGGTCAGCAGAGGGGATCCCTCCAGTCAATTCCCTCTCCAGTTTACCATGAGCAGAGAAGTCCAGGAGGTCAGGATGGAAAAGGGGGAGGAAAGACAAGGAGGGGGCAGAAGAGGGACTAAGAGGCTGAGAGTAACCAAAGGAAGGACCTATACAGCTGGAGGAGGAACTTGGAGGTGCAGATTGAAGACAGGGAGGTGGGAGGTGAAAGAGGAAGAGGACACTGTAAAAACGAAGGAGTTTGAGGCACAGTCAGCACTATAATTGAGGAATTCAGCGAGTACAGTGGACAGGTACCCAACTACACTTGGTGAGAGGATGAGAAGTCTCCAAGAGGCTTTGTGGAGAAAATGACTTTTTAAATAAAACTTGAAGGTTAGATATGGAGTTGGCCTGGAAAAATATAGGAGGAAGAGTGTTTGAGGTAGAAGGAACAGCATGTGTAGTTTAGAAGTGATAGACAACTTGGAGAACCAAAAGAAGAGTTTAGTGTGTGTATGAAGGAGGGAGGGAGAGAAGAGAATGGGAAATGATGAGAAATGAGGATGAAATACTTGTGGGTAGGCTCTGTCTTGTTCAGTGCCTGGCATGTAGTAGTAATTAAAAATTCGATTTGACTGGCCTTTGCCCTCTAATTATTTACTGTCCAGTAGATAGAATAGTTTAGGTACTTAAGAAATTATAAGAGGCTGCCACTCTGCTTAGGTGGCAAAATTGGACTGCTATGGTGGCTCAGTGGTGGAAGGCAGTATTTGAGGGGAAGGCGGGGATTAATCAGAAATTGTCTGAGTTTTATTAATTGTAGCCTCTGTGTGCTTTTAGAAAGACCCAATATTTGCCATTTTCAAATTGTGTATTCAGGGGAGAAAGCTTTCTCCTGCCCCATTGCCTGTGGGCTGGTCTTTTTCTAAATGAAAAAGAAATGGTGGATGGTGAGGAGTGGTGGGTGTCCTGGGCTTCTGGGAAGAGGTGGGGCTGAGCTGGGCTGGCACTCTTGGCTTTCTAGGCTGAGCCAGTTTCCCATCCCCGGCTCTGACCCCAAGGGACTTGGGGATTGTTGTGCAGCCTGGGCCCTGCTGGTCACCCTCAGCTTTGTCTGAGTTGGATCATCAGGTCAGCATCTGGCTTCCCGCAGCCAGCTGTGCAATTCTGATTTTATTTGATTGCAGTAAGGGGCTTAGGCTGGCCAGGGAGTGCTTGACATTTTATTACTGTCACTGTCACTTCATGATCTGCTAAGCACCCCTGGGAACAGAATGTCACAGTTGGCATGCCCTGAGCCCAATTCACCTCAGGGTCTTATGGAACAAGACACCCCTCCCCCTTCCTGTCCTACCTCCCACAGTTATGACTGCTTCCTATAGGGAACGCTTATCTGAATAAGAAGCACATGTATTTGAACATGATTTTCTTCTTGTAGCAAGGTAAAATCCTGGATTCTTGGAGCTGGACTAAACCTTAAAATCTCATCTGGTTCTGCCTCTGACCCTAAGGAAGTCTGGTCCTCTAGGGATCCCATATACTCTGTAGCATCAGTTTCCATGTTTTCCTCTGGATAGCCTTCCATCCACTAACTCTCCTGCCTTATCGTATGTATCCCCACAAAGTAGGGCCACCTAGAGAAAGAAGAATGAGGTACCTAGTAAAATTTAAGGAGGCACTCAATCCCAGGGTTGCATAAATGCCAACCCTGCACTTGCAGGGACCAGAGAGTGAGCACCTCATTAAATTTTGTGCCTCACCTGCTTCACTCTAGTCCTGGCCCTGCTACAACATCCTAAATCCCGGAGCTTGGTCTACAGGGTGGGATTTCCTGTAGATGATCAAATCTATTTGCCCGATGAGGGGGTCTTTACCTCTTACAGCATCCTGCTTTATTTTTAAAAAGCTTTTTTGTTTTTCTTGTTTGGTGGCAAGAAATGACATTAATTGAGCACCTGCTGTTCCTAATGTGGACTCTGAATTGCACATTACATATTTTATCTCATTTTATCCCCCAAATAGCCTGAGAGGTAGGGATGCCTGTCTCCATTTTACAGGTGAGAAAACTGAGGCTTAATCAATTTTGTGGCTTGTGACTTGATCTGTCCAATTCTGGCATTCCACACTGTATTTGCTTACATTATATTGACGTTTTCTTTTTCTCATCTTCCTTCTCCTTACTCCAGGTGCATGTGTGAAGGCTGAAGTCATGACAGTCCTGGTCTTTTCTGTTTCAAGCCAAACTTTCAGCTCTGTAACCTTCCTTTTTCTCAGAATTGGGGCCATCAAGGTGTTATATAGACAAAACCCTGAAAACATGATTTTCACAAACGTCTTTTCAGCCTCTTAATAAACATGGTTTTCATGAAGTACAGAGCCTGGCACATAGTCAGAGCTCAGTAAATATTTGTTAAATGGATGATATATACCCGAAATTCCAGAGGAAGCTTAATTTAGCTGTGCAGCATTATTTGGCATCAGTGATATGATTTGACTGGAGTCCAAAGAGTCCTAAACTCTGGCTCTGATACTCTTAGTCAGCCCCTGGGGAAAATATTTAATGTCTTCAGGGAAAATACAAGGCAGAAAAATAAGAGAAAAAGTCATTTCTTTCAGTGGTATTCACACGAAATGTCTTGGACCACTGGCCTAGGTCAAACCTATGTTTGCGCATAAACCCCACATTCCTGCTTCCTTATGTCCTTATTTATAATGCTACCACAACCATCTCACTTTGCCCTAACTGTGTGTATATGTCTCACTTGGGAAAATTTTCCCATGCCTCTGACCTTCAGTGTTATTCTGCAGTCTGGTCCTACGGTGAAAGAATGCTTGGCTTAAGCATGGGGGCATCAAGTGGCCCTCAGATGAGTTACAGTGTGAAGAATCCAGGGGGATTCTTCAGAGGCTTGAGTGTTGAAGAACAAGCCTATGGGGTTTACTCTGACTGAGGGAAAGCTCTTAGAAGGCCCTACATAATCAGCATGCATCCCACGAGTTGGACAGAAGAGCAAATGGCTCTCATTACCTTCAATGCAGCTTTCTTTTTAATCAGATAAATCTCACTGGAGAAATGTGTCTTTGCAGAGAATGGAGCCCAGGCTTTTGGACAGAAAGTTTTGGGGAAAAAGATTGCATTAATCAGCAGGCATTGGTCATTTGAGTTTGCAAAGGCCTGGGAGTATAGATATTGAGGAGACATAGCAGTAGGATAAAAACAGATGAAGACATGATATTAGCTAATGACAGTAATGGCTATCATTCATGATACTTTACATATTTCACTGGATTTAATCTTCTCAATACCATGAAGATGACATCATTATCCCCATTTTATAGATGAGGAAGCTGACACTTTCATTTTCAGAAAATTTACCTGAGGTTATGCAGTTTGTAAGTGGTAGCCCCATGAGACAACTGGTCTCTGAAGCCCATGGTATTAATCACTATAATTTATTGACTCTTCCAAGTGATAGTGATTTGCAGAGTCCCTCTGAGAAGCCTCTCTGGTTCGTGATATAAATGTTTCCCCATAACTCTGGAATTATAACTGAGAATTTTGGAGCTCCGGGAATTGGAAAATATAGGTTGGGAACAATGTAATTGATAATCGTTTGCACACATGTAACACTTTCAGTTTTTATGGCACTTCTAAATCCATCACTACATTTGATCCTCATACCAGCGCTGTGACAACATCTCCATGTCCAGGTGATGACACTGAGGCTCGATTGAAAGGTAGGAGGCCTGCTCAGTCTCAGATGGTAGAACCATAACATAACTGGAGCGCTCCAGGTCTGATCTGGGTTATCTTCTGCTTGACTCTTTGGCCATTCCCCAGAACCAATCACGGTACGGACAATACCTTCTTGACTGTTTATTACATCATTTCTGTCACACTTCCTCTGTAGTCAACTTGCCTTTTGTTTTACCCTTTTCTCAGTTAGCTCATCTTGAAAATACTATCTGCCTTTAGAATGGCAAAGGATCACAGTAATTTTACAGATGCTATGGAAATAAACTTTCATTTCTCAGGTTAGTCAACTTTATTCATTAGGTACTTTTAGATGCTGATAATCTCATTTTAGATAGCATTAGTTTATTATTTCATTTACTTATTTACTTAAAATAATTAGGAAGTGCCTATTATATTGTCAGAGATTATAGTAGGTGTTAGAGGAGGTTACAAATAAAATAATAACAGCCAGCCCTTATTGAGTGGTTATGAAGTACTGTACCAGGCATTACACCAAAAGCTTTATTTACAATACTTAATCCTCAAAATAACCCTTTGAGTTGGGGTGTAATTACCTCTGTTTTTCTGATGAGAAAAGTGAGGTCCATAGAGATTAAATAATTTATCCAGGTTCACCTGACCTTACAAACTTCTCTCTTAACTATATTAATGATGAATGTGCAATAGCCATTGCTTTCCAGGGGCTCTCAAACTAGTAGAGGAAAACTTATGTGAGAACAAATAAGTGCTTTAATGTCCAAAGCCATTAGAAAAAACATATCACTTTTCCCTTCCAAGTCTATACTAGTGCAATCTCAGAGTGGAAAAAAAAGCCAAGCTGCAATGGACCCATAGGAAATGCATCAGCAAAACTATAGTATTTATTCCAGAGAAAACAGAGTTTTCATAGGAGTGGAGCTGGGATGTGTGTGGTCTTCAAGTATCCAAAGACTATGATTCAAAGGAGGATGTTCAGAAAATAAACAATCCTCAGTAGGCACTGAGGAAGAAATGATTTTAAATTGTAGAAAGGGCAATTTGGATTAAAACCTGAAGCTGCCTTTAATAAATGGAGTGACTGGTCTTCAGAAAGTGAGCACTTAACTGTGAGTTGATAGGGTTTAGCTGAAGTGGGTATTTGCATGTAAATACAGAGTTTTAGGGACTCTCCAGGGCTCTAATAATGCTCTCTAAATAGCCTTTGTTGATTCCCTTGAATCCTCTAAGACAGAGTCAGAGCTGCAGCTATGCTCAGTGGGGTGGAACTTCTTTGTTTCACTCAGCAGGTTCCAAAGTCTTGGGCAAGAAGTGAGTAGTAGAGTCGTAGAATTACGAGACCTAGTCATCCTGTGCATTAAAAAAGACATTCATTGATCACCTGCTATAAATTAATAAATGTATATTATACCCCTGCAAGACTATCATCTCCATTTTATAGATAAGAAAACTGACTCAGAGATTAACTGAGAATAGCAAAGGCTACTACCAATGACCAAATGCTTTCTAGGTGCCATCCACAGTTAAGAACTGTTCCATACAGGCTTTCTAATCTTCCCAACAACTTTATGAAACATCAAGCATTTTCTTTTCTATTTTTCAGATGAGAAAACTGAGACTTGGGGAGATTGACTGACTTAATCAAGGTGACTTAGTGGCAGAGCTGATACATAAATCTAATCGAGGTGAAATTTTGGCGCAAGTTTTGGAGCAGCTGTTCAAATCTGCTAAAACAGCTCACTCAATTCAAATATGCATGGTTTTAAGTTTCTACTCTTCTGTGGTTTAGTATAAGCTTCTAGAAGGAATATTTACTTAGGAGAATTCAGGAAAAGTATCATTGACACCTTGTGGGACTTAACGAGATGGAAGGAAGAGTGATGGATGATGAAGAAACAACAAGGCTCTGTGGCCAATGCCCCTTTACCCTTTCAGGATAAAGGAGCTCTAGGGTCGTTGCTGAGGTTTTCTTCTCTTCTTGGGATTTCTGTCCTTTTTACCCTGTACCTTCAAGATCCTCCAGCAGGTCACCCCTTTCTAACACACAGGGGGACCAAACGGGATCCTGAGTCCCACTGCTTTCTGCTGCTTGTTGCGTGTCTCAGAGGCAAAGAGAAGCAACCTTGGAAATGCGACAAGCTGTGGATGTGGAGTCAGAGATTCTGGGTTTGATTTCTATCTGTTGCAATTCTTCCTTGTATGATCTTGGGCAAGTCCTTTACTACACGTAACCACCAGCTTCCTCATCCATAGCGTGTAGATAGCTCCTGCTCTAACTTTTAAATTACTATTTAAAATAATGTGGAAGAAAGCATAAGAACTTGTTTTTTGGCTGAAAAAGGGCATGCTCCAGGGCTAAGCACATGGACTCTGGCCTCAAATCAGGCTCTGGCTTTTGCTAGCTGTGCAGCCTTGGACAAGTTACTTATTCTGTCTAAATCTTTGTTTCTGCATCTGTAAAATGAGGGTGATAGTAGTTGTTGGTCGTAAGCTTGTTGTAAGGAATAAGCATTCTTTTACAGTGCTCACTTTGGTGTGTGGCACAGTGTAAATGTTCAATACAATTTTTATTGATTCAAAGAGAGTTGGCAGATCTAGGCTTTGTGATGGGGGATGAATATATGAACTTCCAGAAGCTTTTTGTGCTTTATATTGGAATCTAGAAGGGCCACCCACTCTGACCCTAGAAGAGTACCACAGCAATCTCAGGTAGTTCTACTATGCTCTTAGTAATTTATCTGTTATGTAGTAAATTAATAGTATTACTTTGGCATTTCAGTCAATAGGATTAAGATGATCTGATGGTAACAGAGCAGTAATTGCTGCTGCACATATGGAAACTGTCCAGTGGCAAAAACTATTTTTTCACAAGCTGGCTGGTTGCCCTCAGACCAGATTCTTTCAACTCTTAAAAAAATAACATTTTCCTCTGATGATTAAAGCAAAAAATGCACATTGGGAAAATACAATGAGGTTCAAGGAAAAAAATGAAAACCCACCTAGAAAACCCATTATCTAGATATCTACTGTTAACATATTGCTAAATTTCTTCCAGGTTTTTTTCCTCTACAGATCATAATGAGTGTTGTTTCCTCTTTATTTTTGACTGAAGATTCTAAATGAGCATTTTCTATTGCTATTAAATCTTTAGAAACACAATTTTAAATGACTGCATATGCCAGTGTGTGGCTGGCATATGCAGTCATTTAAAATTAGTATTTATTTTGCTCTCCCACAATTGATAGGCATTTATATTATTTTCAATTTTTAGCTATTATAAATTATGCTGGAAAAACCCCCTTGGTCACAAACCTCTGTTCATGTCCTAGAAGCAAAATTGCTGAGTCAAAGCTAGAAATATTTCTGAGGCAGAAAGGCCATAGCAGAGTAAAGGAGCCCCTTCCAACCCCCCAGGACCAGCAACTTGGCTGTCATTGAAAATTAATTCTTCATAAGGCAGTGTGCTAGGGGCAAGGGCTGAAGTCAACGGTGAGTAAGTAAAAGTTGAAAAGGAGAGAGGTGACTGCTTCCACCTTTTCCCTTTTCCTCCACTGACTCACATTGCCCATGAAATTGTAGACATTGGAACGTGCTGGAGGGGAGAAAGCGAGCTCTTAGTGACAGATTGTTCAGAAGCCCAACATTGCTTCGTGCTTTGCATTTCCTTTTCTGTTAAATTGCCCTGCATATGTCTTCTGCCTGTGTCATATTCATTTTTTTAAATCCCTGAAAGTACTTACATTTTGCAAGCATTCCCTAAATGCTCGAAATGGGGGGTGGGATAACATGGTGGACTCAAATCTGATTCTGCCGTTTATTAGCGGGTTCTGATTTATTAGCTGTGTGATCTTAGGCAAGTCACTTAACACTTTCAATTTGTTTCCTTATCAGTAAAATAAGGGTAATAATAGGGATACTTTCTATAATTGTTTGGCTAAGTAAGAAAATACATATCAAGTGAGAACTGCAGTGCCAGGCACAGAGAAACTACTGAGTATGTTAGCAATTATTACAAATAAAAATAAGGTTCAAATAATCTGCACTAAAATCTTATGCCAGCCTAAGTTTAACCTAATAATTCTTAAGAACTTAGAAAAATCCGAAGACTGAAAGAGTCAGGAATGCAGGAAATACCGGATGTGGGCTGTACTTCACATCTTGGCTAATTTATTATATTTAGTTGTAGGTCCTGCATTTTAAGAGGGACATTAACAGGCTGGAGCAGGTCCAAAAGGGAACAATTGGGCTGGTAAACAAACTTGAAATTGACCTGTAAGGAATAATTAAAGACTCTGTGGGTGTTTGGCTCAGAGAAGTCTTAGGCAGAAGGGATCGGTCCATTGGGCTGTTGGGGGAAGAGGGACCCAACTTAATAAAATAATTTTTTTGAGTATTTTTATTTTCCAGACATCGAGCTTTGCAAATATTATTTATTTTTTCTTCTCCAAAACACTACATGAGGTATGTATTTGTGTATCTATTGTACAGATGAAGTAACAGGCACAGAGGCAGAAGTGACTTGGTTGAGAGTTAACGTGGTTAATAGGTGGAATGGTAGGAATGGAGCCAGGTCTTTCTAATTTTATAGTTTGAGTACCTTCTACAGCCCACTGACTTGTTCCAAGTGACTAGGGAAGACCTGTCGGACTTTTAAAGAGCAAGATGGCTGCCTGATACATGTGAGGAAAGAATATTTAGACCATTAGAGCCATCCAACAATGGAAGAAGCTGCCTGAGTAGATGATGAGTTTCTTGTCACTGGAAGTATTCAAGGAGAGGCTGAACTTCTCTGCTCAGTAGCATGCTGTAAGGATGACAGCTGAGGAGTGGGCTGGAACTGTGACTTTATTACTTACTTGGGTGTTCTGGAAAGTTGCTTAACTTCTCTGAGCCTGTTTCTTCATCTATAAACTAAGAATATGGCCTAATTTTAGAAGACTTACAAAAAAAAATACAGATAAATTGTTTAGCCAAGAAGCTGGTATACAGAAGTTGCTCTTTATATATTAAGCGAAAAATTATCTATAATCTTTCTATTTGTATCTGTGGCTCTCATTTATTTGGCGACACTGTCTACTCACTTCTTCACTGGGAAAAATTTTAGACTTGGAGAGGTCACCTCCTAGGTGAGTATTTTACTTCACTTCTGCAGTGGCAGGTACATGCTAATTTCTGTCCCCTTAGGCAAATGACAGGTTGGACTTTAAAACAGGGGCAGTGGAATAAACAAAAGGAAGAATATTCAAACTGAAATGTTAAGCAATAGAATAGACATTATTGGGAGAAAGATTAGAACCACACAGCTAATAAATCATGTCACCCTATGGATCAAATATCAGATGGGTTTGAGGAGCCCACTATATGCCCAGCACTGTGCCATATGCATTAGAGTTCAATCAATCGGAGGCACTGTCTTTGTCTACAAAAGTCTCAAGGCCTGGGATGGCCCAGACAGTTGTGAAAAGATTAGCTGATAGGACTGAGTATTATTCTGTGCTAAATCTTTTGGTTTGGATTGCAGCCCCTGGGCAATTAGGGAAGGGATGCTCAGAGGCAAGAGATGGAGAAGATGACCTTGGAAGGTCTCTTTCTTGCCTGGGATTTTCTCCTTTTGATGATGCCCAGGATTCTTTCTAGCAGGCACAATGCTGTAATGTTGCAGTTGTGGCTCCCTTGGGCACATTCTCTAGTCATTTCCCCAGGACTTTCCCCATAGCCTGGGAATATGCTAATAATTGTTGTCCATAATCTGGCCTGGAGGAGGAAGATGTGGATGAGGAAAAGGAGGAAGAGGTGAGGAAGAGGAGGAAGGGCCGCCCTTCTGAGGGCTCTCTCAGCAGCCTTCCTTCCTGGGCTTTGAGAACAAGGCAGCATCCTGTCTCCTCCCAGGTATCCATTCAGGCCCCTGTTCTGTAGACATCAGTCTAGGCTCCTACCAACATCAGCCATGGGTCCCACCAGCAGGAAACATGGAGTTAGTTGCATGAAGAGAAAGCTTTTATTGTTGGAATTCTTGATGTGAGGATCCTTCCTTTTCTTTCAACAAGATAAGCAGATTCCAACTGCTTTGGAAAATATCTTCCTTTCTCTATCCTCTTGTTTCTTCCTCCTGTCATCATTCCTCCTTAACCTTTGCTTCTTCCCTCCTACATTCTTTTTCCCTTCTGGTTTCTCTACCTTATTCCTTTTCCTTCATTTGTTTCTGAATCCTAGGATGATGAAGTTGAGGGAGGTCTTAGAAGTCCTCTAGTACAGTGTACTCATTCATTTTACAGATGAGAAGAATGCATTTCCAAGACAGAAAGAGACTCACAGAATGAGTCCTTGGTGGAACCCAGAGTAGACCTGAGTTGAGTGCTCTTCCCTCTTTATTACTCTGCTTATCTCCACATTTCTCTCCCCTTTCTTGTTTTTTTTTTAAATTGTTCATTTTATTTCTTGCTCAATACTCTTTCTTCTCGTTTGTTGCTTCTTAATCCCATAATGTTAAATGAAAACAAAATCAGGATTTTGGGTAGAAGAACTGAAAGGGAAGTGTGTTGTCAAGTTCTTCCCATTGTGGCTGTGATTTGGGGTGAGCCCCTCAATTTTCCTCCTCAGAGTCTCTATCTACTTTCTCCATCCTACCCCGCCATGTCTTTGGAGGGGTTTGTCCACTGTCTTTCTCCATATGAAGACTTTGAACTTGAATTGCCAAGGTGCCCTAAAGGGGTCCTAGGTTGGTAAGATCACTGCCTTAGTCCCTTCATTTACAAACTGGAGATGATCATAGTATTTTCCTCACAGGGTAGCTATAAAGATGAAATAGTTAATACATATCAAGTTTTTTGAAAAGTTTCTGGCATATAGTAGGTTCTAAATATATGTTATTCATATTCGCTGGTATTATTAATTATAAATATTATTTAGAGGGATTTCTGTCCATAAGGAGAAGGGTCGAGAGTCACAGATGTCATTCTAACATAAGGAGAGAAAAGAAAACTATGAATATAGCTCAAATAGAGACTCAGCAAATTACACAAAGGGTGACCTGATCTCAGCTGTGCTCTGCTTCCTGAATGTGTGCACTTTTTACCCAAAGGCACCATCTTTTCTCCAACCATTTGAATTCAAATTGCAGCCCATGGTCATGACTTACCCTGAGAAGAAGCTGTTTGGAAGTTAAGAGTAAAGTTAGGCCTTGCTCAGAACTGACACAGTTTAAGAAGTCCTTCTGATACTTTCCATTTTCTCCCAGGTAGTGTTTAAGATGTGATGACAGAGTGCTGTATTCTCCAAACCAAAATCACTTGCATGTCATATAATAAGTTTTGCCCAATTTATGTACTGTTATTTAATTTATTTTTAATTTGATTTTTAGTCTTAAATGTTATCAGTATCATAATGGAATTGGTAAGTTCTGGTCCCTAGTAAAATAAAATAAGAGAAAATTATCCTGTACCATTATAGTGTATCTTGTAGACTATTGGTGTAACTCTGATTTGATTTTAGGGAAAGTTGTCATGGTAATAAGAGACTTGGAATTCTCAGTTCTTGTCTGGGCTGGACATTAATTTACTGTTGACTTTGGACAAGTCCCTTTCCCTCTGGCCACAGTTCCTCCCTGGGAACTGAAACAACTGGGACATGTAATTCTTTCCATCTCTAACTTTTTTTTTTTGTCATGAGTAGGAGTATTTTATGAAATTGCACAGTGAATTGGGTAGGGCTCCAGTCACCCTGATGAGAGTATGTACCATCCATCACGTTGTTCTGAGCACCCAATTTTATAATATAACTCTAGCCTTCCATTTTCCAGTGACATTTTGCTTCCAGCACAATGACTTCTGTGGGAAAAGCAACTTCCATTTGTTCAGAAAATTCTCCTAAATACACGAAATAGTTTCAGCTTCTAGGCTGATTTTTACTTAGAGAAAACAATCAAGACGGCACTGGTTTGGGTGACTCCAAATGTCTTTCTTTCCTACCTGGTACAGGTTGCCTTTTATTAAGGTGGGCTCTAAGTTTGGTTGAATGCCCATACTCTCTGGCATCCTCTTTTATTAAAAAATATATTTTCCAGCTTTTCAAAAGTAATATATATTGTTGTAAAACATTCAAGTATTACAGGAATATTTAATGCAGGAAATAAAAGTTCCCCATGGTCTCATTCTCAAGAGACAATAACAACTATAAACAGTTTTCAGTCCATTTTTGTAGAATTTTTCCCCATAAGAGAACATTAATACATATAAAAAAATAAAAATGGGATCCTACTGTACAGACTGTTTTGCTATTTGCCTTCCCTTCTCTCTCCACTCCTCGTAATCATTCATCCTGGCCATTTTTGACTTTTCTGCATGGAATGAGGTTGCCTGCCCATGATACTAACTGGCTGTGTGACTTTGGATGAATCATTTTTCCCCTCAGGGTTTCAGTTTCCTCAACTATAACAAGAAACAGTCCTCTCCAACCTGCCCATCTCCTATAATATAAGGCTTAAGGGAGATAATGGAGATGTATGAAAGTGTAGGCACCTTGAGGGTGGAGTTGATAGTAGACTGTTATGTGTTACCCTCTCTTGCTTTATTGGGTTTATAGCACTTACTAGGTCCTGCAATTCTATAGTTTCTCTATTTGTTTAGTTGTTTGTACCCCCCACTAGAAGTTAAGGTGTGTTAGAGCAGGGACCATGACTCTGTTCCTCAATGTATCTATCCCCAGAACTTAGAACAACTCCTGGTTATCGTAGGAATTAATAAATATTTTTTGGATAATGAACAAATTATTCTCTCTCAGCCAGGCTTCTAATTGATAGAAAGCCCATTGGGAGAGAATAGGGCAGAGCAGGACTGGGCTGAGCCAACATAACAGGGTGGATGCCTGGCCTACCCAGTGGCCTTGAGCTCAACATCATTCAGCTTGACTGTTCTGCAAGCCTTTTTCCTTTGTTTGCCTCACTCTCCTGATACTCTTTGCCTACCTGGTAAATTAGTCATTCTTTATGGCCCAGTTTAATTATCCTGAGTCATGTGAAATGTCTTCAATTTATACCATCTCCCACCTCCAGACAGAGTTAATCAGGCTCTTTTGTATGCTCCCACAACACTTTGCACCTATCCTACTTTAATTATAGTAATAGTGGTTTTCCTGCTTTTTACACTTGTTGCTTGCCATATGCAATGCCAACTATATGCCCTCTCCCTTTTAATACTTATGATAATCTGTCAGGAAGGGATAATTATAATTCCCATTTAACAGATGAGGAAAATCGAGGCTTAGCAATTTTAAAAATAATCTTGCTCCAAGGCATACACATAGCAAGTAGTATAACTAGGATTTCGGAATATGTATGATTGATTCCCAAGCTAGAGTTTTTTTTTTTTTTTTTTTTTTTGAGATGGAGTCTCACTCTTTTGCCCAGGCCGGAGTGCAGTGGCACTACCTCTGCTCAATGCAAGCTCCACCTCCCGGGTTCACGCCATTCTCCTGCCTCAGCCTCCCGAGTAGCTGGGACTACAGGTGCCCGCCACCGCACCTGGCTAATTTTTTTTTGTGTTTTTAGTAGAGACGAGGTTTCACCGTGTTAGCCAGGATGGTCTCGATCTCCTGACCTCGTGATCTGCCTGCCTTGGCCTCCCAAAGTGCTGGAATTACAGGCGTGAGCCACCGCGCCCGGCCCCAAGCTAGAGTTTTTAACTGCTGGGCCTTCAATATGCCAACTTAATTTAAGAATTAGGCAATGACAGCTGGAATGACCTGTAGTCTTTACATAGTTCTGTCTCATTTTAGGCATGGAAAAGCTGAGACTAGTTACAAAGTTAGAGCAGAATTTGCAGGGGAAGGAAAATCTTGCTCTAATATCTAGGCTGTCCAATTTTGGGCAGCATGGAGCATTACATTTTTTTCTGGGCCGTATCACCTCCTTTTTTCAGTAGGCATAGCTTTTTACAGTCCAAGCCATATTCAATACATTTATTCAAGCACCCTCTCTCTGGGCATGATGCAGTCTCTTATTTGGCTCCTGTGAAGACTGTTTTTTTTTTTTTTTTTTCTACTAGATGTTTTAGGTCACATTGAGGAAACTACCTTTAACTGAGGTAAGTCCATACTTTCTTCATATTTAAAATTATTTTAGAAAGTTTTCCTTGTCTTATGGAAGGGGCTTCTCTGCAGGACTTGGTGATGGTGAAGAGCAACCTTATCTGCAATGGCTCAGATGTTTTGAGAGGCCCAGAGTTTGGACATGCCCTGTCAGAGAGCAAGGGAAAGGTTGAGCGAGCAACTCACTGCAACAGCTACGGAGCCAGGGCTGCGCTGCCATATCTAGCTCACATTCTCACTGTGACTCATTTCTTGGAGCAGAAAGTGGTCATGGTGAGATACAGCAGTGCTTTAGGGTTGGTTGTTTGGAATCTTTCAGGTCCTGGGCTTCTGCAGAGCCAATAGAAGGAGGATGGGAGCAGGCATTTGGGGACAAAGCAATTTGATTTAACAAACACTGAGTGTTTGATATACATGAACCCCTGGGATGACATTATCTATGAGGGGGTAGTGGAGTAAGCTGAAAACTCTGAAAAGCACCAGGAGATGTTTCTCTTTTCTTCCTGTTTGCTTTTCACATGCATCAAGAAATTCATTAAGCTCTAATCTTTGAGGGGCTTACAATCCAACAGGAAAGCTAGAGGGACACCCAAATGTATGTAAGGTCCCTTTAAACAAACTGAGTGCTAAGGATAATGCCTATATTTCCAAGAGGATTTAGGAAGAAGAGTCCGTGCCCAGCTGGGGCTAGGTATAGAGGCAATCCAGGGACAATTCATGGAGGAAATGATGCTAGAGATGGGTCTTAAGGCATGGATAGCATCTCAGAGAGAAGGAGAGGAAATTACCGTTTGTTAAGGGATTGTGCTCTGATAGGAAAATGTGTTTGAAGTGGGACTTCGTGTATCTATCAGTGAAGTTGTTATTCTCAGTTTTTAAGATGAGGAACTTGAGGCTCAGAAAGATTGAGCAAACTGCCAAGACCATACAGCAAGGAAGTAACATAGGCAGGATTCAAAATCAGATGAGTTTGAACCTAGAGCTGGTTGGTGTGTCTTTTACACCAGAGTGAGGGGGAAGTTTTCCAGATTTATGGAGAGTATAGGGCACAACATGAGTTACAATACAGAGGTGAGACTTATGGATGTACTGCTTATGGACAATGAGAAATCCATTTTGGGTTGGAATTCAGTTTGTGTGAAGTAAAGGAGTTGTAAATAGCAGTGGGGGCTGTGTGCGGCAAGCTGAGAGTTTCGTATTATGTTAAAACCTGGCATTTTCAAGAGAAGGGCAGCACAACTGCAAAAATGCATGAGGTAGATCCATATGCACACTGACAAGATATTCCTGAGTGATAAAAGAGAAGTTGCCAAACATGGTGTTTAGAATAATCCCATTTTTGTAAAACAGAAGCAGCTTACTACAGTAGCACAGCAGCTAAAGGCTCTCTGAAGCCACACTTCCTGGATTCCAATCCCACACTGACACTTCCAAGCTGGGTGATCCTAGGAAAATGATTTAACCTCATCTGTACAATGAAATGAATAATAGTATATGATTTATAGGATTGTTCTGAAGGTTACATGGGTTAAGTTCTATCCAGCTCTTAGAAAGGTGTCAGGCACGAAGGAAGCACTCATGTTTTTGTTATTATTATGTTATTAAAACCATTTAGGAGGATAATATCAAACCGTTAAGTGATTTATCCTAGGAAGTAAGATTTACATGTATTTTAGTTTCAAACATATCTCCCTATGCTGTTTAATATTTTACAACAAATATGTATTTGTAGTGTAAAAAACAAAATAAAGGAAAACAAAATGACAAACCAGCAGGTCTATTTTAAGAGTTGATATTAGGAGACTTTATTTCTATTGTATTCTTTTTCTCTAATAGCAATAGGGCTTGTAGGGACACATTGGAAAGTGTCTCTGGTGTCACTCAGAGAGCTATTGAAAACAGATGTCTGAGACAGCATTGCCTGAGTTTCCCACAGGCCATGTCAGGGGTGATGCTGACGGCTATTATGGAGGGCTGGCCCTTTCTGCTCCCCTTGCCTTGTCTGGGCTGGATGTGGTTTTCTGGCTTAGAGATGTTAAGAGAAACCTGCTTTGAAGGTCTGCTTTGGGAGTGGTAAATCTGGGGCATGCGGTGAGACCTTTAGTGCTTGAGGTGGGGCACATACAGAAGATAAGGGAGACTGGGTATACTCCTGTGTGTCTGGGGGTTAGAGAACACAGCTAAAAATGTCTTTGGTCTGAGTATAAGGGACCAAGACTTTTAAAAATTCTCTTCTTGGGCCAGAGACTATGCTGCCCTTCTTCTTGACCTCCTGATTCAGTCAGAAATTCTCCCCCACATTCCTAGCTAGCTTTCTCAATGAAATGATCTTGGTCAAAAGGCAGGTGGGACAAAGGAGAAAGGACGTTCAGTGGCTGACCATCTCTACCCCTTGTCAGAGCTCTAACCACACACTTTATAATGGGGGTGGGAGCTAGTGCAATTTCTCTTGTACGTCAAGGATAGAGATTGAGAGCTCGTATCTACTTACAGATGCATGTTAATAACTTTTTAACTATCCAGAACCACCTGCAAGAGATTAGCTCTTGATTTTCTAGAGAGGCAAATTCATATCTTTCGTCTCTCTCATCCAGTCTAGTCTCCTCCTTCCTCCTCCCTGGTTCATTCTTAGAGTAATAGTGGCAGGGTAATGGTGAAAGGAGTGTTTTCTATAGTCACACCCAATTTTCAATCCTAGCTCTGCCTTTTACTAGTTGTCTTACCTTTGGCAAGTTACATAACCTCTTTATGTATCAGTCTTGTCTCCTGTAAAATGGGGATAGGATAGTACTTTTATAATAGAACATAATAGTATTTTTTTTGAGAATTATGAGGTAGGGTATATGATGTTGTTAGCATAGTATCTAGCATTCAGTAAACACTCAATAAATGCTAATGATTATTTTTAATGAGTTGTTGCAGTTGGGGCTGAGATGGGGCATCCTGAGGGAAGGCAGAAGAGAAGGCTCAGGAAGAAAGGAATATCTGTTTGCAGTTATCTATCAACATATAAGATGCATTTTTTCTGTACCCCAGCAGTTTCATTCCTAGTTCTTATTATCTACTTGGAGAAATACCACATGTTTTCATAAAGTTGTAGGTACACTGTAATTATTGCAGCACTGATTGCAGTGGGAAAATTAGAAAAAGTATAAGTGTTCATCAATAGGGGATGGCTAGAAAACAATGGGACATCCATAACATAAAATGCTCTGCAGTGGTTAAAAGAATGAAGTAGAACTGTATGCTTCAACAGGTAAGGCTTCCCAAGACATGTTAATATGTGAACAAAACAAATAGTAAATTACATAGAAAATATGATTCCATGAAATGATTGTATATTTCAATGGTTATATACATGTGTGTATGTAATGTATATGTAATACATATATATATATATATATATGAATAAAAAATTATCAAAAAGGATAACAGTTGAAAGGGACCTAGAGGTCATTATCAAAGGGGATCTCAGGCTTTGGTGTAGTATTATAATTCCTTAAAGAGGTAATGTATGCAGACATTGTGCAGTTAAACGTGATCAAGGACAGAGAAATAAATGCCTATCTGGCCAAGAGTAGGAAGAACAAGGCTCTGTCAAACCAAAGGCCAATGAAAAATTTCCAGCTCTTTTTTTCTAGGCTTCTTTCCACCCCTTTTATCCATTGGTAGAGGGGGAGGGTTATTAGACTGAAAGCTGTACCAGCTCAAAGTGGCTGCATAAATATATCTCTATCTATCTGTCTATCTCTATGTATCAGTATGGTGAGGGAGGAGCAAGGAGATCTGTATTTGAATCCTGGTTTTACTCTGAGAATAACAGCATGGTTACCTGCTGTTACCAAAAGGCAAATCACCTTTTTTTCTTTAAGCCTCAGTTTTCTCAGCTCTAAAATGGGGATACTAACCATTGTCCTATATCTAATTTTTAAGGTGATTGGGCAGCTTATATGAGATCATGGATATAAAACATGCTATAACCTGTGAAGTACTTTTTATAAGACAGTACTGCAAATCTGCCTGGCAGCCAGGGTTGCAGCAGCCTTGCCGCATTCCTCTGGAGCTGGCGAATGTTGCAGAACTGAGCACACAGCAATAAACACGCAGCTCTCAGAAGGCTGAAGATCATAGTAGTTACTCTGGTGTGTAAAATACTGACATGATTTGCAGAAAGGCTGACAGGTTAAAGGGATGGAGAAAAAGGAAGATCATGGTCCTGAGGTCAGACAGGTGGTAGAATGTGGCAGTGGTCTCTGAACATCTGGGAGGCCTAAGCAAGCCTCTAGCTATGCAAAGTTGAGAGTACAACGTACACAGGAAGACTGTTAAGTGAGATTATCTTTGGAGAAAGAAACCACATACCCTCTCCTTCTGACCATCTTGATTCACCTCCTTTATCAATCCTGACAGACTCTCATTGCTGTGTCCCAGGGCCAGGATTTAAAACTCATTGCCCGGGTGCCCCTTCTCTTTATCTAGTGTCACATAGAGTTCCCAGCTGTGTGAATGAGAGCTTTTGGTGCACCAGGACTTCAGAGACCAGGCCACCAGTTTGGGGATAGGGATAGCTCCCTGAAGAACCCTCTGGAAGGGTGAGTGTGTTTGTGTTTATGAGAAAGGACAGAGTGTGGGAGGATTGAAGGAAAGAAAGTGCGGTGGCAAAGTTAGGGTGTATGGACTCTAGAGACGATATGTAGTGGAGTAAGTTTGGGGATTATCTATGGCTTTGAGAGCTCTGTCACCCACTCTATAAACTTGAGGTAGTTATTTATCCCCTCTACATCTGCAAAATAAAAGGGTTGATGTATGTCAGGCGTTCTCAGTCAGAATGATCTAGAGCCTTGCTGTGCAAACCTTTGGTCCAAGGAAGCAACAGCATCAATCTTCTGGGTGCGCTTTGGAAATGCAGATGCTCAGGCCTACCCCAGACCTCCTGAGTCAGAATCTGCATCTTAGCAGATCCTCAGGTGATCCTGGACACTGAAGTTTGAAAAGCACTGATTTAAAGACTCTTGTTGACATTATGGGTTTCTGGGTCCCCATTCTGAGAGATTCTGTTTCAGTAGTTTGATATGATTTTGATAATCTGTATTTCATTTTATTTAATTTTTAAAACCACTTTATTGAGGTGTGATTGACATACAAAAGCTGTACATATTTAGGACTTGATGAGTTTAGAGACAAGTATATACTCATGAAACCATCACCATAATCTATGCCATAAACTATCAATCACCCCCAAAAGTTTCCTCTTGCTCTTTTATATATTTGTTATTATTATTGTTGTTATTTGCAGTAAGAATACTTAATATAAGATCTGTCCTCTTAACAAATGTTTGGGAATCTGTCTTTTTGACAAGCCCCTCACAGCTAACTTTGACAGCCATTGAATTCTAGAGCTAAGAGTCCTTCCTACCGCAAGATTCCATGATTCTGTTGATACTCAAGACACTCTGAAGGAAAGTGCAATTCTCTGGGGGTGAACAGGTGGAAGAGTTGGGAATGTACTTGTGAGAAAGGGAGCAGAGGCTTGTTCTCCATGTGCCTGTGGGTTGCCCAGAATATGAGGCAAGAGAGCATGCTGCTCAGGGCTGCTGCCCATTTCATGGCTGGGATTAATGATTGTCGGCAGCTCCCTGTTAAGATGGTAAACTAATTTAGAGCAACGGACACTGAAAAACAGCCCAATTCAAAGGCAGAGAGTGGTAATCTAATTGCATTGAATTAGCCTCAGGAGACTTGGACAATACCAACTTTAGAAAATCACAAAGGGATCCTTTGTAAGGAGTTTCAAAAGCTTTGGGGCCTCAGTACCCCTCATAAGAGCTTGCATTACAAAGCATAGGCACTGTGTGGATAAGCCCCTCTCCCCAGCATCTCTGGGCATTGTTCCCTTCTAATGTGCTTTCTGAATGAATTTGCTGGCTGGCTGTATAGTGTTTTCATTTTGTGTGTTAGGCTTTACAGGGAGTTGGTTCAGGGAGACAGCTGGAGTTCAAGGCTGAGAGGCCGTCAGTCCTGTGAACACCATCCGGTGCCTGTGGCCTTGTCCGTGGACAAGTGCATTTTCTGGTAGTTTTTTTCTGGCTCATTCTGAGGCCCTTCTCATTTCTTAAAACGAGGCTTTTGCATAACCAAGGTGATTTCCTTTTAATAATTCTTTGTTGCATGGTGTTTGTATGTTCATTGTCCAATTTATTAGTTATCCAATCCATTTTTAAGAAGAAAAAGATCCCAGTTAGTGGGTATTCATGTCATGATTTGAAGAGCTTACAAAGATTGGATAGCAATTTGGAAATCAGAAAAGGAGGGAATATAGAATTGCGAGGGATTGTCTCTGACTTGCATTTCATTCACTCTTCTGCAACAAATTACAAATCTCAATTTGCAAAAGAAGCTTGAATTCCTTCTATGTCTTTCCTGGGAGGTGGACGTCCAGTCTCTGCTTGCACACTTCCACTGACAGACACCATCACTACCACTGAGGCAGCCCACAGTATCATTTGAAAGAGCTACCAGAAAGTTCTGACTTATATTGAGTCCAAATTTGTAAGAGTGCATTAAAAAAAATCTATGAATCTATGAATTTACTCTGATTCTTCTCTTGGAGCTATATAGAATAAATCAAATCTAATGTTTCCCAATATGGGGTCCCTGGGTACATAGGAGATTCATGAAATAGTAATGAGGACTCAGAGTGCATTTTAAACATTTCAAAGGCTCTAACAAATTGCATATTTACTTCTGACAAGACTCTCTGGATTAACTAAAAAGAATCACATATCTTTACTTTTGTTTTTTCTTAGGTCAACTCAATGTGGTGACATTGCTTATCCCATGGTATTTAGTATTTCTGGCGGTTACTTGTGCCTTTGATTAATAAAGATGGGAAAAATATGTTAATGATGAATGGTATCTGGTAAACAATTTTTTTTGAAAAAACAAAAAACAAAAACATAGGCTTTATGAGGGAAAAAAGAGCCAAACAGAATCATTGATAAAAAGTACAGAAATGTTTGGTCTCTCTTTCTCACACCGTTTTTCAGATCTGTGAGTATAGTGGTCAGGCATCATGTTTTCTCATCATAATAAACATTTCCCACAGAAACTGACATATGTATAGGATCTGTCAATAATCATGTCTGGGTCGGGATAACTCTCCAAAAGGTGAATTGCTTAGTGAGGTCCTCAGTTCTTTCAGACCTTTGAGCCTGACTATACCTCGATGTGGCTATTTCTTATAATAATTGAAATACACTTCAATAGCTGTAACCAAAGCTGTGCTATCATTGGAAGAGATCTGGAGAAGATATCCTAAACTGGCACAGCTAAAAGTGATTTTAGAACGTGATTGGCCAAATCTCTTCATTTTACAGCTGAGGAAACTGAGAGCCAGAAAGGTCATAGAACCCTCTCAAGGTCATGCCACTAGCTAAATTCTGGATCCTAGGTCTCCTTCCCTTTAGGCCAAAGCCTCTTTGTTTAATGCGAACCTGCAGAATAGTTTCAAGATGGCCAGGCAGGGAGACTGTGCCATCCATCTTAAAAATCATGCTGGCTTCTGCCAGCTGATGAAGGAAATAAAGTTAATGACGCCCACATAAATGTGATGCTGTCGCAGGACGCGCGAACAGGCTGCCTGGAGGGGAGCTCTGTGGGTCCTCTGAAGAAGGAAAAAAGGATTTTAATGTACCTTTAAAGGGAGCAGTGTCTCCCCTTTCTGCAATGACAGGGACTCTGGCATCTGTGCCTGCAGAGTGTTTAGTTTTAGACTGGACACATAAGCACATGATAAACAAGTTCCTGGTGAAGAAATGAAGGCAGCATCACCACTGGTCAATTCATCCTGAACCTTTGTGGGTATGGGCCCCTGCCTTTGATGAAGATCTTATTAGGGGTTGGAGAGAATGTAGAAGTGTCAGATTCAGTCATTTGAGTTGATTGGTAAGAAAATTGAGTCCCCATTAGAGGAAGAGACTTGTTATGCCCATGCTATGGGATGGAAGCAGAGCTGACTCTAGAGGCAGGAGTTCTCAAATTATAGCCCAACTTCTCTTCCCGCTGCACCACATGGCCGTAACCTCTTTCATAAGACAATCTAAAGAAAACAATTTCCTAAATATCCTCTGCTTAAGTCATTACCAGTTTGGCAAATATGCAGAAGTCATGTGCTGATTCATAACTCTATTTACCAGCCTAGGGTCCCTGTCCAACCCGTCCTTCAGGAGCCAAATCGTAACATTTTCTTTTCTCTTTTTTAAGGTTCCTAAGCCCAAAAAGGGAGTAGACTCTCTTTTTGTTATTTACAGTAAGAATACTTAATATAAGGTACTTAATATTAAGTATTCTTAATTAATCAAATACTTAATTTGATGCTAATACAAACTTGCCCAAGGAACTTCATTCCTTGGAGAAAAGTCCTTGGGCCATGTCAGAAACTCCTAGGCACGTTCTGCAGTGCCAAAATGCAGCAGGTAAGATTCAAGGTGGAGTACAGCTCTCCTTCAAGAAGGGAAAAATCAAGACAGTCATCTGCCCTTCTTGACAAGCCTGGAGATGGAGAAGCCACAGGGGCCACCTCAAGGAAAAGCCCATTCACCTTTCAACTGGGTAGGTTTTTTCTTTAGGACTGAGATATGAAACAATGTATTTGTCATTTTCCTTTTGATCCTAATGTGGATAGAAACATCTTCCCTTCAAGGTTTTGATGACCTTTGTTAGCAGTTGAGTGGCATATTCAGTACAAAATCCAGTGCAAGGAAGCATCTACTGGGATGGAAGAGGGAAGTAGCACATTAAAGAAAAGCTGATCATCTTTTGGGAAAACCACCCAGGGATTAGATCTGGTTTATCTCCCTGCCTTTATTCCCTTCTCAAGCACATGCTAGGTCCATTTTTGTTTTATCAGGGTGCTTTATATATTTCATGAGGGGCATTTTCTCAAGGAAGCTAGACTTTCCTCCTCGTTATAATTACTACATTGGAGCAGCTGATTAAAAATTTGGTCATTCTGTACTGTGGTTTGAAACCTTGGACAATTTTGTCTCCCCTTTGCCCAGGATGTATATTTGGCAAGGTCTGGAGACATTTTTTGATGGTCATGACTCAGGGAGGTAGTGCTACTAGCACCAGGGATGCGGCTAAACATCCCACAATGCCCAGGACAACTTCCATAACAAAGAATTATCCAGTTAAAAGTGTCAACAGCGCAGAGCTGGAGAAACATGTGTCTGTTTGAGTTGCTCAGAAGGCAAGAGAATTTTGGGGTCATACTGGGCCTGACCCAGCCATAAGCCTCTGTAAGGGCTCTGGGGATCAAAGCCAAGTTCACTTCGGCTTGAGAGGACATTTGAAAGAAACGTGCTTCTACCATTAAAAAAATTTGCCTATTATTTTTGACCAGTCTGGCTACAGGGCCCCATTCTCAAATGAAAATAAGGGAAAACATTTAGGTTATTGACTCTCAGAATGCCACTTACTGAATTTTAGAACCATAGGTTTTTAAAATATCAAATCAGGAACTTTAGCCAAATCACCCGATCTTACTTATGAAGACACAGTTGATGAGCATGCAATGCTTTTTGTCTTCCAGGACCCCATGTTTCCCTTTCTAAGACCCAGTTCCTCCTCTGTGTTGGTACCATATGGGATTTCCGCCTCATTCACTCGATTTTTGTTTTTGTTTGTTTGTTTTGCTGTTGTTATTGCCATTTCGCTGGTTATGTGCTGATGCAGCATGTCTGTTATTGAGAGCCTTTCCTAGCCCCCGATTTCCCCAACAAGGTGAGCAGCTGGCATCATTTATTCTAAGGAGTACCTGGGTGACTGAGATGATTGGATTGGCCATTCCAACACAGCACCCATCCCCTGGGGAAGAAGGGTTTATTCACATGGAACCTGCTAGAGACCTGCCAGCCTCCATCTACCCCCAAATACATTCTAATAAGTCCTCACATTATAATGCTTCTGTATTTTCACCTGGAATTTTAAAAGTGAGTGACTTAGAAATGAAAATACCAATTGAACAAATACAATCTGCTCACTTTGCTTCCTTGTGACCTTTTTTTAATCTCTCTGAAAAATTGCTGAATTTCCTGAGTTCAATTATTGTCTGTATTGTGTTTCAAAAATCAACATTTACTCCCCTAATGAAGTAGCCGTTCCTATATTTTGAAAGTGCAGTGGTGCCACCCACATTTCCAGCTCTCCACAGTTATAACTCTTCTTTCCTTATAAACACGTAGAATTATATCCCACATCCATTGTAGCTCATGTGTGCGTTCACGCACGTAGGGGAAAGAGATGTAGAATGATGTTTTCTGTTAGGCCACCACCAGCTTAGTTGAAGAATTAACACAGTGGATTCATAACCTTATCAAAATGACTACAATCCAGACCTTTTAGACTGAGTCTCCCTTTTGTGAAAGACAATGTCTGGAGAGGAAAATCAAGCATTGCATACTGCTCATCAAGAAAAAAAGAGAGAGTGTGTGTGGGGAGAAAGATGTGCTTGGTTCTATTAATTTGCTCTTAAATCTCTCTGGTTCAGTTCTGTCTCCTGTAGACCAAGCAGAGAATCAATTTGCATACAAATGTTACAAAGTACCCAACCTCCATACATTTGTAGTTCTATTAAATATGCAGGGGATAAAGGATCTCATATTATAAATAGAATACTTCCTGCCCTTTCCCCCATAAAGTAGCCACATTTTGATACGTTTCATAAGGCCCTGGATTGTTGTACTTTTTCATTCTATCTGACTCTCTGACTATTTGCAGTCTGATCTGTGGTCAGGACTCTGTGGCCTACAAAATAATTGTTTGAACAGGAGATTAGAAGCTTTAGCATTGGGTATCTCAGATAAGGGGGGATGCCTTTTCTTCATCTCAAGAGACATGAAAAGAGACTGAAATACAGAAACTTACTATTTGAGGGGAGGTGTCATTTAATAAACCAGCCAACAGATTAGTCAAATCAGCAATTCCTATGAACTGTAATAAAACAAAAATTATTTGCTGTTTTATGTTGGGAGAGGGTAATATTTGGTGACCACTTATTTTTAAAAACAATTTGGGGTGGGTTTTTCAAATGACTGTTAATCCAATGCCACAGTAAAATATGAGAGGCAGGCATCTAAAATGAGGAAGATTAATGATCCCTGCATGTCATGGAAGAAGAATAATGTTTTTCAATTCATATAAGTGGAATTTATCATAGCCATCTCTGAAGATGGTATGATTCACACACTTACTAAAGGACTATCTATTTCAATGCTTCTTAAAGAGGTGATTTTTCACTTTTCACTTCTACTAACATAAGAAAGACAAGTCTTCAGGCAGAAAATTTTAACCTGAGAGACAGTGGATGGGATAACTCAGCTGTTGAGTCAAATATAAGCATAAATTTAAAAACAAAGCAAATGAAGATTGCTCATGAGTTCAGGATCTGCAGCTAACAGAGTTTGGAAAGGTGGGTTGGGGAAAGAGGCAGTCAAAGTTTCAAAAGGGAAATGTTTCCCAGTATGTTCCTAAATAGATCCACTCTGCACCCAAGTTCAGGGCTTTACACACTGAGGTTATAATACTATTGTTTCCAAGCACTCAGCCTTAGTAATCCCCCTCCCTCTTCGCAGAAAAAGAAAACAACAGCAAAAAAGGACAGAAAATGAAATGATCTGTGTCCAGCGAGTTTGAGTGCAACCTTCCCCGTCACCGCTAGTTGTCACTTGGCTCCCAGACGGGAAAGCTGAGGTTTTCGGCACTGCGGTTAGGGAGAATGCAGTCCTAATTAAACTGAGTAACTCCTAAAGCTTCCCTTTAAAGTCCTCAGCCGAGTGAAAGCCAACATGCAGTGGGGCTGGGGACCAATAGTGGGGGGTGTAGCAGACAGAAGGACAAACAAACCGTAAGAAACAGGCAAACAGCTGCCAGAACAGCGACTGTCTCAGACCTCCACGCACAAGCCAGACACCCTGCGGGCGGGGGTGGGGTGGGTGGCGGGGGGTGGGAGGGGGGAGAAGGGAGACGGGGGATGGAAGGACCCGATTGCAGTGGAATACAGCACCCCTCTTCCCCAAAATGATGGGACCACGGACAGAGGTAGCCTCCGTACTCTTTCCCCCCATTTCCATCAGAGCGATGTGGTCAGTAGAAAATTGCATACCTGAAGAATACAATGGTCTCCCAAAGGTAGAGTCGAAGAGTATTGAAGCTGTACATTTTTCAGGTCCTTGTGCTTTGTAGTCCACGAGTTATGGGGGCAAAAATGTTTCAAATTGGCACTTACAAAACCAGAAAGCGCTATTGCAAAAAATAATCCAGATGTTAAAGGGAGGCGGGGAACAGGGGCGCGGAGGGAGAGCCCCAGGGGAAATTGGAGCGAGGGGGTCGTAGATACCACGGACAGCGGCGGCTGCGAGGCGTTTCAGCACCACGGAGAGCGTCCAGACCTGCTTTTCAGGAGCGCGAAGAGTATTGCTGTTTGTTAAACTCCAGCGTGTCTGTTGGCTCCCTGCGGCGCTGGGGAGGCACGTTTGGGGGTGGGTATATTTCCTTTTTTTTTTTTTTTTTTTTAAACCCCTGTTTTTCTGTTTAAACGGCCAGCTCCCTGCAAGGAAAAAAATCTTCTGTGGAGATCAGAGCGCTGGCCTCGGACCGTTGGATTGGGCGAGCATCTTGGGTAAAGAGAACAGAGCTTTATGGCTCTGGGCCGGCCTGAGGGGGTTAGGGGCGAGGGGAAAGCGGTTGACGGCGCTGCCTTCAGTTAAATCTCGGAGAGTGTGCCAGGCTGGCGCATCGCAATCCAGTCTCGGAATCTCGTTCTCCTGCCTCTGTGCGGGTCTGCTGTCGCCTTGCTATTCCTGTTTCCCGGTCCCCGCCGAATAAGTTGTGATCACTGCAGAAAAGGTGTCCCATTGCTCGGGGCCGCAGGCGTCAGAGAGCCCAGGGCAAGTTTCAGGGGCTACCGGGGTCCCTGGCTACCCCGCGGGGCTCTGAAGCCCAATGTCTCAGATGCATCTCGGTTTTCTGAGCTCGCTCATCTTCCCTTGGTCAAGACTCCTTCAGATCTTCAGACTTTCTTACTGCATTAATTTAACAAACTGGAGGCGTGGGGGATGGGAGGGGTGATAGCCGATGGGAGGGGGTTGAGGGGGAAAAAAAAAGGGGGAAAACTCCTTAGTATCTTCAAACCCTCCCACTCGAGGTGTTCATTGGCCCGCGGCTACGAAAACCAGATCTTCTCCCGGTATTCGGCCAATAGCCTGTTAGACTCCGGGTTGAATTTAACGCTTAGAGTGCTGGACGAGATCTGCGCAATCCCCTTCCTACCCCCAAGCTTCTTTCCGTGTAAGCGGTGGGGTGAGAGAGGATATGGAATTAATCTCTCTAGGTCTCTCAAAAGGTTGCCTTGATTTTTAAAGAATGCAGTTGTATGTGAGTAAAACACATGGTTCCTTGTTAAGACGTGCTCTGGGCTCAATTTATCCTTTTAAAAGGGAAGAGTTGAACCAGATCCCTGATTTTTTTTAAAAGAGCTCTGAAGTTATAATATTTGGCCCTAGAAAGAAAGGAGGAATATCCAAAAAGAAGTCTGGTGGATAAAGACCCCCTCCAGGGTCACCGCAGCAGGGAAATACGAGAGAAATTCTTTGAGCAGTTTCCAGCGTTGAGTGGGAGGTGTTGTGGCTGGCACCCTTTTGAGAGGGAATAAAAGCACCTTCTTCCAACTGGACAGGAGACAGTTTTATTCGCCTTTTATATGCTGGGGAAACTGAGCCTCACAGAGCTGTGGCTTGCTCCAAATTGATGGCAGAGCCAAGTTGTACACACAGGGATGTGTTATGACTCACATTTCGTTATTTCTTCCTCTGTTTTCCCACCTTATTTGAATCTTAGAAACCAGCTATACATTTCACTGTAAAGCCCATCTGGTGAGATGGAGTTAATCAGATTTTCCCCAAGCTGTGGGACTATAGGATAAATACTTTAAAGGATTTTCTGGCTGATTTGAACTCATTGGGACTCTGGGGACTCTCTCGCCCAAGGCTACTGAGAGAGGACAACCCCTCCTCCTTACCCAATAACGTTAGAAACTCCTTTGGCTGATCTCCCAAGAATACTCATCAGCTCAGCTCCCTCCAAGGCTAGGCCTTCTCCCAAGCAGAAAGGATCTGAAAAGTCTTGTTTACTAGCCTCTTACCAGTAGGATTTCCCCTCCCCTCCCCCTGTACTACAATAGCATACCCCACACTACCGGTTCTGTTATTGGCTCCCACAGTCTAGAATTTCCATGATATTCTGCATAGTGACTGAAAAGGAAATTTTGTTTTGAAGGTGTATATTAATATGAGTTGGATACAAATTTAAATATAATGTATAATATATGTATTTTTATATATGTAATCAAGAGCTAACCTTTATTAGCATGGTTTCTATGTGTCAGAAATTACTGTGAATTCACATAATCTCATTTACTTTTCACAGTCAAACCTTGAGGTAAGTATTATCTTTGCGTATGTGTTTGTGTACATTTGTGAGTATGCTAGGGCAAAACCAGCTTGTAGGTTACTGTGTATACAAATTTATTTATGATTTGTATCGTGCCTAATTCTGAAGTGATTTTGATATGCATATGTGTATTTGTACGTTTGTATTTGTAAATGGGTCTTTCTCTACATACACATAGATGTGTATGTATCTATGTGTGTCTTTGTGGTGGTCCTAGAAGTACTGAAACAAGCCGTAAGCTGGCAATTTTGTCCTGGTTCCTCATCTGACTAGGAAATACCTGCATAGCCAGGTGTGATGCAGTATGTGGAAATTTGTTTTTCTTTTCCTTCAAGGGGTGCTGAGTGTGTGTTGCTGTTCATGAGTGTGAGTGGCTCCAAGGCTGTGGCCTGTGCAGGAGGTAAGAGTAATTATTACCTGGGGTGGTGGAGGGGCACCTGTTTGTTAATAGGCCTCTGTTTACTATGAGGCTGATACTTTCATTTAATCAGTACACATGAAATGAGCATGTGCCAAGTATTGGGGATATGACAGTATATAAGATAAACAACACAGTATATACTGATAGTGTATAAAATAAACAGTATATAAGATAAACTTTTGGAACATGCAGTTGCTTCAGAAGTTCAGTGGGAAGAGTCCCTCATGTTAATCTACACTTTTTACCCTACATATCACATATTTATGCCTGTACAGATCTTTTTGTTCTTGTTTAGGTCACTATTGAAAATAAACAACTGTGGGCTTGGCCGTCAGGGATTTATGTCCTTATTTTATCTCTGCTTCAAAAAGGTTGGTTATGTTGGATAAATGACTAAACTCCAGGCCTAAGTGAAATGAGGGTAGTAATGCCACTTTTCTCACTGCAAGAAACTGCATAGAATAAATATTTAAGTCTAACCTTATTGTAGCTTACCATGCTATGAAACAAAAATCTTCAAGGAATGGAATGGATTGGCTTCAGCTAATGGCTCATTTCTATTGGTAACTTTTCTGTGTAGTCTGACTCCAGCGTAGTTCTAATACTTGACTGGTCTCTTATAGATCCTAGTAGCCAGATTTGAGCCCTACTAAGTATGAATAAATTTTGACACACGGTGAGACTTATTTTATTACTAGAAAAGATTCATTATTTTATTCATTCAACAAACATTTATTGAGCATTTACTGTGTATCTGGTACTATTCTTGGCACTGGGGATATAGCAGGGAACAAAACAAGCCAAGAGCCCTATTCTAAAGGTATGCATCTTCTATTGGAGGAAAACAAGACAAACAAGGAAATATATGATGAGTTAGGCAGTCATAAGAACTAAAAAGAAAAAGGCAGGGCAGAGAGTGGCATGGAGGTGCTATTTTATGTAAGGTGATCATATCAGAGAATGGCTCCTGAAAAGGCATTTATGTAATTGAAGGAAGTGAAGGAATGAGTCATGTGAACCTTGGGGGCAGGTATGGAAAGCTTTCTAAGCAGTGGGAAAAGCAAATGTAAAAGCCCGGAGAGGGGAGTATGTTTGGAGTGTACAAGAAACAGCATGGAGACCAGTGTGCCTGGACAGAGTGAGTGCAGGGAACAGTGATAGAAGATGAGATTAGAGAGGAAGTTGGGGACTAGAGCAGGTACTACCTCCAAGAATAAAATTTCTGGGATGGCAGGAGCAAAATGAAAGCAGGGAGACTAGTTAGGAGCTACTGAAAAAGTCCATGTGAGAAATTCTTTAAGATAGTCTTGTTCAACATTTCGAGTACAGAAGAGGAAAATTATATACAGAGAGGTTAATAGACTTACCCCTTAGACTCATAGCGCAGCTGGGACAAGAACACAAGCACCCTAATTATAGCTAAAGGGTGTTTCAACTATTTTTTTGTTTGTTTCAATTAAGATAAAGGAAATGCAGAAAGAAAGTCAGGAAAATCTATGAGGGAAGAGAGTTTACCCGTTTTTATTACTAATATATACTGATATATATCACATATCAGTATCAGATACTAAGGGCTCAGTAAATATTTATTGCAAGGATGAATGAGTGAATAAACAAAAGAACAAAAAGATTCAGGCAGAGGACACAAATACAGGGGAAAGAGAGTAAGGAATGTTGTTAATCAGCTGAGATTATGTTGTCCTGAGCCAGCTAATGTAATTAATATAATGCCAAGCCTCTGTCCATAATGGCATTCACAGAGGAGAGTGCTGTATGTTTCAACACTGCTTTGACAGGCCTGAAAGATACTTTGCAAAGACAGATAGATATTTGGAACAACTGAGCAGCTTGCCTAATTGTGCTGTAGTATGATGAATAAAGGCCTGAAAATGGGACTGTGGAAGAGTCTTTTCTCCAAAGAATTAGAGGCTTGCTGCCAGCTCTTTCTAATCCTTCTAATCCTAATCCAGAATGCTCTTGTTACTTTTTTTTTTTTTTTTTTTTACAAAGCAATTACCTGTTCTTTATCCTTTAAAGAAGGGACCCCAGAACTACTTGGGGGATCTCAGTGACACCAGAATTTTAGTTGTAAAGAATAGATGCATAAAATACTAAGAGACCTTTCCTCCCATTTCACTAGCTATTCAAGGTCCAGGAAAGGGGGAACGACTGGCTTAAGATACCACAACAAAACTGAATCTAGATTGGAGGACTCCTATCTTTCAGGTCATGGTTCCCTACCCTTTTTTCTGTGAGACCTAAAATAACAGAAGTGGAGCTAAGATCTGTGATGAAAAATGCTTCATATCAAAGCTGACCTGCTCAGAGACCAGAGACTCCCCAATTTTCTTTTGTAGCCAAGTCTATACTTGTACTTGGTGCTCTAACAGCTTACTGTTTGTGAGAAAATTTTAGCGATCTCCCTGTGCCTCATTTCCATCTTTCTCTCAAACTATCTCTGCCTCTTTTTTCTACTTTCTTCTCATCTGTCCTTACATGTTATTTCATGTTTATTCAGTCAGTTTTTCTCTCTTTCTCTCTGTTTCTTTTTGAGATGGAGTTTTGCTCTTGTTTCCCAGGCTGGAGTGCAGTGGCGTGGTCTCTGCTCACTGCAACCTCCACCTACTGGGTTCAAGCGATTCTCCTGCCTCCGAGTAGCTGGGATTATAGGTGTGCACTGCCACACCTGGCTAATTTTGTATTTTTAGTAGAGATGGGATTTCACCATGTTGGCCAGGCTAGTCTCGAATTCCTGATCCCAGGTGATCCGCCTGCCTTGGCCTCCCGAAGTGTTGGGATTAGGGCATGAGCCACGGCGTCTGGACCAGTCAGTTTTTCTCATTGGGTCTCTCATCTCCTACTGTGTCCATAAAGACTTTCGGGATTAAGAAGGCTTGACATAGTATATACTTTTACTGAGTTTGTTCATTCACTCAAAGCCTTGTTCATTTATTAAAAAAACATATATATCTTGAACACTGGTTGTGTGTCTGACACTGTGCTGAGGTTTTACATGTCTAAATAAAGATCAGTTTTTAATAAATATTTATTAAGTACTTTCTGTGTGCTAGGAACTTTGGAAAATGATAGCACAAGAAAAGCATAATCAGTGTCATTGGAAGGAAGGAGGTGATAAAAGAGATTCCTGTACTGCGTATTTAAAAACCCTTTAATATTGAAATACACATAAATACATAAATTTTGATAAATTATTTACAAAATGAACACTCACATAGAACATTACCAGGACTCTAGAGGCCTGCCTCTTACCTCTTCCCAGTCATTATCTGCCAAAGATATCTATTAATGTTATTCTGATTTCTATTATGTTCATTTTGCTTGCTTATGACTAAATGGAATAAATAATCTTTGTTCTTAAGGGGGATCAACCTGTAACTTCCCTTTTTTAAAAATACCTTTTTCAGGTTTTGGTATAAAGATTATGGTGGCATCTTCAAGTTGTGAATGTTATTTCTTTTCTATTCTTTACAAACATCCACTCAAAGTTGTGCTGTTTCTTCTTTCAATGTTTGGGAGTGTTCATTGGTGAAGCCATCTGGAAGTTTCTTAGTGGAAGG
Organism: Homo sapiens; assembly: GCF_000001405.40. NCBI lineage: Eukaryota > Metazoa > Chordata > Mammalia > Primates > Hominidae > Homo > Homo sapiens. The sequence continues at coordinate 151,930,838 of NC_000005.10, forward strand.
TTTATATTTTAAGGTTCAGTTTAATAGATATAGAACTATTCTGATTGTACTTGTTCATGTATTGGTTTTAGTAAGTTTTATCTTTGTAGGCATTAGTCCATTTTATTTAAAATTTACATTTGTATAACATTTTTTATAATCCTCCTATCTTGTTAGTCTACAGAATCTGGAGTGATGTATTCTTTTTTGTTATATTGGTAATGTGTACTTTTCCTTTTTTATTGGTTACCTTTTTCTAGGTCATTAGCCATTGTATTGGTCACTTCATGTAACCAACTTAGAAATTCTTTTCTATATTATAAATTTGTTTTCTATTCCATTTATTTTGCTCTCAACTTATGCATTTTTTGGGGGTTTAATTTGGTTATCTTTTTCTGGCTTCTTGAGATGGATGCTTAGATAATTAACTTTCAACCTTTCTTATTTTCATATATATTTTTTCCTGATGTTTGTTTCAGCGGCATTCCATGAGTTGTGATAAGATATATTTTCAATATTATTCAGTTCAAAATATTTTCTGGTATCCACTCTGCTTTATTATTTCATTTTAGGGGTATTTAGAAGTATATTGTTGAATAATGTTATTCCATTGTTTTCTGGCTGACATTGTATCTTTGAAAAGTCAGCAGTAAGTCTTATTTTTGATCGTTTTAAGGTAATTATTCTTTTTTTCCCCCCTGATGGTTTTAAGGATTTTTATGTCTTTGGTTTTTACCAGTTTTATGTGCTGTACCTAGGTTTGATTTTCTTTACAAATATCTTGCTTGGGGCTTATAGAGCTTTTTGAATTTGTGCCTTGATATATTTCATCAATAGTCAGCATTTCATTATTGCTTTTTCTTTATTCTCCCTCTCCACTTAGAACTCCAATTGCACTTATGTTAGGCTTTTTCCTTGTGTCTCATATGCTGTCAATGCCCTTTTCTGCATTTTTTATTCTCTTTTCTCCTCTCTGCACCAATCTAGATCTTCTCTACTCTTTCTACTAATCTTCTCTTCTGCTGTGTTTCATCTGATTTTACACTTGTTAAATTAATTTTAATTATTAAATTAATTAAATATTAATTTCAATTGTTTTAATTTCCAGCTCTAGCATTACCACTTGCTTCTTCTTTTCTTTTCTCTTTAAAATAGATTATTGTTCTCTGGTGACATTCCTTATCTTTTTACCAATTTTCTGGAGTGCATTAATCCTGATTAAATTTCCTGTCTGATAATTCTAAAATATGGGTCATCTATTGGTGTGTTTCTATTACTTGATTTTTTATCATAGATTTTGTTTATTTGTATCTGTTTGCTGATATACTTGGTATTTTTTGAGTGAATGCCTTACATTGTGTATGAAAGATTATAGTGGCACTGGATCATGTTATCTTCTGGGAAGGATTAAATTTACTTTGGGTTAGCAGAGAGAGTATGGACAGATCATCTTGATTTAATCATGGATTAAGATGATTTTAAGTTGTGTTTCAGGCTTCGTGAGCATGTCACTTTCTGATTTACCTTATCCCTTGGGCATAGCCTATTAGGGTCTTAATTGAAAGCCAATTCTCTGCCTTTCTCTTTGGTGGGTCCTGAACTCCAATTTCTGTTCCCTCAACTCTGTGAGACTGCCAAAATCATTGCTAAGCTTTTCAATCCTTAGAAGCTGCTTTTTAAAAAATATGTTTACTTTATCTTGTAATGAAGCTGTCTCTGACCTTCCTCCCTGAAGTATCCCTCCCACCACTGTCATTCATTTTGTTTTATTTTTAAATGTACAGAAAAGTTCTCATATATCCTTCACCCAATTTCTCCTAATGTTAACATCTTATATAATATGGTACATTTGCCAAAATTAAAAAATCAATATTGGTACAGTTTTTTTCTTATTGTTTTTCTTACTGTCTTAAGATCAAATGCAGGGTACCACATTACATTTAGTCATTATTTCTCTTCAGTTTCCTACAAATGGTGACAGATTATCAGTCTTTCCTTGTTTTTCATGGCCTTAAGAGTTTTGAAGAGTGCTGGTCAGGTATTTCATAGAATGCCACTCAATTATGAATTTGGTTTTGTCCGATGATTTTCTTTTGACTAGACTGAGGTTATGAGTTTTTGGAAGAATATCACAGAGATGAAGTGATATCATGGGGATACATGACATCAACATAACTTATTACTATTGATGATAAACTTGATCATTTGGTTTAGGTAGTATCTCTGCCAGGTTTCTCTATTATAAAGTTACAATTTTTCTATTCCCATATTCTTTTCTTTTGGAGGTTGAGCCATTAAGTCCAGCTCACACTCAAGGAGAGGGAAATTAGCTCCACCTCCTAGAGGAGGTTATTAGCTATGTTTGCTTGGCTTCTCAGCCTCTGACCACGTGTATGTGCAGCTGAGAATTTGGCAAATGCATTATGAGGAATTGCATGCAGAATGTTGAGCTCACTTTTTCTGTGGTACTTTTTTTTTTTTTTTTGCGGGGGGATATTTGCTCCTCAATTTTTGGCTGCATTTAATTAATTTTTTTGCCCTTCCATCCCAGTGAACTAGGCCACTGCTTTCTGTTTTGCCCTTTTGCTCTGTATTGAGGTCAGAAAATGTCCAGAGTCAAGAAAGCACCAATTTAGGGTCCACTTTGATGTATTTTCCTTCTGTCTGGCTCTTCAAGTTATGGTTGCTCCCCATTGCCTTCAAACATCTGATGTCACTTTTGATATGGTTGTTATAGTTGTTCTCAATGTTTGTCAGATCCAAACTACTCCTTCATAGCCAGGAGGCAATGAGGAGACACTGTAGGGTCCCCATTACTCTGCACTATACCCATGGATTCCCTCAGCTGGCTCACTTTTGGTCTTTTTGCCTATCTCACCTTATGCTTTCTTCAGGGATCAGCTATTACTTTCTATTCTTTTTCTTCCATCAAGCATTTTTTTTCTCTAGCTGTCACTTCTAGTTTTACATCCAACCTATAGTTCATTCTTCACACAGTTAATGTTTGCATTGAATTGTCTTTATACTTAGAATGAAATACAATTACCCATGGGATTTATATGTTCAGCCCTGACCCCCCTTCTCTGACAACACTTCCTGCCATTCTCCCCATCTCTTACCAAGCTATAGACTTTTGTTCATTCTTGTTTCCAAGCTACAGACACAGATATTCACACAATTGGTTCTTCTTGTAATTCAGATCTCAGTTAAAATGGTACCTCCTCGATAAAACCTCTTACTCTCCTTCCTGAAGTACTTTCCCCATCACTATTATTCATTCTGTTTAATTTTTCTTTGCAGCAATTATCCTTACCTAATATTTGTTCATTTATGTATTTACTTTTTCATTTTAGAATATAAGCAGCACAGTAATAGGAAATTTCTTCTTCCCCAAGCTATTACTAGTGTCTGTAGTAGTTCTTGGCACATAGTAAACATTAGATGAATGAATAAGATTTTACAAGATTTATTTACACTGTGACTTGCACTGTATTTCATGCTTCTGATACACTCTCTCATTAAATTATCAGAATAACTCTATGGAATAGAGTCTATTATTGTCCCCAGTTTATAGAGGAATAATGCTTAAGGCACAGAGAGAGATTGTCTTGTTCAGTTACAGCAGGTAGCTGGTGGTATTAAGACTTAACTTCGAGCCTGCACTTTTAATCCCTAACATCATTGTTTTTAGACTTATGATCTGTATTGTTACATTTTAGATCATTAGTTATAATTAATTAGGTTTTCTATTAATTTTACATGGGGCAAATCCTCTCAATTAAAGAATAATTTTCTTGATAACAAAATATGATCTTATTGTGGATTTCCTTTTTGTGTTTCCACCACAAGAGTTTTGAGAATTGACATCTGGATTTTTGTTTTGCTTTTTTTTTTTTTCACCTAGCATCCACTTGTCATTCTTCTGATAACAGTATCTGGATTTTCCATGAAGAGTACCCCTCTTTCATCCTCTGTTGGTAGGATTAGCCAAAGATCTCCCATGCCTGATACAGGACTGCTCAGTTGATATGCTCCACCCCTAAACAGACACTTCCTTAGGAATAAACATGTGACCTGAATCTATCCAATGACAGTTAATTCTGAGTCTTTTGCTGGAAAAAGATTCACTTTATTTATTTTTCTTTTAAGACTTAACACTTTGAGGATGTAAGTAGGAGAGCCCACTACTCATAAACCACACCCCCACCCACTGTAAACAAAACAAAAAATAAAGCCAATATTGAGGCACTCAGAATTGGGAGTTGGAGAGAGGTATTAACAGATGCTAGATAATATTGTTTGATTGTTTGAGCACCTTCATCCAGTCAGCCTCAAACCACAGTCTCATCTGGCCGTTTTGGTTTAGTGCACCAATTAATTTATTTTGTGCTTAAGCTAGCTTTAGTTGGATTTCTCTCATCCTTACACCCAAGAGAGCTGTGACTCATACAATGCTTCATAAATGCCTGTTGATGGTTGATTGACTATGTGGACATGTGACTTGTACAAACCCAAGAGTGTATCTGTGTAGCCTGATGAGAGGCAAAAGGGTGTCTTGCATGACCTTGAAAAAAACCTCACCACACACCTCCCCCAGCTCTCTGCTTTGGGCCCTTGACTCTGCATGAGGTCAATCTCTTATTTGTCAGGTGGTGGTAATAACGAGCCAGATGGAATAGTTGCTGATGCTTGGATATCAATTAGTGAAGCTCTAACTGCAGGAAAACCTCTCAGACATGTCCTAAGTGTCTTAATCTCTCAGTGGGCCTTCTCCTCTAAAGGCTTAGATAGCTGGTAATATGCTTGAGCTGTTGATCCTTTCTTTGATCACATCTTATAGGATTATTCTGAATGAAATGGTGCCGAGGAACTGGGGCTGTTATTTGGTTGTCTTGGCTCACACTTAGGCCATGTTGCTTGGCTCTGGCATTTGTTTTTCTTCTTCCTCTGCTTGTGCTGGATTGGAAGGCTCTCACCAAAGCATGTGTCTTCTGATTCCCCAGCTCTCACCAAGTTGTGTAAGTGTCAGGTTAATCTTCAAGTCTAAGAAAACAGGGTTTAATAATTCCCTGCACACCTGGCAGCAATTCCCTTTTGTTGTTATCTTGCACTTTATCCTTATGGCAACTCAGGGATAGTCAGGGCAGATGTTACAAGTTCTATTTTACAGATGAGAAAAATGAGGGGCAGTGAGATATAGCAACAGTGTAGCAGATCTGCTCCAAGGTCAGTGCTCTCATATTATTACAGCATCTCATAACTCTGTGATTATCCAGTTATTTCCTACAACAGATGATCAGTAATATTTCCAATGCTTGGCCAGGCATGGTGGCTCATGCCTGTAATTGCAGCACTTTGAGAGCCTGAGGTGGGAGGATTGAGGATTGCTTGAGGCCAGGAGTTTGAAACCAGCCTAGGGAACATAGAAACACTCCATCTCTAAAATGTGTATATCTCATACTTTAAGAGCCAGCCCAAACAGCACCTCTTCTATATCATCTGCACATATCACCCAGCTAAAAGAACTCTCTTCTGAACTTGCATAGCACTCTTTCCAGTATCCTTACAGTTTTATTTTTATTTTTATTTTATTTTATTATTTTTTTATTATACTTTAAGTTTTAGGGTACATGTGCACCTTGTGCAGGTTAGTTACATATGTATACATGTGCCATGCTGGTGCGCTGCACCCACTAACTCGTCATCTAGCATTAGGTATATCTCCCAATGCTATCCCTCCCCCCTCCCCCCACCCCACCACAGTCCCCAGAGTGTGATATTCCCCTTCCTGTGTCCATGTGATCTCATTGTTCAACTCCCACCAATGAGTGAGAATATGTGGTGTTTGGTTTTTTGTTCTTGCGATAGTTTACTGAGAATGATGATTTCCAATTTCATCCATGTCCCTACAAAGGACATGAACTCATCATTTTTTATGGCTTCAGACAATCAAATTACTCTGAGCTACGGGAGGACATTCAAACCAAAGGCAAAGAAGTTGAAAACTTTGAAAAAAATTTAGAAGAATGTATAACTAGAATAACCAATACAGAGAAGTGCTTAAAGGAGCTGATGGAGCTGAAAACCAAGGCTCGAGAACTACATGAAGAATGCAGAAGCCTCAGGAGCCGATGCAATCAACCAGTTTTATAAGTTTCTACCTTGTAATATAATCATTCGTGTGTATTTTTATTTTCTCTCCTAGAATAACTAGGTAGATGCTCAGATATACCTACCATGAGCAATTCATAATTGTTTATTCATAGCATGAACAAGTAAGTAAATGCCTTAATTAATTTTGGGGGGTTGGTGGGAGAAGGTAGAGGTGGTATATTTCAAGGGACCAGAATGATTGTTTCCAGAGTACTTAGAGGGCTGTTATATGGAAGAAGGATTAAATGTGTTATGTGCCATCCAAAGGGCAGATATAAGACCAATGGGTAGATGTTTCAGCTCAATATAGGAATTCCTACAGCCAAAGCTGTTGAAAGGTGAAGGGGATATCTTCTAAGATAGTTAAGGTCTGTGTTATTAAAGGTATGAAAACAAGTATTGAGTGATCACTTTGTAAGAAGAGTTCAGAGGAGATTGAAGTATCTTAGGATGGATCGAACTTCCAGGTCCCTTTCTACTTAGACAGTAGTATTTAAGAGATCTACAGTATAAATGGCTTTTGCTTGCTCATGGAAGCAAAGCTTATACTCAAGAGGTAAATCCTCACTCATTTAATAAACATATAGGCAGTGGTGCATAGTGACTAAGAATGTGGGCTCTGGAATTCGAGTTCTGGATTTCTTACTTACTAATGTATGACCTTGACAAAGTTACTGAACATCTCCAAACTTTAGTTTCCTTATCTGTAAAATGATGGTAATAGTATTACTACTGGGATGTTGTGAAGTAATGCATAAGGAACACTTAACATGGTGCCTGGCACAGAGGAAGTACTCAATTGTTATTACTACTAATTGTTATTATATTACTACTCAATTGTTGTTACTACTGAGGCTCTACCTCTACTCCTCCTCTCCTACCAGGAGCCCTAGCCTCTGTCTGTGTTCTGCATTTCCTTGGGGCTGCCAAAATCCTTCCTTCCTGGTAATGTCTTAGACTTCAGGCAGAAAAGGTCAGGGAGGTTCCCCCAGAGACCTTAGAGCTTGTGCCTCTGAGCATATAGTTGACAGCTGACTGTGAGACTAGCTATCTGAGCCTTTGAGGCCTCTGGCCACTTTCCAAAGCCAACAATGCAAGATAAAAACACAATATCATTTCTCCAATCTCTTCTGGGATCCTGGTTGCTGGCACTCATTAAAGGCAGTTTTCTTTTAGATTTCAGAAGCTGTTTTAAAAGCCTGAGTCTAACATTGGGTTCCCCAAAGGCTGACAGTAGTTGCTTCTGTTTTTCCCCCAAATCTCTGACCTGAATTTCCAGTGGCTGGGTTATTAGTGCATCAACAAAACATGTTTCCTGGGAATAGAAAATCCATTCTTGTCTTTTGGTCATTTAGAGAATGTCAAGGAAAGATCTCAAATCCCCAGCACAACCCTTGGTGGAGAGCCAGGTTGCTCCCAGAGTAATTCTCCGTTCTACAAGGTTTGAGGTTTACTAACAATAGAACAAAATTTACTCAAAAACTCTTGCACAAATTCTTTCTTTATATAAGCTCCTTGATAAGAAATTATTACACATGGCTGATACTTAATAAAGGTATGTTTTGTGTACTTAATATCATCTCCATTTTAAAAAAGAGAAATGAGGTAGTGTTATCATTTCTGCTTTAAAGATGAAGAGATGCAGAGGGGCAGTAACTTGCCTGCACCCAGCTAGTAAGGATTAGAGTTGAGATCCCAAGGGAGTTCTATCTGATCCTAAAGCTTGGACCATTTATGGTAAATCATGCTGTCTTCTGTTAGGAGAGCTACAGGGAAGAATTTATTATTTATAGAATAAATTTAACAAATTAACAAAACACAGTTGCAGGCAATCTCAGATAGGATAACATACACATAGAATGAGCTAATGTATCCATCTTCATATTTAGCACTCAGGCCAACCCTGAGAAGTTAATGTTCATGTCCTTGGTTTTATAGATAGGGAAACAGACTCCAGGAGGTTAAGGAGTTTGCTCAGGAAGCAAACTAGCCCAGGGAAGGAAAGCTAGGATGCAAACCCTGCTTCTTGAACAATTGGGTGATGTACTTTTTACCATGTCACAGTTGTAGCTCTATAAGAAGTACATTTAAAATATCATCCTCAAAATTTATTTGCCTTTTTAACTTTTTAAAAAGGCCTTTCAGAAATCTTAGAGTCTCTTAGTGTTCCAACAAGCTTGGAAGGGCAAGCCTTTGGTGTCCTGTTTTAGCAATGAGAGACATGAGGCTAGGGTTTGCCTATTGTCCAACAGTGAGACAAGTGAAAAGATGGGTTAGAACCAGCTCTTCTTGCATGAAGCTCAGCTTTGGTCCTCTTCCATTTCATTGTTTGTCCTGCCTCAGCTTCCCAGTTCCTTCAGTCATTAAGTTTCTTTTGACTACTCAGGATCTACAATCTGGTAATTTCTTGGGTCTCTTCTTTCCAGGTGTTCATTCGGTCAACATGCTGTAAGCCAGGTACCATGGCAGTTGCAGAGAAAAGAGTTTATGTGAAAACCAGTCATCCTGCTTTACTGTTCACCTCTACACACCTTATCTCTCTCCACATAGGTGTCTATTCTACCTCATCACTCACAAACCAATTGTGTTTCATAGATGCTTATGGTAACATAAAGTGGTGCCCCTGGTGGGAAAAGGTAAATAACAGGTTCTTAGAGACAAGAGGAGTGCTTGGTATTGAGATTAAGGGATATTTGGAGGCAGATAGTATGTTTTCAAGTGTCTGTTTCATCCCTTGTGAGCTATATGACTTTAGCCAAGTTGGTTAACTCTTTGGCCTTAGTTTCCTAATCTGTTAAATGTGCCTAATTTATGGGGTTATTGTGAAGATCACAGGTGATCATTAATATAAACTGTTTAACAAAATGAATATACTCTTCCATCATTAACTGGGAAGATAAGGTTTACATAAACACAATAATTACAACACAAAGCAAGCCCTGTATTTTAATGACTGCAGAATCCCCAGTGCCTATCTCAGTGCCTGGCATACAGTTGAGGTTCTAGGTCCACAGCTATGGGTATCATCTATTGAATGCTTTTCTTGTTTTAGGCATGTGCTAAGAGTTTAGTGTGTATTATGCAATTTAATCGCTACCAACAACTCCTCAGGGAGTATTCTGACTCTCTTGTAGATGTTGCAGATGACGAAGTTGAAGCTGAAGCCTGGAGAGTTCAAGTGACTTACCCAAGGTCACAGGCTTGTAGAATAGTAGAGTCAGGGTTTGAAACCAGGTGTATCTGACTCTCAAGCCTGTATTCACTTGCATATTTGATTTGTGATTTATTCATTCAGACAACATTCTTTGAGTATCTCCACTGGGGGAGGTACTGAATCAAGTGCTGGGTATGCAGTAGGGAAGATGGCATAATCCATGCTCATAAGAAATTCAGCATTTGTTCATGTCCTTTGCAGGGACATGGATGGAGCTGGAAGCCATTATCCTCAGCAAACTAACACAGCAACAGAAAACCAAACACTGCATGCTCTCACTTATAAGTGGGAGATGAATAATGAGAGACCACAGGGACACCAGGAGGGGAACAACACACACTGGAGCCTATTGGCAGGAGGAGGTGTGGGGGGAGGGAGAGCATCAGGAAAAACAGCTAATGCATGCTGGGCTTAATACCTAGGTGACGTGTTGAGAGGTGCAGCAAACCACCATGGCACGTGTTTACCTATGTAACAAACCTGCACATCCTGCACATGTATCCTGGAACTTAAAGTGAAAAAAAAAAAAAAAGAAATTCAGCATCTGGGAAACAGACACATATGACATGGGTTGTGGGGGTCAGGGGGAAATGAGTTCAATAAAGGGAGCAGTGCAGGGGCCATGGCACAATCCTTCCCTGGACTTTCTGCCTCCTCAGTGTTTCCAAGGGGGAGGATGCAAGGTGAGAAATATGGTCACTATGGCCTGGAATTCAGAAAACACTTTCTGGAGGAGGTGGATCATAAAGAGGAGGATGTTCTCCAGAGTAAGTTTAGCCAGGGCAAAGGGGCGGGGGTGGGACTCCCTTAGGAGACAGCCTTTGGGTCTCAGCAGAGGGTATAGAGAAGAGTAGTGGGGAAGAAAGCTGGAGAGTAAAGTGAAGACCAAACTTCAGAAAGTGCTGAAGCCCAGTGTGAGGAGGTTGAAGGTAAGGTAGGCAAAGTCGAGTTAGAAATGAACACTGGCTTCCATGTGCGTGCGGGAGCTCCCATATTCCGAAGGCATTTGCTGTAACATGGCAAGGCCACAATGAATTTGTAGCACTTTTGTTTTTTATAAAACAATCCTACGCCAGAGCAGGAAGCTATGAATTTCAGGTAGGAGGTGAGCAGGGCTAGAAGAGGTTATTTTAGACAGTGGGAGTTTGGGGGTCATCTCAGTTCACTGGGACTCAGGTATCTTGTTTCACTTCTTGCTCAGGAGATTGGGAGCCCTCTGCAAGCCTCAAAGCTATGTGTGTTTTGGGGGTGACTATCACTGAGCAGGTATGAGGATGGGCCTTGTTTCCTGGATGATTCTGCAGGGGGCCAGTACTTCTGCCTTCATGGGAGATCCTTGGAGAGGCCCTGCTGGGCATTTTCTACAGCTGCATCGCAGCCATGTTGCCTTACACTGTGATTCCACCGACCAGTTGTGAGATTATCGAGTTATTGAACACTGTGGGAACACCACAGGTGGGAAGCAGCTCCCACAAACTGCATTTGCTTCTCTGTGATTACATTACAGTCTATAACAGAAGAACAGTCTTTATATTTATGTATAGGTTTCCAAATGAAGAAGAGAGCAAGCAGTTGAGCGTATGATGCCCTCTTCTTTCTTTCTTTTAAAAAATTACCATTGAGGCTATCCTGTTTCCATTTCCATACCAGTTCTGTGTGGCGTAAAATCGTCGGTGGTCCTGGAGAATAGGCTCTGAATTCATACTCATGTGAGGAGCTAGAATAGGACAATCAGGTTCAGCATTGAGTGTTCTTGATTTGGAGTCAGAGTTCCTCATGACACAGTTGCCCAAACGAGAACACTAATTCCCCTGTCAAGGCTCTTCCTTAACTTTTGGCTGAAACCAGAGCGGTTGAGTGCAGTCAGTACCAGTCTCTCAGGATAACTGGGAGGATGCATATCACTGGTCAAGAAAACAGGACAGTCATCAAGACTTAAATCATGCAGTTTAGTAGACTGAAATATTTCAAAGGCAGAAATGCACAAGAGTAAATGCAAAATGGATCTTCAGTGGTACAAAAGTCAAGAACCACCAGTCCTAATAATTCTCTCTGTCCCCACGTCCCCATGGACCGTTTCTTTTCTTTTTCTTTTTTTTCCTTCTTTTTTTGAGACAGAGTCTCGCTCTGTCGCCCAGGCTGGAGTGCAGTGGTGCGATCTTGGCTCACTGCAATCTCTGCCTCCCGGGTTCACGCATTCTCCTACTCAGCCTCCTGAGTAGCTGGGACTACAGGCACCTGCCACCACGCCCGGCTAATTTTTTGTGTTTTTAGTAGAGACGGGGTTTCACCGTGTTAGCCAGGATGGTCTCGATCTCCTGACCTTGTGATCTGCCCACCTCGGCCTCCCAAAGTGCTGGGATTACAGGCGTGAGCCACTGCCCCCGGCCTTCTTTTTCTTTTTTGAGTTGGAATCTTGCTCTGTCACCCAGGCTGGAGTGCAATGGTGTGATCTCAGCTCACTGCAACCTCCGCCTCCTGGGTTCAAGCAATTCTCTTGCCTCAGCCCCCTGAGTAGCTGGGATTACAGGTGTGCGCCACTACACCCGGCTAATTTTTGTATTTTTAGTAGAGACGGGGTTTCATCATGTTGGCCAGGCTGGTCTCAAACTCCTAAACTCAGGTGATCTGCCTGTCTCGGCCTCCCAAAGTGCTGGGATTACAGGCATGAGCCACCATTCTCGGCCCCTCCATGGGCCTTTTCTAGAGACCCTGGACTACATCTTCTTATCTCCCTCATGTAGAAGTGTCTAAAAATATAACCTTGAGCATCCATTGACTTAGAGAACATTCAAGAAAACAAGAAGGCTTGGATCCAAAGCCCATGGCATGATATTCCAGGCCATTCATGATTTAGAAGCCATATTTCTTTTTGGTCTTATTGCCCATTCACCCCTTTATTCAGCAGTTTGGAATGCTCTTTCTGAATTTCATGTCTAATGAAATCCTAGATACTATTCAAAGTCTCTGAAAGGCCACTTTCTTTTTAAAGTTTTTCTTGCCTCCACCCAGATGTGTCCCTCCTGCTTGTACAAATCTGTGGCACTTTGCTTGTATTATAGCAGTTTCCAGAGTGTGGGCTTCATGGGCCTTATGGCCTGGAAGATGATTTTACATAGACAAAGACCTGGTATTGAATAGAATTGGATTACATGCTGAGAAAGTTAGTCCCTCTGTAGTATTTCTGACTACATCAAGAGGAAGGTGTCATGTTGGTGTCAGTATGATTTTGAAACACCTTTTTGCCCTTTGCCAGGTTTTTTTTTTTTTTTTTTTTTTCAAATAAAGGCAGAAGACAAAGCAGCCCTCAGGCCCAATCACTTTGGCAGGTGATTGTAGGTAGTTAGAATTTAATAGTACTCATCTAATTATATTGTTTTTTAATTTTTTGTTTCTTTTCCCTTTTTGGAAAGTAAAATGAGTTTTTCATTTGTAAAAGTGTAACAACATGTAAAAAGAAACTTAAGTCAAAAAGTCAGTCAATGGGAAAAAAAGGTTAAATAATAGGAGAAATTTTTTGCAGATATGACAAGTATTGTGACAGTTGTACTGCAGTGACTGAAATTTAACTGAAACAAATTATCCAGAAGTAGAATTTGTTGTGCCTCCTTTGCTCCAAGTCTGTGAGTGCGGGGCTATGCCTCATTCATCTTTGAGATATTCTAGAACAGGAGTTTGCAATCTACCATCCACGGGCCAAATCTGGCCTGACACTTGTTTTTGTAACCAACCAGCTAAAGATAGTTTCAAATGGTTAAAAAAACCCAAAAGAATAATATTTCATGACACATGAAAATGACACAAAATTCAAATTTCAGTGTCCATAGAAAAGTTTTATAGGAGCATAGTCATACCTGTTTGTTTACATTCATTTATGGCTGCTTTCATGCCACAATGGGCCAGTTGAAAAGTTTTGACAGAGACTGCATGGCCTACAAAGCCAAAAGTATTTACTATCTGGCCCTTGACAGAAAAAATTTCTGCCCCCTAGTCTAGGTCACCAGGCATGGAGTCAGGAGGTCTGAGGTTGATCCCTGGCACTTCCATGAAGTCACTGGTGACTTTGGACAAATCAAATCCTCTCTCCAAGCCTCAGTTCTCCATCTATAAAGCGGAGCTAATAGTAATACCTACTTCATAGGGCCATTGTGAGAATGTGATGCATGGGAATCTACTTTATGAACATGAAAGCATCATAAAAATTTGTAGAGATTTGTAGTTCCTTCTATAGTCCTAATTTTCATTTTGGAAAAGACACTGTGTACTCGTATATACCTGCTATAGCTCTTCACATTTTCTAATAGAATCTGGAGAGTTCTCTTTTATTTTTAATTAAGGAGAGCTTATTCTTTTTTTATTATTATACTTTAATTTCTGGGGTACATGTGCACAACGTGCAGGTTTGTTACATAGGTATACATGTGCCATGTTGGTGTGCTGCACCCATTAACTCGTCATTTACGTTAGGTATTTCTCCCAACGCTATCCCTCCCCCAGCCCCTCACTCCCCAACAGGCCCCGGTGTGATGTTCCCCTCCCTGTGTCCATGTGTTCTCATTGTTCAACTCCCACTTATGAGTGAGAACATGCGGTGTCTGGTTTTCTGTTCTTGTGATAGTTTGCTGAGAATGACGGTTTCCATCTTCATCCATGTCCCTGCAGAGGACATGAAAGGGAGAGCTTATTCTTTACTTTTTTCTGCTTCCAACATTTATTATCTATTTTTCACTATATTCATTCTTTGTTTCCCCTCACCCCACCCTTTCCACTCCCCACCCACCACCGCCTCCAACCAACTAATCCTACCACATAACGTTTTTCTTTGGAACGTCCCCATCTTGGCCACTGTAATCAATTCTTCCTCAACCCCAGGATTTTTCTTCAAGACCCAATTGTACTTAAGGACAAACTATCACATCAGAAGCACAGTGTTTCTATTCAGTATTGTCCTAGATCTGTTGTGTGTTGTATAAACAGACTTAACTTCTCTTTGCTTTTTTTCAAATAGAATTGGCTGAGGTTGGGCAGGAATATTTGCATACAATTTCAAGTGTGTAAGAGATAGTTTTTGGATGAAAGATATTTAAGGAAGTCATGTGGCATTTAGTGAGCATTTACTATGTGCTGGGCAATGCGCTACAACATTTTCTACTCATTGTCTCATTAAATTTTTAAAATAATTTTAAGAGGGAGATCAAATGATCCCCGCTTAATAGACTGGGAAGCTGAGGCTGAGGGTTGAAGTCCCTAGCCCAAGATCTCCCAGCAGGAGAGTGATGGTACTGAGATTGGTCTCCACGTGTGATTATATGGAGCTGGCAGACATAGCACTATAAGGCACTGCTGCCTTCACCCGGGAAGCTTTCCCTGATCTCCTATCTGCGCTCTCAGTGCCATGTGGCTCCCCCGTTCCAGGATGTATGACACTATGTTGCAGTCGCTTGTGTAGTCTTCTGCCTCCTCAGCTAGACTCTGAGCCCGAGGAAGGCAGGGACTGTGTCTTTTCTGTTCATTGCTGTATCATCACACCTGACACAGGACTGATACTGAGTGGGTGCCTGCAAATGTATATTAACTGAATGAATGAATAGATGAGTATAATGGGCATTTGTATGGCTCCAAGCATTCACGTTGAATCTAAGGGGAAGGAAAATGATATGCTTCTCACCAGTAGCAAATTCCTCTGCTACCAAGGAAGCCTTGGGAAAAGAAAGGAAAAAGGAAGTGGGAGAGCCTGAGTGGATTTCAACTGGAAAAATGAGGCAACAGGATATATTATTTAATTTGAAAAAGAAGTGGGAAAAGAGTTGCATGCCATGTATTTGTTTCCAATCAATCCAACATTTATCCAATTTTAGTCTTTTGTATCTTTGTGATTGTTGTCATATCTGTGAATCACCTATAATATTATTTGCTTAATATTTTCCTTAACATTGGCCCACCTTTCAAAACATACATGTATTTATTTTAAAAGGAATCTTCATACTACAATAAATGGGAAGCCATTATCACTTGCTTTAAAAAGTAGATGACCTGAAAATAAGTATAACAAAAACAGAAGAAGCAATTACATTCTAGCTGATACTGTTTCCTGCTAAAGGACCAGGGCTGCGGACTGCTTTTTTGTTTAACAAGGATGATTAAGAAAGTGGTAGGACAGGGTTAAAGACACACTAGCACCAAACTGAGGCTTCTTCCTTTCTAATGAGAAGAATTTAAAGAGGATTGGAAAGTAAATAACTTCCTCACTAAATGACTTAATGTGATTTAATGTGTCTGTGTCTTAAAATCATCTCCTGTACCATGTAAAGTCATTGTTACATTGATTGGAAAATGCTGAATAGGTGGAAGTAGGCCTGCTCTCCTTGGGTGTGATATCTTAGACAATTCTGCTAAAAGCTATCTTTCTCTTGAAAAACAGAGGATGGTTTATTTCTTCCTGTCTTCACTCACAGCTCCGTTCCTGTGAGGGAAGGGAGAGAAGAGGACAGAGGCAAGCTGCCAATTGTCAGTGTCCTTCAGTTCGGAGCCACCTCTGCTCCAAGTCTTAAGAGGCTCCCCCGAGGCCATCACCTGGAGGTGAGCAGCCACCCCAGGCTGGAGCAGGTAAATCAGGGGGTCTGGGAACCTCTGCAAACAAAGAAAATCTACTTGAAGTCACCTTTTCAGCCTAGAACATTTTATTCTAGTGAAATCTCTCTCCTGCCCCAATTCACTCACTGCGAAAACCAACATAATTTATCTTCTGGAGGGAAGGGTGCAGACTTCAGCGTGGGTTTTTTTTTTTTTTTTGGCTCAAGCAACAGCTCAGCCTAAATCATTGGAAGAAAAAGTGGGGGAAAGAAGGCTAGAGCAAGTTGCCAAATTGCAAGTTTGGAAATAAAATCAACATGGGCATTATCTTAAAGGTTAGGGAGAAGATGGCCCCAGTGTTCTTGAGAGCCAGGAAAGGTTTCCTATCAATGTTCTCTTTGCCCAATTTCTTTTGGAATCACAGACATTTTTTTCTTTTATGAGCCTTAGGATCAGGAGATCTTGCAGTTCTGGATGCCCCCTTTTAGGAAGTGAGGAGGCTAATATTTGCTGAACACTATGTGCCTGGAAGGGTGCAGGGCATACCCCCCATTGTTCTCATCTTCTCAATAACCCAAAGAGGTAGGGGAAGGGTCAGCCACATCTCACAGATCAGAAACACCTTGTCCAAGGTCACACAGACTCTAAATAGCAGAGCCAGGACTGGACTGCACTATCCTGATTCTGAAACCTATGTTATTTATATTGCTACCCTCCAAGGATCATGGGAATAGAACTAGAGATTTAAAAGGAATGTTGATGCCTCTATTTAATGTTCTGCCACACAGGATCTGCTCCAGAGTCCCAAAAGATTCATCTTCTATGTGACTCATTGTCCTGTGGAGCCAACCCATTTTACTGATGAAGGACATAATTGTTAACGGACTTTTACTGAAGTGAGCATTACCTTTTTTCTTATGCTCCATGGACATCTCATCAAGGACCCTTGAAGTGAGGTTACCATTCTTAGCTCCCACAGCGAAGAGATCTCAGGAGACTGGACACTGAAGAATCTCATCTTGTATAAAGACAGACCAAGGTATGATGGTTTTCCTTTCAAACCTATAATCCTTATGGGATTCATTCCATTCTTTTCCTGCTGCCAGGATATTTAACAAGTATTTCCCTGACAAAGGAAGACATTCATTGCAGAGCAGATGAGAGGACTCCAAGGTGACTTATTTAGGCCATGCAGGGGTGAAAGGCCTATGTTAGGTCAGGCCAAAGGTGCTCACTCCCTGAGATGGGCAAACAGCTTGGCTAAGACACCAAGAGATCACAGCCTTCTCATTAAGGCTCTGTGCAGATGGTGGTACCCACCCTTCCTGCATGTGGTGTTTGTCTGCAGAGGCTGAGAACATGCTAGGGCAAAAGCCAGATGCCTGGGATTTCCCAGGCTGTCTGTCCAGTGAGTAATAGTCCGTTCTCAGGGGCTGCTGGGTGCTGCAGAGGATGTTTCTGGTGAAGAGAGGCTAAAGGGAGGAGACCCGGGTTTTTGTTCTTTGTCCTAATTTATTCTGTTATCTTGGTCCAGACCTTCCTCTCTGGCCTTTAGTTTCATTTTCCCTAAGAAGGAGATTTCAGTACTAGCTCTTTCAGACCCTGAAAAAAAGAAACACACACTATGTCTCCATCCTTCATTGGCTACTTACAATGTGCAGCCATGGGGTAAGCACAGGAGCTGCATGCCCTCCGCTGGAGTGAAAAGCATCGTCAGTATTTGCTCCCTGGGGCTTGCCAGCTCCCCTTCTCTGGCTTCTGACTGTTGGGTTCAATTCATGGCCACTCTCTGCCCTCCTCCCTGATCCCTGGTGGTGGCCCATGACTACAGTTGTTTGATACCGGCTGTGCCACCTCTGGGAGATGTTCTGGTCTTGGTGCTAAGACTTATAAGCTGGGCCTGGGTACTGTTTGACCTGGGGTCCTGGAATGACCACTTAGTGGGTGCATTGCTTAAGCAGGTTTCCTAACTTACAGATTTATTTTCTTCTTTTAAGATTTCCCCCTTTTTATATCTAAGGGTTGTTGTGAACCTGAACATGAGATGAAAAATGAGGAGGCTGTTTGTAAAGAATCCTGAAAATATGAGACAGTGCAGTGGGGGTGATTAGGAATGAAGATCTGGCTGGGACAGACTGCCTGGGTTTGAATCTTGTCCCTGTTGCTTCTGAGCTTGTGACGGGGGACAAGTAACCTAACCTTACTGTCTGGGTAAGAGGGTGCTAGTACTCACCTCACAGGACTTTTATGAGGATTAACATTTATCTACAGTAAGTACTGAGAACAGAGCTTGACATAGAGCTAGAACTCAATAAAAACTGTTCTTGCCCTTACTGTTGTGTTTTTATTACTGTTAGTGTGGGCTGCAGCCTATGTAGAGAGGGAATCTTAAGTGGAGGTAGAGAGGGATGAAGCAGGCAAGACTTCCTGAAGGAGGAAGGCTTTAGCTGGTTTTTGGAGTCTGGCTAGAGGGAAATTCTAGAGGGAAGGGTGTAAACAAATGCCAAAATTGGAATGTTGGCAGCGTTGGAGAGAGAAAGATGCCCCAGGGAGAGATTTAGCTCAGCAATACTGAGTTATTGAGTGAGTACAGCTTTTCTTCTGCGGCTCACACGTATGTGTGGGATGCTGCTGTGGTCTGAATGTGCCTTCCCAAAACTCCTATGTTGAAACTTAATTTTCAATCTGATAGTATTAAGAGGTGGGGGCTTTTGGGAAGTAAGTCATGAGGGCTCTGCCCTCATGCATGGGATTAGCATCCTTTAAAAGAGGCTGAAGGGAGCCTGTTTGTCCCTTCCACCACGTGGGGACACAGCTAGAATGCACTGTCTTTGAAGCATTGAGCAGGCCCTCACCAGACACCAAATCTGCTGGTTCCTGGATCTTGGACTTCCCAGCCTCATAACTGTAAGCAGTACATTTCTGTTGTTTATAAGTTACCCAGTCTATGGTAATGCATTATAGCAGGCTAAACAGACTAAGACAGGGGTCTTTTCGCTTTACTCAGTTGAAGTCAGGCTCTCTCTGACCCCATTTGGGGGGAAATGTGGAGCAGGAGGAGAGCAAGGGCTTTGCATTCAGACAGACCTAGGTTTGAATGCCGGCTTTGCTCCTCACTGGCAGAGAGTCTTTGAGTTAATTATTAATCTTAACCTCCTTGAGTCTCAGTTTTCTCACTTGTAGAGATGTTGAGGGAATTAATTTAAATGAAAAGATTCTTCTCTCCTTCTTTCCCCACTTCCTCTCTCGCGCCTTCCTTCTTTCTCATCCCCACCTCTCTCCATTCACTCTCTGGAAGAGAGAATCTCTGGCTGCTCCTACAGCTGCCACACATGAGCACAGCTGGTTGCCAACTCTGGCAGGGTGCCAGGGAGATGGTGCCACGGGAAAAAATTGTAAGTGCCATTGGAACAAGGAGAATTTCATAGAATTAGAAAGGTCCAAAAGGTAGCTTTTTAATATGGGTCACAAGCAGGCTGACTTGTAAGAATTTTGTTTTGCTGTGTTCTTTGTTACACTCTCCCAGAGTTTTAGCCAGGTGACAGTGTGAGCAGCTTAGCACCTTTGCCATCTGCCCACCCATTATGTATGTGTGTAAACTGCCTCAGTCACTTAAATTTGTGCACTCTGATACAGCTCATTCTTCTTAGAGACAAGGAAGCTGAGGTTGAGAGAGTAGGAGTGACTTGCCCAAGGCCATGCAGGGGCTGGGCTAGACACCTGCCTCCTTAAACCTGAGCTCTTTTCCTCACACAGAAAACGGTGTCAAAAGCAGTGGGATAGGTGTTGGGATGTGGGAAGATGCTTTGCAGTAAAAAGGGAATTTGTCTTATAGGTGAGGTCAATTTTTCTTAGATTGTTTTGACTGTTCGGTCCAGAATGAGAGTTCCTTTTTTGGATTATGTTCATAAAATCCTGCTGATTGGATGATTCTCACCATCCTTTTAGGCTTGATGAAAAAGATTAAAAAAAAATCACAGGTGCTGAGTTTTCCTGAGAAACTGTGGCTTCAGTTCCCTTACTTCCTTCAGGGCCCCTCCCAAGGGTGAGTTTTTAAGCATGATGAATTATTGTGGTCAGCTGCGGCAGCATGCCATGCCCAGGGGAGTAGAGCCCTCCGCTCCTTGGCCAGCCTGCGTCTCTCCAGCAGGCCAGCCTGCTGCACGCGTTCCTGCACAGACACTGTCGCTGCTGCAGCATTTCCTCTGTCCCAACAGAGGCATCACAAATCTCCGAGAGGAACGCATCCACTTCCTGGCCTGGTAGAGCGGAGAGCAGAGGTGGGTATTGCAGAGAGTTGGGAGAAATTGCTTCTGGTTGCCTGGAGCTTGAATTACCTCCACTGGACTTGGTTGTTAGGTTTTGCATTGTTTCCTATAGGATGAGCTCAATTGGAGGCTGTACTAGAGACACACTTGGGGCTCTGGTCATTCTGTCCCATAGACACAGCCAACTCTTTGCTATTTTTTTAGCAAGTGTTTCTTGAGCCTCTAATCTCATGCTATAAGCTTTGGGGGATACAGAATTGGCAGATAAGTTTCTGTCTTCCATAGTTACCTTCTAGTTGAAGAACATGTACCAAAGTTAAATAATGTTATAAGCCTATGGGAGAGACATCACTAGGTAGACATCAATGTATACAGTAAATGTTTATTAACTGCCTACTCTATACTGTGAGCTAGGCGTTGGTTTATCATCAGCTGAAGTTCACTGGTCAGGGTGCACAAGGGTTCTGGAAAAAGGAAAAATCTCAGTAGGGTGCAAAGTTTTATTATTCTAATAGCAACAAATATTTATTTATCCCCTGCATGGTATTAAATGTATTATGTAGATACAAATATTATCTTGTGGAGGAGGGACAATCACCATCTCACTTTACAGGTGGGCCCAGGAGTCCAAGAACTTCCCCTAAGGCTGCTAGTCGGTGAGTGGCAGAGCTGAGATCAAACCCCATATCTATCTGACTCCAAGGTAGCAATCCCTAAAGGCTTGGCTCTTCTGATGGGAACTGAGCTGGAATTTGAAGAAGAACAAGCAGATCCAAGAAGGAAAGATTCTCATGGGTTGAATAGCCTCAGAGCTTTGAACTTTGCTAAATATTTCAAGGTTCCCCTCCATTCTTAAGATAAAAGAAAACTGGTACCAACATAACCTTCTAAATGGCCCTTCCAGATGGGCCAGCTGTTCAAAGCAAGGACATTACCTTCTCCATTATTACACTTATTCCTGTAGAAGAACAAGCAAGAACTGACTCCATCTTCCCAAATGCATTTTCTCTATATGCCATATTAGGTCCTGTAGGCTGCCTCCTCCGCCCAGGTGCTACCTGCATGAACTTGATATGAGCTTTATTAGGACTTAATTTCTTTATAATTGGATATGATAATTACCTTTGAGGTGTAGTGAAGATCAAATAAGATAATATTAAATACACAGTTTCTAGAACAGAGGAAGTACTCAAATAAATTTGCTTTGCTTAATTATTACTCTACATTATATTTTGCTTATATTTCGACCTCCTTGCCAGACTCTAACCTTCCCATGGTATTTTTTTAACCTCCTGAAATCTAATTTGAGGCCTGAAATACAGTATGAGGCAAAACTGATTGAACATCTAAGAAGGGGTTTTCATATTCACATTGGGTGATGCTGAGTAGGAGTTCAGTTAGCCATTAACTTCCTGTGTGTCAATTACATTTTTGTTTGTTCACTTTTCACTCGTACTCCCTCTCACCAATCATCAACTCATTTCCTACTAGGGATGAATAATGGTGCCAGGAATTAAAAAGAATTTATAATGGAGATGTTTAAAACTACAAAAAAGTAGAGAGAATAATATAATATTATTACCCAGTTTTAACAATTGTCAACATTTTGCTAATCTTGCTTTAACCATTTTTTTAAACTGGAGTGTTTTAAAGTCAATGCCAGAATCACGTCATTCTACTTATAAATACTTCATATGTAGCTTTAACTAATAAGGACTTTGGATTCTTTGTGCCTAGCTGCATTTCCAATAATCCTGAGTAGCACTGGTAACCAGTCATACTTACACTTCCCAGATTGATTCAAAAATTGCCTTTTAATAATTGCTTCATTGAAATCAGGATTTAAACAAGGTTCATGCATTGTATTGGTTAATTATGTCTCTTAAGTCTCCTTTATTTTTTAATAGTGTCCCTTCTCCCCACCTTTTAATACCATTGGCTTGTTAGAGAAATTGGTTCTTTTGTAGATTATGAATTTAGTTGATTACTTCTTCCTGCTATTATTTAAGTTTTTCTTTTATCCCTTCTTGTTATTTAAGTTGTTCTTTTATCCCCAGTATTTCCTATAAAGTGGCAGTAAGTTTAGAGTATGATTATATTCAGGCTCCATTTTTTCAGCTAGATGACTTCGAACATATTGTGAGTATTGTACTTCCTTTTCTACCACATTCTGGGTGTGTAATGTCAAGTCTTCCTAATCTGCATGATGTCAGTCTGGTCCCACCATGGCAAAGTTCTCCAGTCAACCTTTCACCTAATGAGTTTGGCATGCCCTGATCATCCTGTCTAGGTCCATCTTTTCATTAGTGGTTGCAAAATGGTGATTTTTCTAACTCTTTTGTTCTTTCCAGGCCTTTTGTTTTTCAGGCCATCTTTGATTTCCTCTTCTATCCTAATCTTTTTTTCTTTTTTAACAGAACCTAGGAACATTCAAATGTGGACATGAATGGGGGTTACCAAATTTAGTTTGTGGATTGGAGCTGGACTGGCTACATAAAAATCAATGTGATCTTCATAGATGTACAGATTTCAGGATTCCACTCCTGTGGATTCTGACTCAAGAGGTGGGGAGAAAGAATAGGAAGGATTCTTTGTTTTTAAATCAAGTTGCTAAAATGTAGCCAGGCCAAAAGAGGGGGAGTTTTAAAATCCACCATCTAATATTGCAAGAGATGAAGTTTGCTACCACACTTGCATGTCCTTTCTGAATAGGACATAGGTTGGGGACAGGAGGGGTGAGAGGAACTGAAATGAATGGGGAATGTCCCATGGATATTGTGGCCTCCATACTGCCCCTTACTTGGAATTTGTAGCTACACTTTCTTTGGTTGATCCTGGTCTCCCTCATTGCATGAACCTCAGAAGCTTCAAATTGTAACAGTGTATGATTCCTTTGTACCTCTTTCCAGTCTAGATCTAATTACTACAAGCTGTTGGGACTTCAGCATGATGACAGAGGATTTTCTAGGATTATGCTCAACATGTGACATTCAATTACTGTGCCTCAGGAGGGTGGAGGTTAGCTAGGCAGGGAACTGGTAAGGATGGATGGGATTTCCAGATATGGATGTCAAGGGGCTCAATTTCTGGGGACGCTAGAGTCATGCTGCCTAAACTTTAGTGCCAGCTTGTTAAAAAGAAAATGCTGGAATCACAAATCTGACCATAGGTTTCAGTATGTCTAGGAAAGAACCCAGGAGTTAGCATTTTTAACAACCTCAGTATTTAAAAGGATTAAATAAAGACTGCTCTGGTGGAAACAGGCATGGATTTAGTCCATTCAGCATAACCGCTTGCTTCTCTCATCAGACTTTGGGATGTCTGCCTCCTGACATCCATGCACAGCCCCAGGCTTTCATAAAACCACTTTGAAAACCACTGGGCGGGGTGATGGCTGAAGTTTCTTCCCACTCTGACATTCAGTGATTCTGGGTTTGATCATGTGGAAGGGCCATGATAGTGCTCTCATCCTCGCCAATACTGCCACATGACTCAGGCCCGGCCAGCAGAACTCTCCCTCCCCTCATTCACAGTGAAAGGTTCAGAGGAGAGCTTGTAGCCCAGTTCAAGCTTGAGTCTCCTCTAAGAGGAGTAAGAGCCTCTTCTCTTACTATCTCAGTGTTGTAAGAGAGAGGATCTTGCTTGTCTTCTCAGATGAACATGAACACAGACCCAAATGCTAGGTAGCTCTCTTCTAATGAACTTACAGGAGTGAGAATGCTGTAAGGCACCTCATCCTGCTGAGAAGAAATCTAACTTAAATGCATGTCTGCTGATGGGGTGAGGGGGTGGGGTGGAGCTTTTCACATTCCTACTTTGAACAATGCATGGTGCTGGGTGTTATGGAGTAAGGTAGACACAACTCCTTCTTCAAGGAACTTATTTATTTGGGGAGATTCTGACATATGAAAAATCAATGAATTAACAATATATGGCAGTATGGAGTGCAAAATTGATGCCATAAACAGAGAAGAGACTTTTGAGGAATACACTCATAAAGCTTGAAGAATGGATTGAATTTATTATTACTGTTCATAAAAAGGGATATATCATACATATATATACATATGCACACATAGTTGTTTATTAGAAAACACAGGTGCTGTGTCTTTTACAGAGATTTAATTCACATAGTATAAGAGGAAATCTATTAGGGCACATCACTGAGAATTTCAGGGATCATTCCAGCTTTAGTCATGGCTGGATCCTGAAGATCAATGTCATTAGGGCTCTCTCTTCACTTCCTGGCTCTGTTTTCTGATCTGTCTTGCCTTCATTCTAAGAAAGGATTTCTCCATATACTGGAAGCAGCATAATAAATCTCCCAATAATTCTTGGCTAATTATGGTCTTTTTAGCTTAACATCCCAGAGGACAAGCAAGCTCCTCTTCCTTACAATGCTCAGATAGTAAGTCTTAGAGGAGACGCAAGCTCCTCTGGGCCATGAGCTCTCCTCTGAACCATTCACTGTGCACGAGGGGAGGGAGGGCTCTGCTGGCCTAGCCTGAGTCATGTGGCAGTATTGGTGGGGATGAGAGCACTATCATCGCCCTGCCACAACTGTTTGGGTGGAATGGATTGTTCCTCAAAGGACAAGTAGGAGGCAGGCATGCAAATTCAATAGCTTTCTTCCCAAAACATGGAAATAAGAAAGAACAAAAATCACAGGTAATCTAACACAGAGGAGGTGCACACACACACACACACACACACACTCATAACACACACATACACACTTGTGTGTATCCAGAAAGATGTTCATGCTACTTTAAGTGAAAAACTATAATAGAAACAGTTTATACAACAATATCTCATTAAAACTTTTAGTGCATTTATTTTATTTGAATTTGCATAAATATGTGTGTTGAAAATATGAAACTGAAATGTACTATTTATTGTATAGAGTTTTCCCCTTGACAATCATGAACATAATTCCTTGTCATTAAATAACATCCTATGCTACTCTTCTCAGGCCTGTGTTGTGTTAGGTGGTTGTAGAGTGATTTGGCTGATACCTGGATTCATTTAGGAAAGCTGGGCAGCATTACTAGAGCAGGCGTTGGGATCTGCTGTCCCTGCTTACTGGTACTTTAGGTCAGAGGATGTCTATCTGGCATCTCCTTTCTGGGTCCTTTCCAAGTCTATCTGGCATCTCCTTTTCGGGTCCTTTCCAAAGGGACCCAGCCACTCAGTCCCAAGCAAGCTTCGGGAGTTGAGTGGGACCTTTAAGCAGGAGTGTATCGTCTACTTTTGAAATAGGAATCTCAAGGCCCAGGCATTTATATATAGCCTTTGTTTCAGCAGCCCCATGTGTAGCTGGCATTTCTGGGGTCAAGGCAGAAAAGATCAGGGACAAGTAAAAGCTGCAGGAATTTATTGAAGGAAAGTAGGTTGTTTCAAAGCTGAGGTTTGGATTTGGGCTTGATAGTAAACTAGCATGACTCCAGAGAAGCTGCGTGCACACCAAGGCTGCTGTTGTCTCATCTCCCTGGTGGAACTGTTGCAGATGAAGCACCTGCAGATGACATGGACGAGGGGAGGGAAGCACATTCAGGCTGAGATGATTGCCTTTGCAGTGGCCTCACTGACAGCGCTGCAGCTCCAGTGGAAGGTCTCTCGGGCACTTTGTTGGCCTAGTGGAGGGCACAGTTTTGGTGAGTCCCCCTGCTTCACTTCTGGGGAAGACTGACCTATTCACTAAGACGCTCTACCCAACACACACAGTGAGGCACTTAGAGAAACTGGGGTGCTTCTTCTCAACCTCAGAGTAGTGCCTTCCAAACTAAAAAAATGTAAAGAAGAGAAGAAAAAATAATAGGTAGGAGGTGGGTCCCTTTCTTTAAAGGAAATTGTACTTGGGTAGAAGAACACAGGGTTGCTGGTAAAGGCCCTGTGGGTAAGTCTACCTGGGTGTGACTCCTGCTCCACTTCCTGCTGGATGGCTTTGAACAAGCGACTTAACCTTTCTCACCCTCAGTTTCCTCATCTCTATAATGGGAAAAAGACTAACAGCTACCTCACAGTCTCTTGGGAGTATTAAGTACGATGATGCACATTAAAAATACTCACATATAACCTGGTATTAAGTGCTCAATAAATGTTAGCTGACACTATTAACAGATTTTAGGGAAAAACACAGACTTGCCTTGATTGGAGCAGAGGTAAGAATCCTGCCTTTTCTTGTCACTGTCACATTTTTGGAGTCTTAGGGATCTAAGGAGTTTGAAAGTTACTTTGTAGAACATTGTATATTATACACATATAGTTACACATGGAAAGAGGAACAAGCCATACTAGCATGTCATATTAGAAATTGTAGCTTGGGCAACATAATGAGAGCCTGACTGTACAAAGAAAAAAATAAAAAAAAATTAGCTGGATGTGGTGGCACATGCTTGTAGTCCCAGCTACTCAGGAAGCTGAGGTGGGAGGATCGCTGGAGCCTGGAAGGTTGAGGCTGCAGTGAGCTGTGATCAACCACTATGCTTTGGCCTGGGTGACAGAGTGAGACCCTGTCGAAAAAAATAAATAAAAGTGCACTAAACTGGAACTATGAGTCCTGCATTCTAGTCTTGATTCTGTAATAAACTCACTTCAAGGCTTTGAGTCACTTCACTTCTCTGGGCCTCAGTTTTCCCATTTCAAAAATGGACTGTTAGGTAGCTGGTCTTTAGACTATATCCTGGTGAACTGAGGTTTCAGAGAGGTGCTGGTGATTGCTAGGGGATTGGAGGAGATTATAGGATTACACTAATTATAACCAGCTTTGCTAGCTGCTTTCTGAGGGTTCTTGCATCTCTTGTATAGTACAACACGAGACTAGGAATCCAAGAGGCAATTCTGCTTTCTTATCATAGCATTGTTATGATGGTGGCTTGTATAATCTCATTTTAAAGATGAACCACATCAGACTCAAAGGGCTCAAGCAGTAGGCCCAAAGACCAGTAGCTGGTGCCAAGCCTTGATATGTATTCTGGAAAAACACTCCTATTCCAGTGCTCATTTCACCCCATTGCTTTACCTTTTGTAACTCCTGGACACTGCATTTTATAAAATGGAGCTGACACAGGCTGGGTGAATTCAGTCTTCCTGATAAGCCACCCATCTTAAAATAACACCATCTCACTGTGCTCACATCTCAGATACATTTGTCACAAAAGGAGGGCAGATAGACATCCAGCCTTCATTTGACCTTTAAATCACCTCCTTTTTATCAGCTGTGGCTGATCAGCTGCTCTTTTTGAGAGCAGGTGGGTCGACATAAGATTGATTGGTTTTCTCTGCAGGGGAGTAACTTGGCCCTTTCCAACCCTCTGACCTGCAGAGGCCCTCTGAGCTCTGAGATCCTCGGCAAGAAACAAGAACATAGATTAACAAGGCAGAATGAGGGGCCTCTGTGCCTGGATGCAGGACAAGAAGAGAATAACCAGTGAGAACTCGGAAAGAAGACCAGCCCTTGGGACTTGCACAAGTCCTTTAGTTTATCCTGTCCCCAAATCCTAGGGTGTTTGTGACAATCAAATAAGAAGTTACGTAAGTAGATAGAAACTTGTCAGCCCAGTATGGGCCAATGCAGGAAGTTTTGGACTTGGAAGACATTGTGTTGTGGGGGAAAAAGTGTGAGCTTTGGATCCAGTACCAAAGATGGGTTTGAATCTCAGCCCTGTCCCCACCCAAAGCTCATCTGGAATTGTAGCTCCCACAATTCCCACATGTTGTGGGAGGGACCCGGTGGGAGGTAATTGAATCATGGGGCGTGTCTTTTCTGTGCTGTTCTCGTGATAGTGAATAAGTCTCATGAGATCTGATGGTTTTATAAGGGGGAGTTTTCCTGCACAAGATCTCTCTTTGCCTTCTGCCAGCAGCGTAAGATGTAACTTGCTCCTCACCTTCCACCGTGATTGTGAGGCCTCCCCAGCCATGTGGAACTGTGAGTCCATTAAACCTCTTTCCTGCATAAATTACCCAGTCTTGGGTATGTCTTTCTTAGCAGCGTGAAAACGGACTAATACACCTGGCACTGACAGGAAAAAAAAAGGTTAAGACAGTTGTGAACCCTTGAGCAGGTCACTAAACTCCTCTGTGGCTCAGTTTCTTCATCCGGAAAAAGGAAATTATAATGCTGAACGTGTAGGATTATCATTAAGTGTTAGGGTAATCAACTTGCCTGGAGCGTATCTCATAGTCAGTGCTTAAAATGGTAGTTTTTGTTACTGACATGGAAATGATTGATAAAACAAAGGCCTCAGGGCTTATAAGGAGCAGTGATTATTTTATTGGTGAACAGGATGTTCTATTCCTGTTGGACCAACTGATAACAGTCACTTCATGAAGAAAAAAGGATTTCGAGTGGGATAGAACACTGGAGTTTTCTTTGGTGGTTTTGTCTGGTGGGATCTATTTAATTGCATTCTGCTTAGAACCAACTAATTGTTGAACAATTCAGCTGATCACACACTAGCTAAGAAGGCCATGTGTGAAAAATATCTAGAGAGGTCCTAGCTATTTGGGAGCAAGTCCATCATAAGCCAATATGTGACCCGGCTGCTGATACAGATGAGCCGCTCTTGGAGTGCATTAACAGAAGTAGCAAGCCTAGAATAAGGGAGGAGATGGTCCTTCTGCATTCTCTTCTGGCTGGGATACACTTGGAAATATGGGTTCAGTTCTCTAAGAATCTCATTGTCAAACCTGAGTGTGTTCTGAAGAATGTGAGTAAGAGAGGAAGGAGCTGAAGACCTTGCCATATGGAGAACAAGGAAAAGGATGAGAGAGGCTTTTCCCCTGGAGGTAAGAATGTTCACGGTGATCAATGACTTTAAACTTCTGAAGGGCTGCCATAGGGAAGGAGGAGATGATGGAACACACTGTGGGTGAGTGGAGGTGGGGTCAGAGTCTATCAAGCTTGCCCAACCTGCCTTATTTTTATTGTTGTTCTGTTTTGTTTTGTTTTAGACTTTTAGCAGCCTGAAAGCCATGGTTTTTAGTTTCTGTCTCTAGTGATAAGTGAAAAAGAGGGATGAGGGAGGGGTTTTGGTGGCCTAACCAGAATCAGAAACTAAGAACCCATAATTGTATTTTCTCCCTTGGACACCCCTGGAGGTCTTTTGGACAAAGTTACAAGGAGGAATATTCAATTCGGGAAGATGCTGAATTGGGCCACCTTGTGAGGTAGTAAATCTCCTGGCAGCTGAGATATTCAACCAGAGGCTAGCCAAAGTAAAGCAGTATGTGGTGTGGAGGTTGTGGGAACAGGATTTGATGTTAAATCTGGGTTTAAATACTGGCTGTGCTGTGTGGGCAAGAAGTAAACATCTCTGGATGTACTTGCCTTAGCGGTGAAATGGAGACAGAGCTTACACTACTGGATTGTGAGGGTTAAATGAGATAATATACGTAAAATCCTTAACAGTTGCTCTTAGTATTATTTTGGTTACTTATCAAGGATAAACTCACCAGGGTTTCCTTCCCACTCTACATTTCGGGGATGCTATGAATGAAACAGGCCACTGCATTTCTCCTTGATTGTTCTTTGTTCTCCACTTCAAACCAATTGCCGTTTCATTGCATTTTGTTAATAATATAATTCTAGAGAAAGCTGGCCTGCCATGACTGTTTTTTAGTGTTTCTTCCTCATTAATTTAGATCTTCTCCAGCTGATGAACATTTTTGCTTAGTAGAAGTTCATTAATTCTCCCCTCCCCGACTCATTCCAGCAATGCAATTTAAACAGCATTAATCCGGTATTTAGTGAGAAAATGGAGTTTTATACTAAGAAACATTCAGTTTGAGACAATCTTTTTTTCTTCTTAAACAACTTTTTTTGAAATCCTAATTTAATGACGAATTATCATCATTTGTGTTGGAAGAAGGTTTAAGAAGAGAGAGAATAATGGATGAGGGTTATGAAATTTTAGAGCCAGACGAACTCTCATCTGGCCTCTTGTTTTATACATGAGGACATGGGTCCCAGAAAGGTTGACTTATGGGCTCCAGGCCACTGAAGAGTGAATGGCAGAGCTGGGTTGTGAACCTCTTCTTGCCGTCCAAGCTACCTTCTGTCTGCTGGGGGGTGGCAGGCTTGGGTCATGTTCTCCCACTGTCTAGTTTGAGCTTGGCAAGTTTTTCAGCTGCAGTGAAGCTCAATTTTTTGATCTGTAAACTGCCCATGTAGTGATAGTTCCTCCCTTGTCAGTATTAGGGGTAGGTTAATGTAAGTAAAGCAATTACAAAATTGCTGGCACCTGGTAGGCATAGCGAGACTGTCGAATGAAGAGACAATAATTTAAGGTCATTACTGTTTATAGTTATAATTTACCTGAGTGCTTCTCATATGCTGGGCCTTTGCTGAGCTCTTCCAAACCACCCTTTGGATAATGGTTTGAAAGGGCTCTGGCTAGGATATCCACCCTATGAGGTATTAGAATGGTGCAAAAGTAACTGCTGTTTCTTCCATTACTTTCAATGGCAAAGGGCACAATTACTTTTGCACCAACTTAATAGAAAGTCTAACAAGTTTCTACTGTTATGAGAACTCTGGAACTTTTATTTCCCCATTCCTGTCTTGTTTGTTGCCCCCCAAACCTCAACCATTTCCTACAGGAATTAACAATGAAACCCTTAAAATGGAAAGTTCTCAGGGAACTGTTTTAGAACAGTGGAGTAGGCAGTTCCTGGGGAGATGCCTGTTATTCCACAGTGAGGGGTGAAGATAACTCACAGTATGGGGTGGGACTCGGCAGCTGTGAGAAGCCAGGGGAAGCGGGTGAATCACTGTGGGTACAGGAGGAGGAGTTTGACTAATCATACCTTATACCAGTGGTTCTCCACTGGAGACAGTTTTGTCCCCCAGGAGACATTTGACAATGTCTGAAGACATTTTTGGTTGTCATGGGGGATGGGTGATAGGTGAGTGTGATATTGCTGTCTGGTGGGTAGAGACCAGGGATACTGCCACACTCCCTAAAATGCACAGACCAGCCCCCAACAACAAAGAACTGTGGCCCAAAATGTCAACAGTGCTGAGGTTGAGATACCCTGCCTTACACACATCCTATGATTTGGTCTTTATGAAAAAGTATGAAGTATGAGGAAGGGAGCCGGTATTTAATAAGGGTAATAGGATCTCTTCTGTGCCAGGCATTACATTGGGCTGGAGTTGGGAAGACAGATTTTAACTGCCTGATAACTTGATCAGTGGGTAGGAGCCTCTTGGATCACTCTATTGACAAGGATTCTGACGCACAGCAGGAAAGAAGGCTGCAATCAATGGACTCCAGTGCTGGCACTTTTCAGCTGTGTAACCTTGAGCAGTTACTTAACCTTTCTGTGCCTCAGTTTTCATGTCTGTAAAATGCTGATGATAGGAGTATCTACCTTATTGAGTTGCCATGAGGATCAAATTAATTAATAATTTAAAGAGCTTTTTGAACTATGCCTGCCGTGCAGTTAGTTATCTTCATCCTCATTATCAGGAACAAAACAATCTTGCTGCGTATTTACCATCCTTGTTTTGTCAAATTATACACAAAGTCTCATATAAGTAGATATATTAGATATGTATAATTTAACATGTGTAATTTGCCCCATTTTTAGGATGAGGAAATTTTGTTTAAAATTGGGTAAGAGGACAGAGAACTGATCGAGAATGTTAAACTAGTGGGTGAGCTTTTATAGAGAGTGTTGTCCTAGTTCATGAAGTATTTCTTCAACCAGCTTTATCCCTTGCCTAACCCTGAAATGTGTATATCGACCCTTGGGGGCTGGTCTTCATTGCAAATTTGTATTGTTCAGTTTTTTCTTGAGCTGTGTTCTTGTTAGGCAATAAAGATTGCTTTGGCACTTTCTAATATGACCTGCCCATGGGACTTTCAGAAAAAGATAGGTGTGGAGTCAGACCAGGGGCTTACATACAGGCAATCCCCATATGGTAAGTTTTGTTTGTCTCTCACAATTTTTTGAAGTTTGAATTTGTGGCCAATGTTTATAAATCAAAACATAGCACATAAAAATGTAAGGTTCCAGTATTTCTGAAAATGAGAATATCTGGTTACATTGGACCCACATTAAAACATGGCAAAAATTGGCTGGGGTAGCCACTCTCCTCCCTTCAGATGCTGAACTTGCTAGTTTGCCCCACTCCCCACCCTGCCTCATTGCATTCTCAGTACTGAGGCTGAGCGGTAGCTGCCGTCTGTTCACTCACACTTGGCCTGCTTCACTTGTTCCTATTTCCTGTCTGCCCTGCAAGCACCAAGGGTTTGCAACTGCTTGCACAGAGCTGATTATGCTATCTCGTTACATTCAAAGCGCTTTCACACATGCTGACCTTCTGCTACCTGTGAAGAAGTCAGGGCAGGGATTATTGTGTCCACTTTCTAGATGTGAAAGTAGAGACTCAAAATTAAGCAATTTGCCCAGGATCCCACAGCAATTTTAATGCTGAGTTAGGATTAGAGTAGCTTGACGGCTCCTGAAGCTTTGGAATTGGTTTGTAACAGACTGTAAGAACTTGGAAACACGGTTTTATTCCAGGGTCCTCTAGTCTCACAGTTGTAAAAAGGAAGACTGTAGTTTCAAGACTTTGTGGATTTCTAAAATTTCTAAAAAATTGAGAGAACCCGACACATGTTGTCAACTTTGTTGTCAATTTTCATTTTGCCAGGTAAGAATATTAAATTCAAGATAGAAAGCTAATCATCACTATAATTTTATAAAATAAAGGATATGTTATAACTATAAAAGAAGGAAAAACTTAATCTCAGAATAAAGGATGGCCTATCTCAGGAAAAGTGTGCATACATTTGTATGCGTACATAGAAATATTATTAAACATTTCCTTTATTTTTTTTATGTCAACTTGGCACATCCAGGAAGTAGTACTTGGGGAATCACAGGATTGGGAAATCTTTAAGATTATTTTCAGCGTACTCATTCTAGATATTTTTGTTTGTTTTTGTTTCAATGTAACAGTTTTGTGACCCAGTCTCCAAACAAATCAGAATGCTGACAGGTGTCATGTAGGTCATTTGGGCACATGCCTTTCTGGTCTCCATTCTGCTCCTGCTTCCAGATCACCTGGCTTGGATAAGAGAAAACCAAATTACCTAGTCTTTGTGAAAAAATTATTTAGGCATTGGGAGTTAATTCCTGGCTCCAAGTGGAGCCTCCACCAAGTAAATCCATGCCAATGGCTCTCCACATAGGTGATGCCAAAGAAGCTGGATATATGGGGCCTGCGTTATCTCAGAAAGCACCAACTCTCCGAAAACTCTCTTGGAGAAATGGAGAAAGATAGAATGCAAACTAGAGGTCGGGAGATAAGTGGTTGAGTTCCAATTTTTCTAGGATTTTTTGTGTAACCTTGGACAAGCTATCTCCCCTCTCTGTGCCTGAATTTCCTTCTCTCTAATGCAAAGAGAGTAGATTAGATGATATTTAAGTTCCCTCCTACTTCTGACATGCTCCAATTCAACCTAATTCAATTCACAAAATCAAAATATAAGCAGGGAAGGCCCTGAAAGGTCATCTAGTAGGAGCACCTTTTTGTCGCCTGCTCTATTCAATTAAATGCAAATGAAAGGTACCCAGCCATAAGCTTCAAGGAACACCAGACTGTCCCTTTCATCCGTGAGAGCGGTGCTGTGATCTGAGAGAGGCAGGGCAGCTGAGCCGTGGAATAACCTGACTGCAGTTTTGCTGGGGTAGGAAATGGCCTCATTGTTTCATCTGAGTCCAACTTTGATCCTGGGCCTAGTGGCTCTCACAATAAGGGAGAGCCTTTTGCTATTGTATTTTTTATGACTCCAGTCCATCTTTCTATTTTCAGCTAGGAGCAAATTATGACAACCCCTGTGGGTGTATTTCCCTGCTAAAATTTTTCCTTTGGAATGTCTAGGGATAAGGGGTGCAAAGAGGGGTGTATGGACTCACAGGTTCTTAGCCTGTTAGGGGTGGGGACACACACAGAACCGATGCAGTTTGAAGCTTGACTCCTTCCAGGTGCTTTCCTATCCAATGTTGTTGTAGCCTGTGTTTGCATACTTACTGTGATGGGGCCCTCCACTACCTAAAGGAAGCACTTATACTTTGGCCTCTGTTGAGTGATGGTCTTTTTACTGAGTTGAAATCTCTTTCCTCTGCTTTTTACTCATTGTTTCTGGCCCTGCCCTCTGCAGCCGCTCAGAAGAATTTTGTTTCCTTCTCACTTGTTAAGTCAGCCCTGCATCTTTTCTCTTAGTTAAGCATTCTCTTCACCCTCAGCCATTTATCTCTCTTTTTTTTTTTTTTTTTTGAGATGGAGTCTTGCTCTGTTACCCAGGCTGGAGTGCAGTGGCGCGATCTCGGCTCACTGCAAGCTCCGCCTCCTGGGTTCACGCCATTCTCCTGCCTCAGCCTCCTGAGTAGCTGGGACTACTGGCGCCCGCCACCACGCCCGGCTAATTTTTTTTGTATTTTTAGTAGAGACGGGGTTTCAACGTGTTAGCCAGGATGGTCTCGATCTCCGGACCTTGTGATCCGCCCGCCTCGGCCTCCCAAAGTGCTGGGATTACAGGCATGAGCCATCGCGCCCGGCCAGCCATTTCTCTTATAATTTCCAGACCTCTCACCATCTAGATTATTATCCTTGGGCTTCATCCTAACTTATTCATTCATTTACTTATTCAACAAATATTTATATAGTACCTACCATGTGCCAGGCTTTGTGCTGCATACTGGTGATGGGGTGTTAAGCAAGACCTGATTCCTGGCCTCTGAGTACTATGGAGAAAACATTCATTGAGTAAATAATTCTGAAGCCCCACTTGGTGAGTTTGAACTCCAGCCCCACCATTTACCTTTTGGAGCTGTTCGGTAAGTTGTTTGACTTTTGTGGCCCAGAGTTCCCCTATCTGCTGAGTGGGGGAGGGGGGAGTAATAATAGCTACTTCATTAGGGTTGTTATTAGGAGTTAAAAATGAAAAGTACCTAGAACCAAAGTTGGCATGTCATAAACCCTGAGAAAATGTTAGCTGCTGTTACTACTACAGTACTACAACTACTACTACAATGGCAGAGAAAAAGATGCTCAGGTGCATGGACTGTGGAGTTGTGGAAGCATGGAATTCTCCTCTAAGGAAGTAGCATTTAAGCTGAGACATGTAGGGTGAACAGGAGTTGGCTCAGTGAAGAGAGAGAGGAGAGTGGTGAGCAGTCCAAGCAGAGGAAACAGCATGTGCAAAGGTCCTGAGGAAGGGAAGGTACTTGGCATGTGGTAGGAACAAAAGAAAGCCAGTACGGGTAGAGCTTAGTGAGGCAATGAGCAGCAGGAGACATACACCAGAGTGGTGAATGGGGCTGCATGCTACAGGATCTCACAGGTCATTTGAAGACTTTGGGTTCTGTAAGAGCAATGGCCAGATGCTAAGAGGTGTAAATCAAAAGTATCTGAGATAGGTCTCAATCAATTTAGAAAGTTTATTTTGCCAAGGTTAAGGATGTGTTCCTGACATAGCCTCAAGAGGTCCTAACAACATGTGCCCAAGGTGGTCAGGGTACACCTTGGTTTTATACATTTTAGGGAGACCTGAGATATCAGTCAATACCTGTAAGACATACATTGGTTTGGTCTGGAAAGGTGGGACAACTTGAAGTGGTGGGGGTGGGGTGGGGCAGCTTCCAGGTCATAGGTAGATTTAAAGATTTTCTGACTGGCAATTTGTTGAAAGAGTTATTATCAATAGAAAAGAATGGGTTACAATAAGGGGTGGTAGAGACCAAAGTTTTATCATGCAGATAAAGCCTTCAGGTAGCAGGCTTCAGAGAGAATAGATTGTAAATATTTCTTATCAGACATAAAGAGTCTGTTCTATTAGTAATTTATTAGTAATTCTTTTTTTTTTTTTGAGACAGAGTCTTGCTCTGTCACCAAGGCTGGAGTACAGTAGTGCTATCCTGGCTCACTGCAACCTCTGCCTCCCAGGTTCAAGCAATTCTCCTGCCTCAGTCTCCCGAGTAGCTGGGATTATAGGTGCCTGCCACCACACTTGGCTAATTTTTGTATTTTTAGTAGAGACATGGTTTTACCACATTGCCCAGGCTGGTCTCCAACTCCTGACCTCAAGTGATGCACTCTCCTTGGCCTCCTAAAGTGCTGGGATTACAGGTGCGAGCCACCGTGCCCGGCCTCTATCAGTAATTCCAAAAGGGAGGAGGGTATAATGATGCAATCAGGCCTCCCCTTACTATCAGGGCCTGAACTAGTTTTTCAGGTTAACTTTGGAATGCCCTTGCCGAGGGGAGGGGTTCATTCAGTTGATTGGGGGGCTTCAAATTTTATTTTTGGTTTACAAAGGCTTTAAGTTGTGGAGAAGCAAGGCAAAGGTTTGCCTTTTGTGATCACTCTGGCTATTCCATAGGTTCTGAATACATGAAATTCTTTGGGATCATCATCTCCTTTAATTTGTACCCTTTACTCTTATTGACACAACCAAGGATCACATTTGCTCTTTAGGTGGTTTTATAGAACCAGTGGCTCATATCCAGGGTCTCATTCCATAAGGCCTTGCCTTGACTTACTGGTCTTCAAACTCCCTAAAGAATTACACAATAGAAGCTTAAAGTATTATCCCACACAGATGAATGAAAATCCTAAGGCTGGAAATCTTTAGATTATAAGAGCACAAACTTCAATAGCGTGGTTTTAGGCATTGTAACAGGTGGTGGAGTGGCAGCTTTGGGCAGGGGGACCTACAAATAGCCATGAAATCCCAAGGCTGTCCTAGCCCTCTACCCCCCCGGCACAGACACCCTATGATTATATGCCATTTTGGGACACCTATGGGGTACAGTGAGACCTTTTAATCAATACTTGGGTAGAGAGACAATCCTTTTTGAGGCACATATCGTAACTCCTTCCCAAGAAGCTGAAGCCTTACTCTGAGTATCTCTTTCTCTTTTTCATTCGTGACACTGAAATAACAGGGCAAGAGTAGGGTGGATTGTGGATAACCTGCTGACATCAGTGATAGATCAAATAATTGATTTTCTTCTAAATCCGGATTATGCTGCTGTAGCTCCCAGGAACTATTTATAGTGCCCGTCAGTCTTATTCTGTTGTGAGCATTGGTTGAGGTGTATATATATACACACACACACGCATGTGCACACACACGGAAGAAGATTTGAACACATACACACAACTTCAATAGCAATATGCTCAGACCCTCAACTCACAATGTCTCAAGTTTATGTACAGATCCACACATTTACTTTTAAAAACTGAGGTATAATTGACAAATAGAAGTTGTATATATTTAAGCATACTATGCAGTGTTTTGATATATGTATACATTGTGAAAAGGTCACCAAAATTGAGCTAATTTATATATTTATGACCTTGCATGGTCATGATTACTTTTTGCATGGTGAGAACATTTAAGATCTATCCCCTTAGCACTTTTCAAGTATATAGTACAGTACTGTTAACTACAGTGACATTGCTGGATGTTAGGTCTCCAGAACTCATATATAATAACTTAATTTATATAACTGAAGCTTTGTATCCTTTGACCAACATCTCCCCATTTCTCCCTCCCTTCAGCCCCTGGCAACTACGGTTCTACTCTGTGCTTCTATGAGTTTCAGTATTTTAGATTTCACATATAAGTGAGATCATGCAGTATTAGTCTTTCTGTGTGTCTGGCTTATTTCACTTTGCATAACGTCCTCCAGGTTTATCCGTGTTGTTGTAAGTGGCAGGATTTCCTTTTTTTTAAGGCTGAGTAATATTCCATTGCCTATGTACATATACCACAATTTCTTTATCCATTTATCTGTGGATAGACATTTAGGTTTTCATATCTTGGCTATTGTGAATAATGTGGTGTTGAACATGGGAGTGCAAATATCTTTTTAAGATCCTGATTTTATTTCCTTTGGATACATACCCAGAGATTGGATTGCTAGATCATATTGATAGTTCTACTTTTTTTTTTTTGAGAAAGCTCCATACAGGTTCCCATAACGGCTGTTCAATTTATGTTCCCACCAACTGTATAAAGAGTTCCCTTTTCTCTACATCCTCACCAGCTTGTCTCTTTTTTTAATGATAGCTATTCTAACAGGTGGTCTTACACCATTTTAACACACCCTGTTACAGACCTTCAGATCTGAAGAGGCCACGTGGCCATCCTGAGCTTTCTCTTCATTCCTGGTTAACTGTTTTTCAGTCTCTGGGATCTTGCTGCTGAAAGAGATGCTGGTGGACCAGCCACAACATCACCGAGGCTGCTGGATATGCAAAATCTTGGGTCCCACCCTAGAACTCCTGAGTCAGAATCTGCCTTTTAACAAGATCCCAGGTGATTTGTATGCATGTTATAGTCTGAGGAGCCATGGGCTAAAATATTTGCCTCCCTTGGCAAACATAGCAGTGGCTCCAACCAGAGCAGCTCTATTTTTATGCTTGATATTAATGGTTTCTACAGAGGATTTTACTGGAAGAAAGGGCTCCCCTGCTAGGACGATGTATGAAAGCTGCTGCACCACACTGTGCTGGCTTTCAGGCTTGGAGGATGTTTCCTCTCAGAACTTCTTGTGTGGCCACATTTTTCCATTTGGACACTTCTCATATACTCACCCCATTTCCTAGAATGTTGTCTCCCACATCCCCCGACGTTGCCAGACTAAATCCCATACAACTTTTAGAGGTCTCAGCTTTTAATTGATTCCTCTTGTAGGCTGCAAATGCACAGTGAATGTCTCTTTGTAAACACTGAGCATACTTGGAGTTTTATGCTTAATATCTACCTTCTCCAAGAAATTATGAACTCCATAAGGTATTGTTATTTGGTGCTTAATAGACATGCAATAAATAGGCATTGAAAGAATGAAGGACATAGGAAGGTTGCTCAAGGAGGACTACAAGTAAAGGTTGTTCATTCACTCATGCAGAAAGCATTTCTTGAACACCTACTCTGTGTCAGGCAGGGTATTGAGTCTTGGGGGCACACATAGCTCAGGCCTGGGTCCTTACTGCAGTTGCTCTTAGTATAGCAGGTGGAGATGGACATAAACACTGAGGCACAGGCAGGTGGGAGCCAATATCAGTTCCCATGAGACACAAAAGAAGGGGTGATTGTACCTCATTTCTGAGATAATTTGTTAATATCTCAGCCAGGGCTCTGGGATC
Organism: Homo sapiens; assembly: GCF_000001405.40. Lineage (NCBI taxonomy): Eukaryota > Metazoa > Chordata > Mammalia > Primates > Hominidae > Homo > Homo sapiens. Next base: position 151,970,196 of record NC_000005.10, read on the forward strand.
TTCTGTTTCTCTCTGTGTGAGGAATTAGCTGTTTCAAGGAGCTTTCTCAAAAGGAACCCTTGGCTCAGAGGGCATTATGAATCTTGATTTTGATTTTTTCTTATTTTTTATGAGTAAGTTTCTTAGGAACAGGCACAGATACTGTTTGTTTGTTTTTTTTTTTTTTTTTGAGACACAGTCTCTCTCTGTTGCCAGGCTGGAGTGCAGTGGCGTGATCTTGGCTCACTGCAACCTCTGCCTCCCAGGTTCAAGCGATTCTCCTGCTTCAACCTCCCGAGTAGCTGGGACTACAGGCACGTGCCACCACACCCAGCTAATTTTTGTATTTTTAGTAGAGACGGGGCTTCACCATGTTGGCTGAGATGGTCTTGATCTCTTGACATCGTGATCTGCCTGCCTTGGCCTCCCAAAGTGCTGGGATTACAGGCTTGAGCCCCAGCACCCGGCCTACAGATACTGATTTTTAAAGAATAAATCTTCAGACTTTAACTTCTCTTTTTAACAATGATCCTCTATTTCAGTTTGTTGGAGGTGATTCCTTATTTTTCATTTTTTTTTTCCAAAGGTCAAATGAAGAATAAACCCAAATATAAGGAAAAAGCAAGGGCTTAAATAAGGAAAACCTTGGATAGGCAAGGCAGTTTCTTCTCTGCTTCCCTCTTTGTCTCCCTCTGTCCTTCCTGCATTCCCTCCCTCCTTTCTTCCCTCCTTTGTTAGGTGTTGGGGATTCAGTATAGTCTTTCTCCTCACATGGCTTACCATCTAATGAAGCAAACAGAGGATTAAGCCATCACAGCAAAGTGTGAAATATACTCAGATGGGAAGGGCCAGTTGCCCTGGGAGCACATAGCAGAGATATGCTTTAGTCTAGAATTGCAAAAGGCTTCCTAGAGGAAGTGATATTGAGGGATGAGTAAGCTTTAGAAGTGTCAGGCTTCAGGCCAGTAGGGTGGAGGGAGAGAGGGACAGTCAGGGTGGTGGGGACATTCTGGGTAGGGCACAGCATGTGCAAAGGCCCAGAAATAAGAGGGGGCACAGCACATTGAGGGAATTGAGAGAAGAGCAGCAGGGGCTGGGACATAGGGAGCTTGCAGAGAAGAGACTGGGGTAGGAAAGAGGCAGGACCCTCATGGTACAGGATTCTTTAAGCCACTTTTAATAGTTTGAACTTGATCTTGGGGAAATGGGGAGCTAATAAAGGGTTTTAAGCTCAGAAGTGAGACAATCAGACTTGAGTATTTGTGAGGTCCCTAGTGTGGAGAGCATATTCCTGGGATAAGTCTGAAGGTGGGGAAACTGAAAGGGGGCTGTTGTAGCTGCTGAGGTAAAAGATAATGGTATTCTGATAATCCTAGTGAGCTAAGTAGTATGGGTGCTCCTGGGGATTGGGTTTACGAGTGCTAAAGCCCACCTTGACCCTGACCATCACTCAGGCAGCCCTTGTGCCAGGCCTGTGCTAATTAATAATTTCATTTAATGCTTGTATAATCTTGCCAAGTATGTTTTGCCTCCACCTGCCAAAAAGAGACAAGGATCTACCTGTTGTCTTTCTCTGGGGGGCCCGGTGACAACCAAAATAAGATCCTGTTTAAGAAAAGGTCTTAAAAAGTATAAGCTATACTCATAAGAATGATTATGAGCTATATTCATAATTCACTGAGAAGTGAATTAATGATGTAATATAACCCTGGGTCAACCTGGAGGAGATCTCAACATGGGCAAATTGGGGGTGGGTTATGTGGGTGAGGATGTCAGAGACTTCAGAATGGCCCTTGACCCCAAACTAGTTTCTCTGTCACCCTGCAGATATCTAAAATTCTATCATTAGTTGAAATGCAGGTCCAGGCCGGGAGCGGTGGCTCACGCCTGTAATCCCAGCGCTTTGGGAGGCCGAGGTGGGCGGATCGCGAGGTCAGGAGATCAAGACCATCCTAGCTAACACGGTGAAACCCCGTCTCTACTAAAAATACAAAAAATTAGCCGGGCTTGGTGGCAGGCGCCTGTAGTCCCAGCTACTTGGGAGACTGAGGCAGGAGAATGGCATGAATCCAGGAGGTGGAGCTTGCAGTGAGCTGAAATAGCGCCACTGCACTCCAGCCTGGGGATAGAGCGAGACTCCGTCTCAAAAGAAAAAAGGAATGCAGGTCCAAATGAAACTCTACTATTAAGCGAAGGGGTAATGAGGATCTTCCACATTACATAAAAACACTGTTCATGCATGGCATTGGTACGGATATCTTGCTTTGTATTTTTTGCCAATAATATAAATTTTCATTTATTTTCTCCCATTGATCTGCAGTCTTCATAAAACCCATAAAAGGTAGATGGAGAGGTCTGGGATGATTATTCTCATTTAACAGATGATAAAACAGAGAAAGTCTCTGAAAAGGAAGTGACTTGCTTGCAATAAATGGCAGAGCTAAACTAGGACCTGGAATCTTCCAACTGCAGGCTGCGAGGCTCAGGCCTAAGCCCAGAGTTACCTGAGACTCAAGGTGGGTGAGAGCAGACAGCAGGGGAAAGAATGAGAGAAAGGAAGGTGCAGGCATCCCTCAGGTGGGGAGTCCATGTGCCTGAACTTTCTGGCGGTCCTTTTAGTTGCAACCTGCTTGAGGTGATGGTTTCTCCTTGTTTCAACCCAGAAACTTTCCTGTATACTCATTCATCAGGTTCACTTTCTGCTCTGCCAGTGAGGTAGGAAAGCCAGGAAGCACTTGCTGTAGGCTTTCATTTTACTTGTTTTTCAGATGAGTGAGGAATGAAGATAGATCAGGGAGGCCAGGAGTGGGGAGGCAGAGAACATCACTGAGATACTATTAGCAGACTCTCTTCAAGAGGGTTTTAGTTAAATGAGACAAATAATAATGACATTAAAAATCTTCTGTGTCAGGGAAACTCTTTATGGCTCACAAAACGCTTCTATCTCCATTTAGCTCTTAACCCCTTTCTAGTGCTTTCCTGCTGGATTTGTTGAGGCGACAAAATGAGATAATGATATAAAGTAGTTAGAAGTACCTAACTATCGTGAGTAACTCATGTCCTCCTCTTCCTTCTTTATGCCATTACACTTGGTACAATATTTAGTGATAACATTAATTATTGCTTCCATTTATTGAGCACTTACTATGAGCTAAGAACTATGCTGAACCCTTCGCAGGCCTTATTCCATTTAATCTTCATAGCAATTCTCTAAGAAAGGGACTATGATTCCTCTCTTGTAGATGAGAATATGAAGGTTCAGAGAAGTACACTTGCTTGCTAAATACACAGTTTGTATGTGGAAGAGCTGGATTTTGAATCCAGGCTGTCTCCACACTCCCTGCTAGTAATGGCTCGGCCTCCTCAAATCAGTCTGGGTTCCTTCTATTAGCACCCTTTCCCCCAGAACAGTGACTGTCAGCCTGGGCTACCCAGTGGCTCTCAGCATGCGCTACCCATTGGAATTACCTGTTACCTCCAATGGGTAATAGGGAAGCTTTAAGAACTTGCATGCTGGGGTCCCACCCTGAGGCACAGATATGATTGGTCTGGGGTGTGGCCTGAGCCATGGGACTTTAGAAAACTCTGTAGGTGGTTCCAATGTGCAGCCAGGGTTGAGACTCTGAGTTGCAAAGTTTTAGTATCGTATTCGCCTCCTGTATTTGTCACAGGTTGGCTAGGTGTTTGCTTAATCAAGGGAACTCAGACTCAAATACCTATGGATAAGGCAAAAATGTAAAAACAGTAGTAATTAAAAAAATAGAGATAAAGTGTGATGATTGACTTAAAGTGTGGCAATTGACTTTGACCTCAGCTTTGGGAGGATACTAGGGAGTGGTGGGGAACAGTAAACTGGAGAGCCCTTGGACATCTAAAGAGGAGCCCCTCTACCCCAATCAGTTATTGCCATCTGGGCCCAGTGTGGTCAGATCTCATTTTTTTCAAAAGAAGATGGCAGTTAGTATTTATTAAGGGAAAGCTCCCTGTTTTTAAATGTGGGTGATTACTTTTAAAACAGTTAAACATCATCTGGATTAAAGATGTTTTATACCTTGTGGGCTACCAGTTTGTATTCTCTGTCTTAATTATTTTTCTCTACAAACTACTCAGATCCCTGGTTGTTAAGGTTTATTTATCTGATTTGCCATAAACCACTGTGTGTTGTTAATTTACATTAAATAATGTAATTTTTAAATTGAGAAATGTAACACTTTTATTTCATTATGGAAAATATAAAACATGCAAATTATGAACACAGAAAAATTATTGCCTTTCTACTCAGAAATAAACATGCTGTATATACTTTCAGTCTTTATTTCTCTATCATATACAGATCTTTATATATAGAACGTGTTACAAATGCAGATCCCTGAATCCCACTCTTGGGCTAATTCAGTATGTCTGGAAGTAGGCCTGGGAATCTGAATGTATAACATGTTTTGAGAAGATTATAATATATACAATTATAATTGAGATGCTCTTTTCTTAAAAATGGGCTTTAAAAACTTAATCCGTAATGAAATTTTTAAATGACATTTAGTATTCTATATAATTCTTGAAAAATTCATTTGAATATATCACAATATAAACAATGTTTTAAAAAACTGAAATGAACATCCCTCTAAATAGTTTTACATACCCATTTAATTAGGATAAATTTCTACAAGTAGAGTTGTTGGATTAAAGAATATGTACATTTTCAGGCTTCCAATATAAATGGGCAAATTGTCTTCCAGAAAGGATACAATTTTTTTTAAATTACATGTTTATTTTTTGTAGAGAGCATCAATTTTTCCATACTCCTGCTAAAACCTGGAATTCTCATCTGAAAGATCAATTTAGTAGCAGCAAATATCTTACTTTCATTTGAATTTACCTGCTGCATGCTAGAGAAGTTTAACATTTTATTTTTATTTTTTGCCATTTTTATTTCTGTTAATGATTGTCCATTTCTTATTCTTGTTATATTAAGAGTATACCTTTTTCTGTCATGTGTATCGAAACTGCTTTTTTCCAATTTAAAAATTTGCTTTCCAAAGCCTTTTTTATACTGAAGTTCTAATTCAGTATAGTCAAATCTGTAGATGTTTTTTCCTTTATGGATTCTGCATTTACTTATATGTAGGATTGTTGATACAATCTAAGTTAAAAAATTCATACATTTTCTTCTTCTTTTAAGAATTACATTTTAACTTTAATTTTTTAACCTATTGTAAATTAATTTTGGCATATAATACAAGATGTGGGTTGAAATTTTATTTGTTTTTTTTTCTGCTATTTAAATAGTCAAGTTTTCAATGTGTCTGAGTAAATTTTAACTTACTTTTTCCTAGAAAAGAAACTATTTCAATGAGATTTTTCAAATTTATTAGCCTGGAGTTATGCACAGTATTCTTTATAGTAAAAAAATTATTCTTATTTCCAATATTTTTAATTTGCTTCAGTCTCTTCCTCTGTTAGGCATTCTATAGGTATTTTTAAACATTTACATTTAATGGTTATTTGGGTAACTTAACAATTCATTAATTTTTTGCTTTTTGATTTGTTAATTTTTGCTTATCTTAGTTTATTATTTTTCTAATATTGTCTTCAATTCTTACATTTATTTCCACTTTTTCTTGTTGAGTAATGACACATAAAGTTTTAAATTTTAATATACATATAGCTTTGACCACCTCACATATATTTTGGAATGTAGTAGCCTCAAATTTTATTATTCTTGAAATAATTTGTAATAAGGATTTTGATTTCCACTTTCAAAAGTTATTCAGGAGAACATTAATAATTTCTAAGAAGTCGATATATTAAAACTTGAAACTTTAATTTCAAATTTTATTGCATTATGCTCTGAAACGTGATCTGTACATTTATTTTTGCAGCATATTGAGGTATTCATTGTGGCTTAATAAATGACAGATTTTTATGACTTTTATGAGTGCTGGAAGGAAGATATATTCCCTTATTGTAGAGTATCTAGTTTGTTAAATCAACATAATTAGTTTATGTTATTTGCATCCTTTTGTCTTAATTTTTGTTCACCTTTCCAGTCAAAGATTTAGATGTATTTAATTATCTCACTGCTAATCTTTTCTCCTCAATATCTATGTAACGTAATTTATATATTTCAAAGAAATTTCTTGGTTAATAAAAAACTAATATTTTTCATTATGCATTTTATCCTTTATATTATTATTTGTTTAATTAAAAAAAATTTTTTTTTGAGGTGTGATCTCACTCTGTCACCCGGTCTGGGGTGTAGTGGTGCAATTACAGCTCAATGCAGCCTTGACCTCCCCAGACTCAGGTGATTCTCCTACCTCAGCCTCCTGAGTAGCTGGGGCCACAGGTGGGTGCCACCATGCCTGGCTTATTTTTGTATTTTTGTAGTGCCAGGGTTCCACCAGGATGCCCAGGCTGGTCTCGAACTCCTGAACTCAAGTGATCCACCTGCCTTGCTTGGCCTCCTCAAGTGCTGGGATTATACCTGTAAGCCACTGTGCCCGGCTAAGGCTTCTTTTTAAAACTTTTTCTACTTTTCACATAATACTATTGTGAACCTGATTTCCTAATGTTTAGGTGGTCTGTCATGTCTTTCTCCATTTCTCTAACTTTTGCACTTTTTTTTTCCTTTGGTATGGGTTACTTGGTTTTAGAGATATCTCCTTTCAATAGTATGAAATTTAGTCATGTGTGTGTGTTGTGGGAAGTCACTCATTTTGAGAGTTTTTTTTTTTTTTGCCATGTAAGAGAGTTGTTAAACTGATTTATATTTATTTCTGAATGTCTATAACGGTCTTATTTATTTTTCTAATGTGAATTGTCTATTAGAAAGTAAATTTTCTTTTCTGAGAGTGAGACATAAAGGAAATTTTTGGGCAAATGAAATAAACTGAGTTTTTGGGATTAATAAATCAATTTGTAAATCTAAGGATTAATAAAAATAGAATGTTAATTTTCATGGTTTCTTGATATTTACTAAAATGGTTGAATTTTTTTCTGATCTTTTAAATGTATTTTTCTCTGTCACATGTTTTGGTTATTTTTTCCATAGGTAAAGAAAATGTATTAGTATTACTTTTAATTGACACATAATAATTGAACATATTTATGGAAAGCAGTGTGATATTTTGAACATGTATATACTATATAATGATCAAATCAGGGGAGTTAGCATATCTATCACTTCAAATATTTATCATTTCTTTGTGCTGGGAACATTCAAAATCTTCTATCTATTTGAGAATATACAATAAATTATTGTTGACTGTAGTCATCCCACAATGTTAGAGAACACTGGAACTTATTCCTCTTAGCTCACTGCAATTTTTGTCCATTAACCAACGTATCCCTGTTTCCCTGCACCCCTACTCTTCCCAGTCTTTAGTAACCACTATTCTACTTTCTACTTATGTGAAATCAACTTTGTTAGCTTCCACATATGAGTGAGAACATGTGGTTATTTATCTTTCTGTGACTGGCTTACTGCACTTAACATGTCTTCCAGACTCATCCATGTTGCCATGATGAATGAGAGTATTTCATTCTTTTAAAATAACTGAATAGTATTCCATTATGTATATATACCACATTTTCTTTGTCCATTCATCTGCTGATGGATGCACGTTGATTTCATATCTTGGTTATCGTGAATAGTTCTGAAATAAACATAGGAGGTCAGATATCTCCTCAACATACTGATTTCCTTTTCTCTGTATGTATACCTAGTGGTGGGATAACTGGATCATGTGGTAGTTCTATTTTTAGTTTTTAAAGCAGCCTCTGTTCTGTTTTCCTTAATGGGGGAAATTCCATAAGAATTTATATAACATAAGAATTTTCATTTTTACCAATAGTAAGAGTTTCTCTTTCTCTGCATCATCACCAGCATTTGTTATTTTTTGTCTCTTTGATAATGGTCATTCTAACTGGGGTGAGATGATATCTCACTGTGGTTTTGATTTTCATTTCCCCTCATGATTAATGATGTTAAGCATTTTATTTTTTATTTTTGTTTTTTTTTCCATAGCTTATTGGGGTACAGGTGGTGTTTGGTTACATTAGTAAGTTCTTTAGTGGTGATTTGTGAGATTTTGGTGCACCCATCACTCAAGCAGTATACACTGTACCGTATTTGTAGTCTTTTACCCTCGCCCCTCTCCTACCCTTCCCCCCATGTCCTGAAAGTCCATTGTGTCATTCTTATGCCTTTGCATTCTCATAGCTTAGCTCCCACATATCAGTGAGAACATATGATGTTTCGTTTTCCATTCTTGAGTTACTTCACTTAGAATAATAGTCTCCAATCTCATCCAGGTTGCTGGGAATGCCGTTAATTCATTCCTTTTTATGGCTGAGTAGTATTCCATTGTAGATATTCCACTCGTTGATTGGTGGGCATTTGGGTTGGTTCCACAATTTTGCAATTGCGAATTGTGCTTCTATAAACGTGAGTGTGCAAGTATTTTTTTCGTATAATGACTTCTTTTCCTCTGGGTAGATACCCAGTAGTGGGATTGCTAGATCAAATGGTAGTTCTATTTTTAGTTCTTTAAGGGGTCTCCACACTGTTTTCTGTAGTGGCTGTACTAGTTTACATTCCCACCAGCAGTGTAGAAGTGTTCCCTAATCGCTGCATCCACGCCAACATCTACTGTTTTTTGATTTTTTGATTATGGCCATTCTTGCAGGAGTAAGTGCTATTGCATTGTGGTTTTGATTTCCCTGATCTTTAGTGATGTTGAGCATTTTTTCATATGTTTGTTGGTCATTTGCATATCTTCTTCTGAGAATTGTTCATTCATGTCCTTAGCTCACTTTTTGATGGGATTGTTTTTTCTTGCTGATGGCGTTTGAGTTTGTTGTAGATTCGGGATATTAGTCTTTTGTCAGATGTATAGATTGTGAAGATTTTTCTCTCACTTTGTGGGTTGTCTGTTTACTCTGCTGACTGTTCCTTTTGCCATGCAAAAGCTCTTTAGTTCAATTAAGTTCCAGCTATTTATCATGGTTTTTATTGCATTTACTTTTGGGTTCTTGGTCATGAAATCCTTGCCTAAGCCAATGTTTAGAAGGGTTTTTCCAGTGTTATCTTCTAGAATTTTTACAGTTTCAAGTCTTAGATTTAAGTTCTTAATCTATCTTGAGTTGATTTTTGTATAAGGTGAGAGATGAGGATCCAGTTTCATCTCCCACATGTGGCTAGCCAATTATCCCAGCACCATTTGTTGAAAAGGGTGTCCTTTTCCCACATTTTTTTTTTTTTTTTGCTTTGTCAAAGATCAGTTGGCTGTAAGTATTTGGGTTTATTTCTGGTTTCTCATTCTGTTCCATTGCTCTACGTACCTATTTTTATACCAGTACCATGCTGTTTTGGTGACTACGGCCTTATAGTATAGTTTGAAATCAGGTAGTGTGATGCCTCCGGATTTGTGCTTTTTGCTTAGTCTTGCTTTGGCTATGTGAGCTCTTTTTTGGTTTCACATGAGTTTTAGAATTGTTTTTTTTTTTCCTAAGTCTGTGAAGAATGATGGTGGTATTTTGATGAGGATTGCATTGACTTTGTAGATTGCTTTTGGGAGTATGGTTATTTTCACAATGTTGATTCTACCTATCCATGATCATGGGACTGTGTTTCCATTTGTTTGTGTCATCTATGATTTCTTTCAGCAGTGTTTTGTAGTTTTCCTTGTAGAGGTCTTTTGCCTCCTTGGTTAGGTATATTCAGAAGTATTTTATTTTTATTTTTTGCAGTTATTGTAAAAGGAATTGAGTTCTTGAATTGATTCTCTGCTTGGTTGATGTTGGTATATAGAATAGCTACAGATTTATGTATATTAATCTTGTATCTGGAAACTTTGCTGAATTCTTTTATCTGTTCTAGGAGCTTTCTGGAGGAGTCTTTAGGGTTTTCAAGGTAAACAATTATATTGTCAGCAAACAGTGACAGTTTGACCTCCTCTTTACCAATTTGGATGCCCTATATTTCTTTCTCTTTTCTGATTGCTCTGGTTAGGAATTCCAGTACTATGTTGAAGAGGAATGGTGAAAAATGGGCATCATTTTCTTGTTTCAGTTCTCAGAAGGGATACTTTTAACTTTTCGCCATTCAGTATTATAATGGCTGTGGGTTTATCACAGATGGCTTTTATTATATTGAGGTATGTCCCTTGTATGCTGATTTTGCTGAGAGTTTTAATAGTAAAGCGATACTGGATTTTGTTGAATGCTTTTTCTGCATCTATTGGTATGATCGTGTAATTTTTGTTTTTAATCCTGTTTATGTGGTGTATCACTTTTATTGACTCACATATGTTAAACCATCCCTGCATCCCTGGTATAAAACCCACTTGATCATGGTGAATTATCTTTTTGATATGTTGTTGGATTTGTTTAGCAGGTATTTTGTTAAGGATTTTAGCATCTATGTTAATCAGGGATATTGGTCTGTAGTTTTCTTTTTTGGTTATGTCCTTTCCTGGTTTTGTTATTAGGGTGATGCTGGCTTCATAGAATGAATTTGGGTGGGTTCCCTCTTTCTCTGTCTTGTGGAATAGTGTCAAAAGGATTGGTAAAAACTCTTCTTTGAATGTCTGGTAGAATTCTGCGGTGAATCCGTCTGGTCCTGGCCTTTTGTTTGTTGGTAATTTTTAAATTACCCTTTCAATCTTGCTGCTTGTTATTGGTCTGTTCAGGGTATCTAATTCTTCCTGATTTAAGCTAGGAGGGTTGTATTTTTCCAGAAATTCATCCATCTCATCTAGGTTTTCTAGTTTATGTGCATAAAGCTGTTCATAGTAGCTTTGAATGATCTTTTGTATTTCTGTGATATCAGTTGTAATATCTCCTGTTTTGTTTCTTACTGCAGTTATTTGGATTTTCTCTCTTCTTGGATAATCTTGCTAATGGTCTATCAATTTTATTTATCTTTTCAAAAAATTAACTTTTGGTTTTATTTATATTTTGTATTTTTTTGTTTCAGTTTCATTTAGTGTTGCTCTGATCTTGGTTATTTTCTTTCTTCTGCTGGGTTTGGGTTTGGGTTTGGTTTGTTCTTGTTTCTCTAGTTCCTTGAGGTGTGACCTTAGAATGTCAGTTTGTGCTTTTTCAGTCTTTTTGAAGTAGGCATTTAGGGCTATGAACTTTCCTCTTAGCACTGCCTTTGCTGTATCCTAGAGATTTTGATAGATTGTGTCACTATTGTCATTCAGTTCAAAGAATTTTTAAATTTCCATCTTGATTTCGCTTTTGACCCAATGCTAACTCAGGAACAGGTTATTCAATTTCCATGTATTTGCATGGTTTTGAAGATTCCTTTTGGAGTCGATTTCCAGTTTGATTCCACTATGGTCTGAGAGAGTGCTTGATATAATTTCGATTTTCTTAAATTTATTGAGATTCATTATGTGGCCCATCATATGGTCTGTCTTGGAGACAGTTCCATGCACTGTTGAACAGAATGTGCATTCTGTGGTTGTTGGATGAAATGTCCTGTATATATCCGTTAAGTCTATTTGTTCCAAGGTATAGTTTAAATCCATTATTTCTTTGTTGACTTTCTGCCTTGATGACCTGTCTAGTGCTGTCAGTGGAGTACTGAAGTCCCCCACTATTATTGTTTGCTATCCATCTCATTTCTTAGGTCTATTCGTAATCGTTTTATAAATTTGGGAGCTCCATTGTTAGGTGCATATATGTTTAGGATTGTGTTATTTTCCTATTGGACAAGGCCTTTTACCATTATATAATGTCCCTCTTTGTCTTTTTTAACTGCTGTTGCTTTAAAGTTTGTTTTGTCTGATATAAGAATAGCTTACCCCTGCTCACTTTTGGTGTCCATTTTCATGAAATGCCTTTTTCTACCCCTTTACTTTATGTGAGTCCTTATGTGTTAGGTGAGCCTGCTGAAGGCAGCAGATAGTTGTTTGGTGAGTTCTTACCCATTCAGTGGTTCTGTGTCTTTTAAGTGGAGGATTTAGGCAATTTACATTCAATGTTAGCATTGAAATGTAAGGTACCATTCCATTCATCGTGCTATTTGTTGCGTGTGTGCCTTGGTTTTTTGTTTTTGCTTTTTAAATTGTATTTTCGTATTATAAGTCCTGTGAGATTTATACTTTAAAGAAGTTTAGAGTTTCTGCTTTGATGCATTTCCAGGATTTGTTTCAACATTTAGAGCTCCTTTTGTCAGTTCTTGTAGTTGTGGCTTGGTAGTGGCGAATTCTCTCAGCATTTGTTTGTCTGAAAAAGACTATCTTTCCTTCACATATGATACTAGTTTCACTGGGTACAACATTCTTGACTGATAATTGTTTTGTTTGAGGAGGCTGAAGATAGGGCCCCAATCCCTTCTAGTTTGTAGGGCTTCTGCTAAGAAATCTGTTGTTAATCTGATAAGTTTTCCTTTATAATTAACTGGTGCTTCTGTCTCACAGCTCTTAAGATTCTTTCCTTTGTCTTACCTTTAGATAACCTGATGACAGTGCTTCTTGTATTTGGATGTCTAGTTCTCTATCAAGGCTGGGGAAGTTTTCCTGAATTATTCCCTCAAATATGTTTTTCCAAACTTTTAGATTTATCTTCTTCCTCAGGAGCACCTATTATTCTTAGGTTTGGTTGTTTTACATAATCCCAGACTTCTGGGAAGCTTTGTTTATATTTTCTTATTCTTTTCCTTTGTTGGATTGGGTTAATTCAAAGACCTTGTCTTGGAGCTCTGAATTTCTTTCTTCTACTTGTTCAATTCTATTGCTGAGACTTTCCAGAGCATTTTCTTTTTTTTAAATTTTATTTATTTATTTATTTTTATTTTTATTATTATACTTTAAGTTTTAGGGTACATGTGCACAATGTGCAGGTTTGTTACATATGTATACATGTGCCATGTTGGTGTGCTGCACCCATTAACTCGTCATTTAGCATTAGGTATATCACCTAATGCTATCCCTCCCCCCTCCCCCCACCCACAACAGTCCCCAGTGTGTGATGTTCCCCTTCCTGTGTCCACGTGTTCTCACTGTTCAGTTCCCACCTATGAGTGACAACATGCGGTGTTTGGTTTTTCGTCCTTGCGATAGTTTGCTGAGAATGATGGTTTCCAGCTTCATCCATGTCCCTACAAAGGACATGAACTCATCCTTTTTTATGGCTGCATAGTATTCCGTGGTGTATATGTGCCACATTTTCTTAATCCAGTCTATCATTGTTGGACATTTGGGGTGGTTCTAAGTCTTTGCTATTGTGAATAATGCCGCAATAAACATACATGTGCATGTGTCTTTATAGCAGCATGATTTATAATCCTTTGGGTATATACCCAGCAATGGGATGGCTGGGTCAAATGGTATTCCTAGTTCTAGATCCCTGAGGAATCGCCACACCGACTTCCACAATGGTTGAACTAGTTTACAGTCCCACCAACAGTGTAAAAGTGTTCCTATTTCTCCACTTCCTCTCCAGCACCTGTTGTTTCCTGACTTTTTAATGATCATCGTTCTAACTGGCGTGAGATGGTTATCTCATTGTGGTTTTGATTTGCATTTCTCTGATGGCCAGTGATGATGAGCATTTTTTCATGTGTTTTTTGGCTGCATAAATGTCTTCTTTTGAGAAGTGTCTGTTCATGTCCTTCACCCACTTTTTGATGGGGCTGTTTGTTTTTTTCTTGTAAATTTGTTTGAGTTCATTGTAGATTCTGGATATTAGCCCTTTGTCAGATAAGTAGGTTGCAAAAATTTTCTCCCATTCCATAGGTTGCCTGTTCACTCTGACAGTGGTTTCTTTTGCTGTGCAGAAGCTCTTTAGTTTAATTAGATCCCATTTGTCAATTTTGACTTTTGTTGCCATTGCTTTTGGTGTTTTAGACATGAAGTCCTTGCCCATGCCTATGTCCTGAATGGTATTGCCTAGGTTTTCTTCTAGGGTTTTTATGGTTTAGGTCTAACATGTAAGTCTTTAATCCATCGAGCATTTTCCTTTTCTATAAGTGTGTCCAGTGTTTCCTGAAGTTTTGATTGTTTTTTCTTTATGCTATTTCCTTGAATATTTCTCCTTTCACTTCTCATATCATATTTTGAATTTCCTTACATTGAGCTTTACCTTTCTCTGGTGCCTCCCTGATTAGCTTAATAACTAACCTCCTGAATTCTTTTTCAGGTAAATCAAGGGGTTTCTTCTTGGTTTGGATCCATTGCTGGTGAGCTAGTGTGATTATGGGGAGCTGTTAAAGAGCCTTGTTTTGTCATATTACCAGAGGTGGTTTTCTGGTTCCTTCTCATTTGGGTAGGCTTTGTCAGAGGGAAGGTTTAGGGTTCAGGCTGTTGTTCAGATTCTTTTTTCCCACAGGGTATTCCCTTGATGTAGTGCTCCTCCTTTTTCCTATGGATGTGGCTTCCTGAGAGCCAAGCTACAGTGATTGTTATCTCTCTTTCAGGTCTAGTCACCCAGCAGGTCTACCAGGCTCTGGGCTGGTACAGCAGAGGGGTTGTCTGCACAGAGTCCTGTGATGTGAACTTCCATGGGTCTCTCAGCCATGGATACCAGCACCTGTTCTGGTGGAGGTGATGGGGTGCAATGGACTCTGTGAGGTTTCTTAGCTTTGGTGGTTTAATGTTCTATTTTTTGCCAATTGGCCTCCTGCTGGGAGGTGGCACTTTCCAGAGAGCATCAGCTGTGGTAGTTTGGAGAAAAACTGGTGGTGGGCAGGGGCCTAGAACTCTCAAGATAATATGCCCTTTGTCTTTTTTTTTTTTTTTTTTTTTTTTTTTTTTTTTTTTTTTGAGACAGAGTCTCACTCTGTCACCTAGGCTAGAGTGTAGTGCCATCTTAGCTCACTGCAACCTCTGTCTCCTCGGTTCAAGCGATTCTCCTGCCTCAGCCTCCCGAGTAGCTGGGATTACAGGTGTCTGCCACCACACCTGGCTAATTTTTGTATTTTTAGTAGAGATGGGGTTTTGCCATGTTGGCCAGGCTGGTCTCCAACTCCTGACCTCAGGTGATCCACCCACCTCACCTTCTCAAAGTGCTGGGATTACAAGTGTAAGCCACTGTGCCCCGCACAAGAGTGTATGCCCTTTGTCTTCAACTACCAGGGTGGGTAGGGATGGACCATCAGGTGGCACAGGGATAGGCATGTCTGGGCTCACTTTCCTTGGGTGGGTCTTGCTGTGGTTGCTGTGGGGGGTGGGGGTGAGGTTCCTAGGTCAACGGAATTATGTTCCTAGGAGTATTATGGCTGCCTCTGCTGAGTCATGCAGCCTTTCAGGGAAATGGGGGAAAGCTAGCAGTCACAGGCCTCATCCAGGTGCCACACAATCTGAAGGGTCAGTCTCACTCCCACCATGGTCCCCCTAACAGCACCAAGTCTGTTTCTAGGCAGTGGGCAAGCTGGGCTGAGAGCTTGCCCCAGGCTACCCACCTCCCAGCTGTGAAAGAAAAGGGCTTTAGTTCTTCCCCCCACTTCCCACACCCCCTCACCCCCTGCCCCACACCTGTGGAGTCTGCACGCTGGATTCATGCCCTCCCCCGAGTTCTGGCCAGGAGGCTTCTCCCCAGGTTCAAATTATTACAAAGTTGAACTGGAGACTTCCTTCTCCTTGTGGTGTTTTCCCTGCGCCTCTGGTCACCCTCCCAAAGGATTCCTGTGGTGTCAGGCAGGAATGTCCTGCTTAGGGACCCAGAGAGCTCCTAGGGCACTTTCTACTGCTTCCTCTACCACCATATTTTGCTCGACTCTCTAAATTGACTCAGCTCTAGGTAAGGTCAGAAACTTCTCCAGCAAACTAGACCTTCATATTCCCCTGTGGGGGTGTGTGTGTGTTCAGGGGCAGACAATCTCCATTTCCCACTTCTGCAGTTTGGGCACTCACACTCCCCAGGTCCTGCAGGAGCAATGTATTTCCTTCAGGGTCCTCTCGGGATTCCTGGTTTGTTCCTGTAGTCATTCTAGAGCTAAAATTCACAATGTGAACCTCTGCATGCTGCTCTGTCCATCTGAGTTGGAGCTGTAATGTAATCCTTCCTCCCATCCCCATGATGGTCCACAAAAGCCAAAGCATTTAAAAAGTATACTTCATATACATATTTTTACATGTCTTCTTTTGAGAAATATCTATTCAGAAGATTTATCCATTTTAAAATCAGATTTTTTTTCCTGCTGTTGTCTTGTTTGAATTTCTTGTATATTCTGGATATTAATTCTTTGTTGGATAGCTAGCAAATATTTTCTCCCATTCTATAAATTGTCTCTTTATTCTGTTGATTGTTTCCTTTGCTGTGCAGAGGCTTTTTAGTTTGATACAATCCCACTTGTTTATTTTTGCTTTTGTTGCTTGTACTTTTGAGCTCTTCTCCATAAAACCTCTACCCAGACAAATGTCCTGAAGCATTTCCCCTATGTTTTCTTCCTGGAATTTTATAGTTTCAGGTCTTATATTTAAGTCTTCAGTCCATTTTGAGTTGATTTTTGTATATGGTGAGAGAGGGATCTAGTTTCATTTTTGTATATGGATATCCAGTTTTCCTAGCACCATTTATTTAAGAGACTTTTCTTTCCCCTTTATGTCCTTGGCATCTTGTCAAAAATCAATTAGCTATAAATATGCAGATTAATTTATATTTTCTCTGTTTCATAGGTCTATGTGTCTGTTATTTTGTTTACTATAGCTTTGTAGTACATTTTGAAGTTAGATAGTGTGATGCCTCCAGCGTTGATCTTTTTGCTCAGGATTGCTTTGGCTCTTTGAGGTCTTTTGTGTTCCCATGCAAATTTTAGGATTTTTTTTTCTATTTCTATGAAGAAGGTAATTTTTTTTTTTTCGAGAGAGTTGGTCTTGCTCTGTTGCCCAGGTTGGAGTACAGTGGCACAATCATATTTCACTACAGCCTTGACCTCCTAGGCTCAAATGATGCTCCCACTTAATCCTCCTGAGTAGCTGGGATTACAGGCATGCACCACACTGCCCAGCTAATTTTTGCTGTGTTGCCCAGGTCTTGCTATGTTGTCTAAGTTGGTCTCAAACTCCTGGGCTCAAGTGATCCTCCTGCCTCAGCCTCCTAAAGTGCTGGGAGTATAGACGTAAGTCACTGTACCCAGCCTGTCATTAGTATTTTGATAGGGATTGCATTGAATCTGTAGATTGCTTTGGGTAGTATGGCCATTTTAATAATATTAATTCTTCTAATCTATGAACATGAGATGTCTTTCAATTTTTTTTGTTCCCTTCAATTTCTTTTTATCAGTATTCTGTAGTTTTCTTTGTAGAAATCCTTCATCTCCTTGTTAAATTTATTCCTAGGTATTTTTTATGGTAGCTATTTTAAATGGGATGGACTTTTGATTTCTTTTTCAACTAGTTTGTTATTGGTGCACAGAAATGCTAGTAAATTTTGTACCTTGATTTTATATCCTGCAACTTTACAGGTTTATCAGTTCTAAGAGTTGTTTTTGGCAGAATCTTTAGGTTTTTCTACATATAAGACCAAGAAAAAGACTTCCTCTTTTCCAATTCGAATATTCTTTATTTCTTTCTCTTGCCTAATTGCTCTGGATAGGATTTTCAGTATCATATTGAATAACAGTGGTGAAAATGGAAAAGTGGAAAAAATATTTTTGTATTGTTCCAGTTCTTGGAGTGTTTTCAACTTTTACCCATTCAGTATAGTGTTAGCTTTGGATTTGCTGTACTGAGGTACATTTCTTCTATAGCTAGTTTGTTGCAAGTTTTTAATCATGAAGGGATGTTGAGTTTTATTAAAACTGTCTTTTTTTTACATTCATATAGATTATCATAAGGTTTTTGTCCTTCATTCTATTGATGTGATTTATCATGTTTTTTGATTTACATATGTTTAGTTATCCTTGCTTCCCTGGATATATCCCACTTGATCATGGTGTGTAATCTTTTTAATGTTTTGTTGGATTTGGTTTGCTAATATTTTGTTGATATTTTTGTGTCTATGTTTATCATAAATATTGACCTGTAATTTTATTTTTTGTTGCCTCCTTGTCTGGTTTTGGTATCTGAGTGTTCCTGGCCTTGTAGAATGACTTTTGAAAAATTTCTTCCCCCCGCCTGTAATCTCAGCACTTTGGGAGGCTGAGATGGGCAGATCACAAGGTCACAAGTTTGAGAACAGCCTGGCCAATATGGTGAAACCCTGTCTCTACTAAAAATACAAAAATCGGCAGGGTGTGGTGTTGGGCACCTGTAATCCCAGCTACTTGGGAGGCTGAGGCAGGAGAATCACTTGAACCCGGGAGGTGGAGGTTGCAGTGAGCCGAGATCATGCCACTGCACTCAAGCCTGGGCAACAGAGTGAGACACGATCTTGAAAAAAAAGAAAAATGTATTCCCCCTAATTTTATGGGAATAGTTTGAGAAATCTTGGTGTTAGTTCTTAATTAAAAGTTTGGTAGAATTCAGCAGTGAAGTCATCAATCCTGGGCTTTGTTTTTCTTGGGAGACGTTTTATTACTGATTCAATCACATTACTCATGATTAGCTGTTTAGGTTTTCTCTTTTTTCCTGGTTCAATCTTGGTAAGTTGTATAGGTCCAGAATTTTTTCCATTTTTCTCTAGGTTTTTCAATTTTTTGGCATTTATTTCTGTATCAGTTTTAATGTCTCCTTTTTTTTGTATCTTATTTCATTTATTTGGGTATTCTCTCTTATATCTTTTTAGTTACTTTAGCTAATGGTTTGTTGATTTTGTTTATCTTTTTAAAAATCAATGTTTTGGGTGGAGCCAAGATGGCCAAATAGGAACAGCTCCAGTCTACAGCCCCCAGCATGAGTGACGCAGAAGACGGGTGATTTCTGCATTTCCAACTGAGGTACCGGGTTCATTTCACTGGGGAGTGCCAGACAGTGGGTGCAGGACAGTGGGTGCAGCACACCCTGTGTGAGCTGAAGCAGGGCGAGGCATCGCCTCACCCGGGAAGCACAAGGGGTCAGAGAATTCCCTTTCCTAGTCAAAGAAAAGGGTTATAGATGGCACCTGGAAAATTGGGTCACTCCCACCCTAATACTGTGCTTTTCCAATGGACTCAACAAATGGCACACCAGGAGATTATATCCCACACCTGGCTCGGAGGGTCCTATGCCCACAGAGCCTTGCTCCTTGCTAGCGCAGCAGTCTGAGATCAAACTGCAAGGCGGCAGCGAGGCTGGGGGAGGGGACGCCCACCATTGCCCAGGCTTGAGTCGGTAAACAAAGTGGTCGGGAAGCTTGAACTGGGTGGAGCCCACCACAGCTCAAGAAGGCCTGCCTGCCTCTGTAGGCTCCACCTCTGGGGGCAGGGCACAGACAAACAAAAGACAGCAGTAACCTCTGCAGACTTAAATGTTTCTGTCTGAAAGCTTTGAAGGGAATAGTGGTTCTCCCAGCACGCAGCTTGAGATCTGAGAACGGGCAGACTACATCCTCAAGTGGGTCCCTAACCCCTGAGTAGCCTAACTGGGAGGCACCCCCCAGTAGGGGCGGACTGACACCTCACATGGCTGGGTACTCCTCTGAGACAAAACTTCCAGAGGAATGATCAGGCAGCAGCATTTGTGATTCACCAATATCTGCTGTTCTGCAGCCACCGCTGCTGATATCCAGGCAAACAGGGTCTGGAGTGGACCTCCAGCAAACTCCAACAGACCTGCAACTGAGGGTACTGACTGTTAGAAGGAAAACTAACAAACAGAAAGGACATCTACACCAAAAACCCATCTGTACGTCACCATCATCAAAGACCAAAGGTAGATAAAACCACAAAGATGGGGAAAAAAGAGAGCAGAAAAACTGGAAACTCTAAAAATCAGAGCGCCTCTCCTCCTCCAAAGGAACCCAGCTCCTCACCAGCAATGGAACAAAGCTGGATGGAGAATGACTTTGACAAGATGAGAGAAGAAGTCTTCAGAAGATCAAACTACTATGAGCTAAAGGAGGAAGTTCGAACCAATGGCAAGACGTTAAAAATCTTGAAAAAAAATTAGATGAATGGATAACTAGAATAACCAAGCAGAGTCCTTAAAGGACCTGATGGAGCCGAAAACCACAGCATGAGAACTACGTGATGAATGCACAAGCCTCAGTAGCTGATGCAATCAACTGGAAGAAAGGGTATCAGCGATGGAAGACAAAATGAATGAAATGAAGCGAGAAGAGAAGTTTAGAGAAAAAAGAATAAAAAGAAATGAACAAAGCCTCTAAGAAATATGGGATTATGTGAAAAGACCAAATCTACGTCTGACTGGTGTACCTGAAAGTGACGGGGAGAATGGAACCAAGTTGGAAAACACTCTGCAGGATATTATCTGGGAGAACTTCCCCAATCTAGCAAGGCAGGCCAACATTCAAATTCAGGAAATACGGAGAATGCCACAAAGATATTCCTCGAGAAGAGCAACTCCAAGACACATAATTGTCAGATTCACCAAAGTGGAAATGAAGGAAAAAATGTTAAGGGCAGCCAGAGAGAAAGGTCAGGTTACCCACAAAGGGAAGCCCATCGGACTAACAGCTGATCTCTCAGCAGAAACTCTACAAGCCAGGAGAGTGTGGGCTAATATTCAACATTCTTAAAGAAAAGAATTTTCAACCCAGAATTTCGTATGTAGCCAAATTAAGCTTCATAAGTGAAGGAGAAATAAAATACTTTACAGACAAGCAAATGCTGAGAGATTTTGTCACCACCAGGCCTGCCCTAAAAGAGCTCCTGAAGGAAGCACTAAACATGGAAAGGAACAACTGGTACCAGCCACTGCAAAAACATGCCAAATTGTAAAGACCATCGAGGCTAGGAAGAAACTGCATCAACTAATGAGCAAAATAACCAGCTAACATCATAATGACAGGATCAAATTCAAACATAACAATATTAAACTTAAATGTAAATGGGCTAAGTGCTCCAATTAAAAGACACAGACTGGCAAATTGGATAAAGAGTGAAGACCCATCAGTATGCTGTATTCAGGAAACCCATCTCACATGCAGAGACACACATAAGCTCAAAATAAAGGGATGGAGGAAGATCTACCAAGCCAATGGAAAACAAAAAAAGGCAGGGGTTGCAATCCTAGTCTCTGATAAAACAGACTTTAAACCAACAAAGATCAAAAGAGACAAAGAAGGCCATTACATAATGGTAAAGGGATCAATTCAACAAGAAGAGCTAACTATCCTAAATATATATACACCCAATACATGAGCACCCAGATTCATAAGCAAGTCCTTAGTGACCTACAAAGAGACTTAGACTCCCACACAATAATAATGGGAGACTTTAACACCCCACTGTCAACATTAGACAGATCAGTGAGACAGAAAGTTAACAAGGATATTCAGGAATTGAACTCAGCTCTGCACCAAGCGGACCTAATAGACATCTACAGAACTCTCCATCCCAAATCAACAGAATATACATTTTTTTCAGCACCACACCACACTTATCCAAAAATTGACCACATAGTTGGAAGTAAAGCACTCCTCAGCAAATGTAAAAGAACAGAAATTATAACAAACTGTCTCTCAGACCACAGTACAATCAAACTAGAACTCAGGATTAAGAAACTCACTCAAAACTGCTCAACTACATGGAAACTGAACAACCTGCCCCTGAATGACTACTGGCTACATAACGAAATGAAGGCAGAAATAAAGAGGTTCTTTGAAACCAGCGAGAACAAAGACACAACATACCAGAATCTCTGGGACACATTCAAAGCAGTGTGTAGAGGGAAATTTACAGCACTAAATGCCCACAAGAGAAAGGAGGAAAGATCTAAAATTGCCACCCTAACATCACAATTAAAAGATCTAGAGAAGCAAGAGCAAACACATTCAAAAGCTAGCAGAAGGCAAGAATAACTAAAATCAGAGCAGAACTGAAGGAAATAGAGACACAAAATTCCCTTCAAAAAATTAATGAATCCAGGAGCTGGTGTTTTGAAAAGATCAACAGAATTGATAGACTGCTAGCAAGACTATTAAAGTAGAAAAGAGAGAAGAATCAAATAGACACAATAAAAAATGATAAAGGGCATATCACCACCGATCCCACAGAAATGCAAACTACCATCAGAGAATACTATAAACACCTCTATGCAAATAAACTAGAAAATCTAGAAGAAATGGATAAATTCCTCGACACATACACCCTCCCAAGACTAAACCAGCAAGAAGTTGAATCCCTGAATAGAACAATTACAAGTGCTGAAATTAAGGCAATAATTAATAGCTTACCAACCAAAAAAAGTCCAGGACCAGATGGATTCACAGCCGAATTCTACCAGAGGTACAAGGAGGAGCTGGTACCATTCCTTCTGAAACTATTCCAATCAATAGAAAAAGAGGGAATCCTCCCTAACTCATTTTATGAGGCCAGGATCATCCTGATACCAAAGCCTGGCAGAGACACAACAACAAAAAAAGAATTTTAGACCAATATCCTTGATGAACATTGATGCAAAAATCCTCAATAAAATACTGGCAAACCGAATCCAGCAGCACATCAAAAAGCTTATCCACCATGATCAAGTGGGCTTCATCCCTGGGATGCAAGTCTGGTTCAACATATGAAAATCAATAAACGTAATCCAGCATATAAACAGAACCAAAGACAAAAACCACATGATTATCTCAATAGATGTAGAAAAGGCCTTTGACAAAATTCAACAACGCTTCATGCTAAAAACTCTCAATAAATTCAGTATTGATGGGATGTATCTCAAAATAATAAGAGCTGTCTATGACAAACCCACAGCCAATATCATACTGAATGGACAAAAACTGGAAGCATTCCCTTTGAAAACTGGCACAAGACAGGGATGCGCTCTCTCACCACTCCTATTCAACATAGTGTTGGAAGTTCTGGCCAGGGCAGTCAGGCAGGAGAAGGATATAAAGGGCATTCAATTAGGAAAAGAGGAAGTCAAATTGTCCCTGTTTGCAGATGACATGATTGCATATTTAGAAAACCCCATCGTCTCAGCCCAAAATCTCCTTAAGCTGATAAGCAACTTCAGCAAAGTCTCAGGATACAAAATCAATGTGAAAAAATCACAAACATTCTTATACACCAATAATAGACAAACAGCCAAATCATGAGCGAACTCCCATTCACAATTTCTTCAAAGAGAATAAAATACCTGGGAATCCAACTTACAAGGGATGTGAAGGACCGCTTCAAGAAGAACTACAATCCACTGCTCAACAAAATAAAAGAGGATACAAACAAATGGAAGAACATTCCATGCTCATGGGTAGGAAGAATCAATATCGTGAAAATGGCCATACTGCCCAAGGTAACTTATAGATTCAATGCCATCCCCATCAAGCTACCAATGACTTTCTTCACAGAATTGGAAAAAACTACTTTAAAGTTCATATGGAACCAAAAAGGAGCCTGCATTGCCAAGTCAATCCTAAGGCAAAAGAACAAAGCTGGAGGCATCACGCTACCTGACTTCAAACTATACTACAAGGCTACAGTAACCAAAATAGCATGGTACTGGTACCAAACCTAGATATAGACCAATGGAACAGAACAGATCCCTCAGAAATAATGCCACATATCTACAACTATCTGGTCTTTGACAAACCTGAGAAAAACAAGCAATGGGGAAAGGATTCCCTATTTAATAAATGGTGCTGGGAAAACTGGCTAGCCATATGTAGAAAGCTGAAACTGGATCCCTTCCTTACACCTTATACAAAAATTGATTGAAGATGGATTAAAGACTTACATGTTAGACCTAAAACCATAAAAACCCTAGAAGAAAACCTAGGCAATACCATTCAGGACATAAGCATGGGCAAGGACTTCATGTCTAAAACACCAAAAGCAATGGCAACAAAAGTCAAAATTGACAGATGGGATCTAATTAAACTAAAGAGCTTCTGCACAGCAAAAGAAACCACCATCGGAGTGAACAGGCAACCTATAGAATGGGAGAAAATTTTTGCAACCTACTCATCTGACAAAGGGCTAATATCCAGAATCTACAATGAACTCAAACAAATTTACAAGAAAAAAACAACCCCATCAAAAAGTGGGTGAAGGATATGAACAGACACTTCTCAAAAGAAGACATTTATGCAGCCAAAAAGCACATGAAAAAATGCTTATCATCACTGGCCATCAGAGAAATGCAAATCAAAACCACAGTGAGATACCATCTCACACCAGTTAGAATGACGATCATTAAAAAGTCAGGAAACAACAGGTGCTGGAGAGGAAGTGGAGAAATAGGAACACTTTTACACTGTTGGTGGGACTGTAAACTAGTTCAACCATTGTGGAAGTCAGTGTGGTGATTCCTCAGGGATCTAGAACTAGGAATACCATTTGACCCAGCCATCCCATTACTGGGTATATACCCAAAGGATTATAAATCATGCTGCTATAAAGACACATGCACACGTATGTTTATTGCGGCATTATTCACAATAGCAAAGACTTAGAACCACCCCAAATGTCCAACAATGATAGACTGGATTAAGAAAATGTGGCACATATACACCATGGAATACTATGCAGCCATAAAAAAGGATGAGTTCATGTCCTTTGTAGGGACGTGGATGATGCTGGAAACCATCATTCTCAGCAAACTATCGCAAGGACGAAAACCCAAACGCCGCATATTGTCACTCATAGGTGGGAATTGAACAATGAGAACACATGGACACAGGAAGGGGAACATCACACACCGGGGACTGTTGTGGGGTGGGGGGAGGGGGGAGGGATAGCATTAGGTGATATACCTAATGCTAAATGACGAGTTAATGGGTGCAGCACACCAACATGGCACATGTATGCATATGTAACAAACCTGCATGTTGTGCACATATACCCTAAAACTTAAAGTATAATCATAATAAAATTAAAAAAGAAATCAATGTTTTCTTGATCTTTTGTATGTTTTAGACTGTACTTTGTTAATTTCTGCTCTGATCTTTGTTATTTCTTTCCTTCTGCTAATTTGGGTTTGTCTTGCCTTTCTACTTCCTTCAGTTGCATCATTAGGTTTATTTAAAGTCTTTCTACTGTTTTGGGATAGGTGTTTATTGCTATAAAATATCCTTTTAGAACTGATTTTGCTCTATCCCATAGGTGTTGCTATGGTTGTGTTTCCAGTTTCATTTGTCTCAAGAAATTTTAAAATTTTCTTCTTGATTTCTTCACTGACCCATTGGTCATTCAGGAGCATATTGTTTAATTTACATGTATTTGTACAATTTCCAAAGATTCTCTTTTTTATTGATGTCTAGTTTAATTTCATTGTGGTTGAAAAGATATTTTATGTAATTTTGAATTTTTTAAAAGTAAAGGAATTAAAAAGGGTGGCTACTCCTTAGGCAGAGCAGCCTAATTTTGATTTTTAAAATTTGTTGAGACCTGTTTTATGCCCTAACATATGGCCTATCCTGGAGAATGTTCTGTGTGCTGACGAGAAGAATGGTATTCTGCAGTTGTTTGATGAAATGTCCTGTAAATGTTTGTTAGGTCCTTTCGATCTATAATGCAGTTTAAATCTGATGTTTCTTTGTAGATTTTCTGGATAGAAACAAACTTCTAGTGCTGAGGGTGGAGTGTTGACGTCCCTAACTATTATTAAATTGAAGTCTATCTCTCCCTTTAGATTTAATAATATTTGCTTTCTATAGCTGGATGCTCTGGAGCTGGGTGCACATATGTTTATAGTCATTATATTCTCTTGTCAAAGTGATCCTTTTATCATTATGTAATACCTTCGTTGTCTCTTTTTATAATTTTTGAATTAATGTCTATTTTATCTGATGTAAGTATAGCTACTCTTGTTTGTTTATGCTTTCCATTTGCATGAAATATCTTTTCCCATTCCTTCACTTTTAGTCTACTCTGTCTTTATAAATGCAGAGTTTCTTGTAGGCAGCACGTAATCAGGTTTTGTTTTTATAATTCATTCAAGCAATCTATATCTTTTAATTGGAGACTTAAGCTGCTTATACTCAAGGTTATTATTGATATGTTAGGACTTACTACTGTCAGTTTGTTAATTGTCTTTTAGTTGTTTTATATATCCTTTGTTCCTTTCTTTCTCTCTTATTATTTATCTTTGTGGTTTAATGATTTTTTATAGGGATAAGATTTGATTTCTTTCTGTTTCTAATTTGTGGACCTGCTCTACTTGTGAGTTTTATACTTTTGTGTGTTTCGTGATGGCAGATATTGTCTTTTTATTTCCAGATACAGGACTAACTTTAGCATTTCTCGTAAGGCCATTCTAGTGGTGATAGATTTTCTGTTTTTGCCTGTTTAGGAAAGGCTTTATTTTTATTTTATTTCTGAAAGATAGCTTTGCTGAGTTTAGTATTCTTGGGTGGCAATTGTTTTTCTTTCAGCACTTTGAAAATATTATTCCATTCTCTATTGGCCTGTAAGATTTCTGCTGATAAATTTGTTGTTAGTCTAAGGGGGGTTTCCTAATATTTGATTTGACACTTTTTCTCTTGCTGTTTTTAGAATTTTCTGTCTTTGATTTTTGACATTTGGACCATATTGTGCCTTGAGGAAGAACTGTTTAGGTTGGATCTGTTTGGGGCCTTTTGCGCTTCCTGGATCTGAATGTGTATATCTCTACCACAACTTTAAAAACGTCCAGCTATTATTTCATTAAATCGGTTTTCTATGCCCCTTTTTTGTCTCTTCTCCTTCTGGTATTTTCATAATGTGAAAATTTCTTCCCTTACTGGTGTCCCATAAATCCCATTGGCTGTCTTCTTTCTTTTATATTTGATCTGATTGGGTTATTTCAAAATGCCTGTCTTGAAGTTCAGAATTTTTTCCTTCTGCTTGATTTAGTCTGTTGGTGAAGCTTTTGATTGCATTTTTAGTTTCCATTTAGTTTTTTTATGTTTATCTCTGTTAAATTCCTCATTTAGATCATAAATTGTTTTTTGACTTTGTCAAAACGTCCATCTGCATTCTCTTGTATCTCTTGTATCTCGCTGAGTTTCTTTAACATTATTATTTTGAATTCCTTTCTAGGCATTTCATAGATTTCCCTTTTTTTTTTGAGATCTGTTATTGGAAACTCATTGTGTTCATTTAGAGGTATCATGTTTTCTTGCTTTTTCTTGATTCTCTCGTCACTGCATTGATATTTGCATGTCTTGGGGAACAGTTGTCTCTCTTCCTGTTTTATGGAGTAACTTTTGTAGGGAAATATTAATTTCTGTAGATGTGTCCTATAGTGCTGATTGAATAGAGTCCTTTGGCTTTGGTTTTGGGTGTGCATAGTAGTGTCTTTTTGTGATTTCTTTGGCTGTAACCAATGTCAGTGATGTCTATGAATGACTTATTGGCCTAGACTTGGGTGTTTGTGAAGGCAGTGGTATGGCTTTGCTGCAGGCAGGGGCCTCCAAGTGGACTAGTTCTCAGGCCTTGAGAGGGGACACACACTGGGCATAGCAGCATTACTGGCAGTGATGGGCACCAGGTGGGCCAGTACTTGGGCTATGGGAGTTGTGTGTGATGTATGGCATCTCCAACAATGAAGTAGGTGGGATTGCTGGTGGTGTTGGTACCCAGGTGGGCTGGTCCTTGAGGCCTGGGGATGGGGAATGTATGTGATGGCTTTGACGCTTGAGGATGTAGTGTTCCTGGTGGCAGTGGGTTCTGGGCATGCCAGTCCTTGGGCCCTTAGTGGCGGGTATGTTGATTTTTTCAGTTTTAGGGATGGCCTCACCACTCTGCTAGACCACCTCTTTCTTGGGGTGCAGGACACTACGTGAGCTCAAGTGCTGGGGTCACAGTTGTACCCCTTGGTACAGGTTTATGTTGGGGTTGTGGCATTGCAGCCCTTTGTATGGGTGTAGTGGAATAATGATGCGGTCTCAGAAGTGTGAGGCTATATTGGCCCCCAGGAAGGATGCGCTTTAGCAGTGGCTCTACTCTCAAAATAGCACTATGCCGTAACAGTTTGGGTCCTGGGGAGTGGGATAGACCCAGTGTGAGTTCTTTCTCTGGCACAATTCTGCTGCATGGATTCTGGGCATCTCCCTTTACTGGGCTTAGGACCCATGAGGACTGTTTGGCTCTTCTGCAACTAAGACTGCAGGTGTCTGTGGTAGTAATGGGGATTGCTGGGGACCTCCCACTTACCTTTGCAGCCATTCTGAGTTTCCATGCCTTAGGGGGTTTATATGACTTCCTTGATGCACTCCGTTATTCTCTATTATACACTCCACTTGAAGTGTAATTATTTGTTTATTGTTTTGACCCCTCTCTGCAGAAGAAATGAGCATTGGGCACTTGTAGTCAGCTATCTTGATGATGTCTAGCTTATTTTCTGCTTTCTTGTTTTATTATTTTCTGTGTCTGATGGAATATATATAATTTTTTTTCCTGGTGTTTTGAATACTTATATTCTATTCATGATTATTTTAAATGTTTTTGAGAGCTATGTTTTTATGTAGCTATTTAATTTTCAGTTGATAGAAAAATTGTATTAACTTTAAAATATTTAGTACGCTTTTAGTAAACTTCTGATTTCCTACAGAATACATATACTCTGATATACTCAGTTTAGATTGATAGTGTTTACTATCAGTCTTTTCACATCAATCCTCTATTTCTGAGATCTTCTTTTTTATTTCCTTGCTCTTTGGGGTTATACTTTGACTTCTTTTTCTTTTGGGGATATACTTTTACTTCTTTTTCTTTTTGCCTGCTTCATATGGGGGTATACTTTTAAATAACTTTAAAAAAGTGAATATAGGCCAGGTACAGTGGCTCATCCTGTAATCCCAGCACTTTGGGAGGCTGAGGTGGGAGGATTGCTTGAAGCCAGGAGGTCAAGACAAACCTGGACAACATGGCAAAACTTCATCTCTCCAAGAAATAAAAAAAAATTAGCTGGGCATTTTGGCATGTGTCTGTAGTCCCAGTTACTCAGGAGGCTGAGGTGGAAGGATCGATCGAGCCCAGGAGGTTGGGGCTGCAGTCAGCCATGCTGGAACCACTGCACTTCAGCCGGGGTAATAGAGAAAGACCCTATCTCAAAAAAAGTGAATACGAATAGTATGTTTCTCTTAGCCCTTGCTTATCTAATACAAACTGGCTGAGTATATGATTCTTGGGTTATAACTCATTTTAGAGCAAAAATATGAGACTTGCCTGATTGTTGTTTCTTCACAGAAATCCCCTTTTTTTCTTTAAAAAATCTCTGCATGTATGTAGCATTCCTCTTGTTACAAATCACATAATTTTTGAAAAGGTAGTGCTATTTTTTTATATGAGGGTGGCTTTTAATTGAATTGATCTGGAAATCAGTGGACCCTTTCAATTTGTATATGAATAAGTCTTTTCTATCTGAGTACATTTAATTTATACTATATCTTTGGTTAATGTTTTTTCTTTTGGTTTTGATGACATTTTTAGAAATGCTAAGTATCTTCATATTAGCTTTTGTTTTTTTTTCCAATTTTTTTCATGGTTTTCTCTTTTTCCTTTTCCTTTGCAGTCTGGGAGAATGTCCCACATTACAGTTGTGATTTTATGCTTTATCAGTTTTGCTTATTTACTGCTTCTTTTGTGTATTTTGATTTTACAATTACAGCTATAGTGTTTTTTAATATTAAAAATACTACCTTTTATTTTATCCTTTTATCTCATTGAGTCATAATATTTGTTATATTTTCATTTTAGCTATTTGTCCTAATGGCTTCCTGCTCATTTCATGGATACTAATTTTTTTTTCTTTTGCTCTCTGTTGAGAATACCAAACAGTTTTCTGAAATTTTCTTCTGTATCTTGCAGTAGATTATTTCTGGGATCTTTTGGATAATCTTTATTTTTCTTTGTTCTGCATGTTTTCATCTGAAGTTCATGCTAGTTATCTTTCAAAATTTTCAATTATATAAAAACCTTGAGTTTGTTGATATTTGAAGGTCTGACTTCCCTTGGTTTTCACTCAAGGGTATTTACATGATGATTGGTCAGCTTTACAGTTAGATGGCAATGTAATATGAATAACTCACCATATAATTTCCAGTTTCTTAAACACTTATCTATGGCAATGGTTCTCAACTGGGAGCATTTTTCCCCCAAGGGACATTAGATAACATCTGGAGACATTTTTGATTGTTATGACTTGGGGAGGGGTATGTTTGCTACTGGTATCTAGTGAATCAAGGCCTGGGAGACTGTTAAACACTACAATGCATGGGACACACACTCAACAAAAGAAAATTCTGTGGCCCAAAGTGCTGAAATTGAGAAACTGATCTATAACATTCCAGTTTGCTAACATAGCATTTTATCCTAGTTCATCTACATTCTTTATAATACTCTGAATCAATGAAAAAACATGTAAAATCCAATTTTTAGCATATAGTACTACCAGAAATTATTTTTTTTCTTTCCCAGGTTGAATTGCTTTATATATAAACTGATTATATATAAAGACATGTTCCAGGATGCAATTTGCCATTTCCAGCCTGTCTTAGTTCATTTAGTGTTGCTATAACAGAATACCTGAGACTGGGTAGTTTGTAAAGAAAAGAGGTTTATTTAGCTCATGATTCTGGTGGCTGTAAAGTTCAAGATTGGGCAGCTGAATCTGATGAGGGCCTTGGGCTGCTTTAGTTCATGGCAGAAAACAGAAGGGAAGCCAATGTGTGCAAAGAGATCACATGATGAGAGAGGAAGCAAGAGAGAGAAACTGAGGAAGACAGACTCTAACAACCCACTATCTCAGGAAGTAATTCATTCCTGTGAGAGCAGGAACTCACTCCCGCAGGAGGGAAATACCTATTCATCAGGGATCCTTCCTCATGAACCAAACACCTCCCACTAGTTTCTGCCTCCCAACACTGCTACATTGGGGATCAAATTTTCACATGCATTTTGGTGGGGCCAAACTATATCCAAACCATAGCAAGGCACTCCTTCTTCATGCTCAGAGTTACTGTATTACAAAGGACTTAGAATTAAGACATTAGGGTTAGCTATATGAGAATGGATGGATAATGGAATAACTTGTTCATTTATCCAGTTAGCAGGAATTGGTTTCTGTATACCATGTGCCAAGCCCTGTGTTCTGATCCCCTCAGTAAGCAACATCCATGCTCTAAAAATAGAGCAGTTTTTTGGTTTCTTGGGTTTGAGTTAGTGCAGACAGTGGGTTCCATGAGATGAAACCTGGATATCTTGAGCTAAGCCTTTAAGTTTTGCTATAGGAACACCAGCTGCTTCACAATTAACAAACATTTCTACTAGGTTGTCTTTTTTTTTTTCCTTTTTCATTATGTGTTTTTGTGTGTTTATCTCTGTCTTCTGGTTATTTTAGTGGAAAGTTGACAAAGGCTGCTTTAGGGCTAATAAGCAGATACACCTTAGAGTTCTGCTAGATTTTTAATAAGTACATAGTATATCTCCGCTTCCAAACTTTTAGCTCCTTGAGAGAAGGCCCTGCATTGTATTTGTCTTTGAACTTCTCTTGAAATCCCGTACATGATGATGTTTAGCAATGACTTGTTAAATGATTAGATTTTATCTGCATTCATAACCTAAATATGAGAGACAATTTAACACATGTATCTTTGGAATTTACAGCATGGCTGGAGTAAGGGTTAGTGAACTGGCTTTAGAGGTGGGGTTTGTAAAGAAACTAGGCAATGTTGCCTGAGATCTAATATGGACATTTTGAAAGTGTCTTTGCAGAACACTTTAAGCTGTTTGCTCTAGTATCATTTACAGAAAAGCCTGTATGAGGGCCAACAGCAGCGGCAGTTATAGCTGCTTCCTTTTTGGATTTTACTGGATAGAAATACATTAACTCCAGGACCATTTGGCCAATAAGAACAAGCCAAAGCAGACACCAGGAATAGAGCATTTTTGATAGCCACAGAGTAACTGTTCTCTTTATCTCTTAGCTGTTTCTGGGACTCCCTCTTTTTTTGGGTAAGTCCTGTAGCAGTTACACCAATGATATGGACATCTGGAGCACCTCAGGGATGCCGTTATATTGACATTATGTAATGTAATAGCTAGACAATCTTTTGGGCATGCCTGTGAAGTACCTGGTCACGCGAGTGGAGAAAAGATAGTGGTGGGATGGAGGAGCAGATAGACATCTCTGATTCAAGCCAACCCCCTGTGGCTTTGATTTTTAAGCACTGGAGTAATTCTCACATGGTGAGGTGTGAAGGGCAGGAACCAGTATAAAGATAATGCCAGAAGGATGACATTATTATGTTTGAGCATTATAGTAACAACAGTCACTTACTGAGCACTTACTACGTAACAGAAAGAGGACATGAGTATATACTTTGTTACTCCAAGCAAGACCTTCTTGTACATTTTCCTCTAAGAGGACCTGTTTTACGACCTGCTGAGCCACTTCTTTGAGCCATAATTTCCATTTCTAGGTACATGGCCTAGTAGATATTACCTTGGACTTGGGGCTAGAAGTCTTCATTCTAGTCCTGGCTGTCACTCATCAGTTGTGTGACTTTGGGTAAGCACCTTTCCCTCTCTGGGTCTTATTTGCCTCATGCGTAAGTAAGGAGATTGGATAGAGAATCCACAAAATTCTTGGGTTATTGGCCAAAAGCTTCAGCAGGGCTGTTGGGAACTTTGTCGTTGTGGTAAACACATTGCAGGCAGGGTCACATCAGCTGCAGAATTCATGTGTGAGAACACACATCTTTTGCTTTCTGTCTCTGTCTTTTCAACCCCCTTCCCTCCCTCTACCCCCAGTACACTGGGCACGTGATTTATTCTTTTCACTGCCTCATAAGCACTGCCCTGCAAGTCACTGAAAATCCTGAGTGTGCCTTAGTCCCAACCTGATGGTTTTGATTTTTAAGCACTGGAGTCATTTTCACATGGAGTGGTGTGAGAGGGAGGCACCATTATAAAGATTATGCTAGAAGGATGACATTATTATATGTTTGGGCATTATAGTGATAACAGTCATTTATTGAGCACTTACTATGTATCAGGAATGGTACAAAGGACTTTATTTAAAAAAAACACAAATAATAGTTAATTTTTACTAATTCTTATTATGTGCCAGTGCCAGCTACTATTAGAAATACTTCATGTATATTTTAAATCACTGAATACTCACAAGTATTAGCTTAAACCTACATAGTATGACTACAGAGTTCATGCTTTTAACCATTACATAATATAAGGTCTATTGTCAGTTCTTCCAACCCTGTGAAGTATTTAAAATTTAATTATCCTTGTAATTACAGATAAGCAAGCTGAGCCTTAGAGTGGGCAGGTAACTTGCTTTAGGTCACACAGCTAGAGCCACAATTTAAACTCAGATATGTATGATTTAAGCTCAGATTTCTAATTACTGTATCTTGTCAGCAAATTATCTGATGACAAAACAGCCCCATGAGATAGACCTGTTGGATCTTATCATGCCTGCTGGTCAGATGAAGCTCTGAGAAGTGAACTATCTTGCTTAAGATCCCACAAGTCTGGGTACTTCCTTCTCTAGTCCCTAGTCACACATTTATAGTTCATCCTATGGCCCCAAAGAATGACCACCTTGGCCTCCATATTGAGAGATGAAGCTAAGCATGGAAGTCTTTATAGCAGAGAAAACAGACTGACATTCTCACTCAGGTGTAAGGGACAAATATAAGATCCTTTTCTGAAAGCAGACTTTAGTAAAGGGAGAGGAGGACAATATGAAGACATCAGGTCTCTGGGTGGGAGGAGAAGGCATGATGGATTGCGGAGTCTGTGCAGAGGCAAGAGGCTGACGTTGTTGACGTCAAATCTCCAGCTGCACAATTTTAACTAGAAACTGGCTCGGTTTAATGCACACCTTTTCTGCATTGAATCAATTTTCTCTCTGTAAATTTGGGCTTCCTGCAGCGCAGATACATTTCCATCCCAGCCTCATTGCCAAGCGTCCAGTTCCCATCCAGAAAAGTGGGGGAGGGGTTGGTTGTAATCACATCTCACTGAGGGCTATAGAGCAGCCCCATTCCAATGCTGAGACAGACGCGCAAGTCCTCGGGAGGAGACGCATGGGTGGGGTGGCTGCGGAAACGCAGCAGATGGAGGTTGCTGGCCTCCAGTTGGGGCCTGAGCGGAGAGCTGAGCCCCCTCCATCCCATCTGCCACTCCCACCGTCTTCTCCAGCATTGCCTGGCAGTCCTGTAGCCCTTGGTCCAGGCAGAAGAGTGCTGTGCAATGATGCTCCTAGCAATGGGAGCGAGCTCATGGATTGGGAGGGGGGAAGCGAAGGAGGATAGACGCAATGCAGAGGCGGCTAAGGCAATCCTTTGGGCTCTCAGGCTGAGGCTGGAAGAAGGCAGAACGGAGTGGGTGGGTGGCCTTTCAGGAGCTGGACCACCGGTCAGCAATGGTGCTCTTTCAACCCAATTTTTTTTATAGGGTAGGAGACAGATGGTGGGTGGACAGAACTGTTAATCCCATAGATCTAGGATGATTCAGAATGAGGCAGAGGTCAGGGATCAGGCAAGAGCTGGGGATGTCAGGAATGGGTGAGCTCCATGACTGAGTTATTAGAGCATTTTTCAATCACCATAGAGACCTTGAGGTATTTTGGACTGAAGGGTTGGGAGAGAGGGATATGGATCCTTTATGTTAGGTGGCTGAAAATAAAATAAATGTCTAAGAACTAAATTTGGAATTAAGAAAACGGGGTTTGCCTTCTTGCTGCTGCATAAGTTACTCTGTGACCTGTGTGAATGGTGTCACGTCCCTGGGCCATCTGTGACCAGGGGGTGCTAGCTGCTCAGCCTCCTTTGTAGGGTTGAGGCAGGGATCACACAAATTGCATCACAAATAGAGATTTGCCTTAACATCACGAACATGGCAAAACCCATACCTTGCTCTTTGTGGAGATCTGTAGAATGACTAATAGTGAGGGCTGAGATCAGAGAAATCTCTCTCCAACTTGGAATTCATCTGTGTCTCTCATGAGGTGTGGCGTGGGAAGTCTTCTACAGGTAATAAAATGCAGGACCAGTGCGAGCTGTCCAAGGTCTCACATTGTGATTGACAGTGACCAGAATCTGCACCTAGGGTTCTTGGTGATAGGTTTGTACCCTCGGGACAATATTGACTGAACTGTTGAACAACAGTGGGCTTTTCTATACTCAGGCAAAAATTTCCTTGCCATTCCCGGCAAAATCAGCCTTTACCCCTGGATGCCTGAATATCATTTACATTTGGAGTCTAAGCAAGTGAATGATTCCCAATGACACTTGATTTTCATCCATAGTTGGCAAACATGATTGACTACAAAATCGGCGGTAGACCAAGGGAAGAGCGGACAACTAGGGAACTGCTGGCCCAACTCCCTCTGTTTATTGTAATATTGGCTTCTGTTTATTCATCACTTACTATGTGTCTGTGTTGTATTGTTTGAGTTTTTTATGTGGATCATCTTGTGTAATTCTGCGAGGTCAGGGCTTTTATATTATTATTTACAGATGATGGCACTGAGTCATAAAGAGGTTAGGTAAGACCCAGGGTCATACAGCTAGAAGTAAAAGAGCCAGAATTTGAGCTGAGATAGGGAGAGATATTGGCTAAGATTATTCAGCAAGTGGCAGAGCTGGGCCTAGAAGCACAATAGTTTAGAGTTGGAAAAAAGAAATGTAGGTTCCTCAGAATTAATCTTCTCCTTGTATAGATGAAGATGCTGAGGTACACAGAGGTTAAGGCTGCCCTAGGATTCCCCAGTGAGTCTCTGGCAGAACTGGAATGCAATTCAAGTCTACTAATTATCTGCCAATCCCCTTTCTGTTACTTAGGCTTCCTAAGTCCACGTAAGTCCAGATTCAGTGAGTTCATTATTCACTCACCTCTTTAAGAAACTAGAGGGAGAAAAACGACTGACAAATTCTTTCCTCTAAGGACCCATATGAGATAACACTAGAAGTTGGCTTTTAAAAACAGATGAGTTTTTTGGCTAATAATACTAGTTATTATGTGGCCAGAAGCCTACAACCAACTCTATCAATGTGGAATTGCATCAGAGATGCATTGTATAGACCCAGAAACATGCCTAGCGAAAACAAAACAATAGCAGCAGATGCATGCATGAGAAAACAACAATTTAAGTAGTAAAGGCTGTTATGTCTACCATTCCATTCTATGATGGAATGCTCCATGGTAAACTGAGATGGAAAGATATGGAAGACATGAATGCAGTTGGTCTTAATTTCCATGGTTTCTCTTAGTGTGAACATTTCTCCTCACTGAGCAATATGCCAGTGTTTAAAGATTTGAATTTTAGCCAGGCAAGTGGTGTGCGTCTATAGTTCCAGCTACTTCAGAGGCTGAGGCAGGATGATAGATAGAGCCCAGGAATTTGAGGCTGTAGTGTGCTATAATTGCATCTTTGAATAGCCACTGCACCCCAGCCTGGGCAACATAGCAAGATCCCCACCTCTTAAAGAAAAAATAAAATTTTTATATATAGCGTGTTTGATATCTGTACCTATTGCCATCCAGTGTTGGCATAAAGGATTATGTTTGCTATTTTCTACTAATGAGGGATTAATGGGGTTTTCAAATTATTTTTAGTAACTTGAATCAGGCATTCTTTTCACCTTTTGCTCTGACTTTGGGAATTAATTCCATCTCTGAGCATCCCTGAAAGGCTTCCTCTGCCACACAAATATCTCCTAGCCAGAATGCTGTAGTATCTGAGATTCCACTATCATGTACTTGTTTAAGGCAATTAAGACTCATGTGAAGACAAACCTTAGTAAGTCAATAACATGTTAGCATGGACTGCTTTTCAAAAGAGAAAGAGCTTGAAGCTTAAAAAGATGGGATATAGTACAAGCATATATTGATTATGGGAGATAAATGAGGAAAGGGAGGAGGAATATGGAAGACCAGATTAATGACAGCAAGCTAAAAGAGGAGATGAGAAGATACAAGACCAAGATCTACATCTCATAATTTCCTTCAGTACAGTCCTACTTATATTTGTTTTTCCTTTTGTCCCTGAATGAGCACCTGTTGTTTGAGATCAACTTCTTTCTGCTTTGAGAACTGAATTACTCCCTGTTGCAGTGATTCTTAATTTTATTATCTGCTCCCTTATGTGTGTAATGAAAACTGTAGAACCTGTTTTGGGAAATGTGCACATGTCTTTGAAGCTTTACCTAGAAACTCAGAGGGTCCTCTGACCCCTAAGGGTAGAAGATCTTGATACAGTCTGGTGAAATGTATAACAGATGTGAAGTAAGGAGGGTTAGGTCCTAGCTCTGGTTTCTACTAATAGTCTATATATTTGGGGAAGTCTCTTCTGTAAGCATAAATTCTTTCATTAATAGAATCAAGGGGGATGACCCAGGATGATTCATTTCATTTCAAACCCTAATCTTCAGAGAAGCCCTGGGAGAAGGAATTGAGACTAGGGGCAGATGAATAGCTTTGCTGGTGGGGCTTCTCACTTTCCATTTTTGAATCTGAGCGGCCTCTGAGCACAGGAATTCTGTTTGGTTAACACTGGAAGTCTGAAGGGCTCAGTGTTATCTGGCTGGTCATTTTAGCTCTTCAAGGAGTGGGAAGGAGTGATCAGGCTTCCCTTTGTGGTTAAGAGACTCTCAGAGCCCTTGAACATACTTGAATATTCATGTGCTTTCTCTTGCCCAGTGCATTGTTCTGTCCCCAGCTGTCCTTTCTTCTGAGTCTGAGCCCCCAGCTCCTTTAGATCAGGCTTTATTA
Source organism: Homo sapiens (assembly GCF_000001405.40). Classification (NCBI taxonomy): domain Eukaryota; kingdom Metazoa; phylum Chordata; class Mammalia; order Primates; family Hominidae; genus Homo; species Homo sapiens. Next base: position 152,007,886 of record NC_000005.10, read on the forward strand.
CTGCTGCGTGGGACAGCTTGGTTTTGTTTGACTCTTTGAGAAGAATAGTGCCTAGGTTGGAGACAGGAGGCGGGGAGAGACTGAGGAGGGGTACTCTAGCTCAGCTGTGGCCCTTTTGAGAGGTGAAAGGAAGATTTATGATGCCACTTGTCAACTACAAGATGGATGGAGGTGCCCAGACTGTGAACTCCCGTGAAATGAAGGTTATGGTAATAATTAGGGTCCCTGGAGATGTAGCTGTTGGTGGTGTGATCAACTCTCCTAACAGTGATGGTTCCCAAGCCCCCTCCTCTGTCTGTCTCTCCCCTAATAGGCATTCTTTGTTCCTCTGCTGAGTCTGTCACTCTGTTTCAAGGATAACCAACTACTGATTGATTATCTGTGCTCATGAAGGGGAGTGTTACCATGCTGAGAAGAAATTTTTTATGTTAGTGTCTTGGATAAATGAAACAATGGAAAATGCAAAATCAGTTTATTTTTGGCTTCAGAATTTTCATGCTTTGCCTGAACTATTGGGAACAGTCTATATGCACGTGCATGATCACCCTTTACTTTGCCTGCCCTTTATTTCCCCTCATTTATCTCCCTAGCCTGCAGCTAGAGGACAGAGAGAAGCCCGGAAATGCTCACAAAGAATGTCCCAAAGACAGCTAGATGGGATACACCTCCTGGGAAAAAGTCTGAGCGCAAGAACTCTATCACCAAATACTTTAGGGAATTTCTATATACACATCAGGGCTTTACAGAGTTAAAATGCACACTGCATGTGAAAGAGTTTGGAAAGTCCTGTTATTAAAGAATACCATTTGGTTTAAAGTTTCCCATGCTTTTTTTTATCTCAAAATGCTTTTTTGTTGCATCACATTTACTACCCCCCTGTAGATTTAGTGTTATTCAAAACTTACTTCGGGAAGCTTTGGTATTTATAAGGGGTATTGGCAATGCTTGATGTCCAAGACAACCCAGTCTTCCAAGTGGAGTGGGGTTAGATGTTTTTCTGCCCAGCATTGGTGCAGACTTGATGTGTGACTTTTGCAAAGTTTCCATATCTTATTTTTTAAATAATCCTGGCATATATAGAGTTTATCCCCATTTAGAATGGGCCCTTACTGAAGTGTGGTTATAAATTGAGTATTGTGGTAACGCTTTTGTTTAAAATCTCTTCACTGAGTTATAATTCACATAAAAAACTCACCACACATATATATAGAGTGTACAGTGTGATACGTTGTGGCATATGTATACATCTATAAAACTGTTACTACAGCAAAGCTAATGAACATATCTATTACCCCAAAAGTCTCTTCATGTCCCTTTTTAATCTCTTCCTTCTGCTCTCAGGGCCGCTTCACCCTTTCCTCATCCCCAGGCACTCACTGACCTGCTTTCTGTCACTATGGATTAGTTTGTATTTTCTAGAATTCTGTATAAATGAAATTATAAAGTACAGTATGTACTTTAAAAATTTTTTATTTTTTATTATTATGGAGACATAGTTGTACATATTTATGGGGTACATGTACATTGCTACAAGCATACAATGTGTAATGATCAAATCATGGTAGTTGCAGTATCCATTCCCTTATGCTTTGATCATTTCTTTATATTAAGAACATTTCAATTCTAATCTTTTAGTTGTTTTGAAACATACAATAAATTATTAACCATAGTCACCCTATTGTGCTGTGAAACAATAGATCTTATTCCTTCTATCTGTCTTTTTGTACCCATTAGCCAGCTCCTTTTTATCCTCCTGTCCCCACTACCCTTCCCAGCTTCTGGTAACCATCATTCTACTGTCTGTCTCCATGAGTTCATTTTTTTTTTTTTTTTTTTTTTTTTGTAGCTCTCGCATATAAGTGAGAACATGCGATATTTGTCTTTCTGTGCCTGGCTTATTTCATTTAACAATGAAATATGGATGAGAATGTTCTCTTCCATCCATATTGTAAATGACAGGATTTCATTCTATTTTATGACTGAATAATATTCCATTGTGTCTATGTACCACATTTTTTTAATCCATGCATCCATTAATGGGTACTTAGGTTAATTCCATATCTTGGCTGCAAAGAACATGGGAGTGTAGATATATCTTCTATATACTGATTTTCTGGGGTATATATCCAGTGGTGGTAGTTTTATTTTTATTTTTAGCTTTTTGAGGAACCTCCATATTCTTCTACAGGGGCTCTACTAATTTACATTCCTGCAAATGGTTGTACTTTTATTTGGACTGATTTCTTTTAACATGATTATTTGGAGCTTCATTTATGTTGGTATATGTGTCAATAATTCATTGATTCTCGTTACTGAGTAGTATCTCATTGCATGGAATTTGTTTATTCATTCACTTCTTAAACATTTAGGTTGTTTCTACTTTTTAGCTATTATAAAACTGGCCTGAATATTTGTGTACTACAGTCTTTGTATGGACATATGCTTTTGTTCTTGGGACTCATCTCACTTGGTCATGATGTATTACTCTTTTTATATATTACTGGACTAAATATGCTAAAAGTTTGTTAAGAATTTTTATATTCATGTTCACAAGGGATATTGGTAGTTTTTCTTCATGTTATTTCTTCATCTGGTTTGGGTATTACGGTAATGCTTGCCTCACAAAATGAGATGGGAAGTATTCTCTTCTATTTAGTTTTCCTAAAGGGTTTATGTATAATTGGTATTGTTTCTTAAGTGTTTGGTAGAATTTATCATTGAAGCCATTTTGGGCCTGGAGTTTTCATTGTGGGAACATTTTGAATTATAAGTCCCATTTGTTTAATAGCTACATGGCAATTGAGCTTATCTATTTCTTCCTGAACAAACATTGGTAGCTTGTGTCTCTCAAGGAATTTATCCATTTCATCTAAATGACCTTTGTTTTTGGTATAAAGCTTTTATAATATTCCCCTATTTTCCTTTTAATACTTGCAGAATGACTCAGCAATGATGTCACTTCTTTTACTCATGATTTTGGTAATTTGTGTCTTCTGTCCTTTTCCTTTGATCAGTCTGGCTAAATGGTAATCAATTTTATTGATCTTTTAAAAGAGCTAGCTTGTAATTTTATTGATTTTCTCTATTGTTTTCTATTTCTTTGATTTCTGCTCTGGTCTTTTTTTTTCTAGTTTCTTATGGTAGAAACTGAGATAATTGATTTTCTCCTTTTCTACTATAGATATTTTGTGCTATATATTTTCCTCTAAATATTGCGTTAGTGGTATCCTATAGATTTTGATATGTTGCGGTTTCAATCTCATTCAGTTAAAATATTCATGATAACTTCCTGTGTGATAGCTAATTTCCTTTTTAATTTTTTCTTTGACCCATGAATCTTTTAAGATGCCATATTAATTACTTTTTAGATATTTAGTTATTTTCTAGTTATCTTTCTGTTATTTATTTCTAATTTAATTCCATTGTTGTCAGAAAACATACCTTATATGACTTGAATCTTTTAAAATCTCTTTCGACTTGCTTTATGGCCCACAATATGCTCTATCCTGAAATGTATTCTCTGTGTACTGAAGAGAACACGTTATTCTGCTGGTTTTGGATATTAATGTCAATTAGATAAAATTGTTTAAGAGTTTCATTCATCTATATTATTACTAAATTTAAGTCTGCTTTTTTGCTTGTTCTATAAATTGTTGTTTAATTTTAGTAAGGGTATGAAACTGTAACTATAATTGTGGATTACTCTTCCTCTTTGCAGTTCTATACATTTCTGCTTTATGTATTTTGAAGATGTATTACTAAGACATGCAAATGTTTCGGATTGTTATTTTCTCTTAGTGAATCTATCCCTTTATTATTTTGAAGTGACCTTATTTATCCCTAATAATATTCTTTGCTTTAGAATATATTTTGTCTGATATTAATATAATGATCCTAGGTTTCTTTTGATTAATGTTAGCATGGTATATCCTAATCCATCCTTTTACGTTTGACTCATTTATGTCTTTATGTTTAAAAAAGTTCCCATTTTTTGGCAATCATGTGTTTTAAAATTTTATTTAACCACTTTATTGAGATATAATTCACATATCATACAATTTGCCAATTGAAATTTTATAATTCAATGTTTTTTACTATATTCACACGGTTGTGCAACTGACACCACAATCAATTTTAGGACAATTTAATCACCCCCCCAAAAAACCTCATCATATATAGTAGCAGTCACTTTCATTTCACCCTAATGTCTAGCCCTGTCCCAGACAACCACTAATCTACTTTCTGTCTGTTATAGTTTGCCTGTTCTGGTCATTTCTTATAAATAGAATCATATAATATGTAGGTTTTTTGTGTGTCTGATTTCTTTTTGCTTTAGCATAATATTTTGAAGATTCTTCCATGTTGTAGGATGTATCAGTACTCCATGCATTTTCATGGTTGAATAATATGCCATTGTATAGATATTTTGTTTATTCATTCATTTGACAGGCATTTATGTTTTATTTTTTGGCTATTATAAGTAATGGTCTTATGAACATTTTTATACATGTTTTTGTGTGGACATATTTTTAATTCTCTTGGGTATATACCTAGGAGTAGAGTTCCTGGGTCATATGATAACTCTATGTTTAACATAGAGGAAGAACCAAACTGTTTTCCAAAGTTGCTGCACCATTGTATATTCCCACCAGCGATGTTACAAGGATTATAATTTGTCAACATTTGTTATTGTCTGCCTTTTCTTAGTGTTGTCCTTCTAGTGTGTGTAAAAGTGAGTTCCTTTTTGCATGTCCTTTTTAACAGAGAAGGTAGGCCCTCAGAGCTGTCAGCAGGGAGACTACAGGGTCTAAGTAGAATTTTGACTTTTATTTTCTTTAAAGAACAAATCACATTCCTGTTACTTCTCCTTCATTTTAAAGTGAGGGCATTATATTAACTTTTTAAAAACAGTTTTTTTTTTGCAGTACAATTTACGTCCTACACAATTGATTTATTTAAAGTGTATAGTCAGTGGTTTTTAGTATATTCACAGAGTTGTGTATCAGAGTTGTGCATCCCTCATAGCAATTCTCGAGTATTCTTCTTACCTCAAGAGGAAACCCTATAACCCTTAACCATCATCCTTCAAATCCCCCTTCCCCACATCCCTAGGTAATTGCTGATCTACTTTCTATCTCTATAGATTTGCCTGTTCCGGATGTTTCATGTAACTTTACAAAATGCTTATTGTTTTTCCTGTGGGAATGTAAAGTTTTCTTTTTAAAATAAATTTATTAAAACCAAAATTTAGTAAGCTGAAACAATATTAAGTAAAAATAATAAAGGTGATATGTATAGAAAAGGTCAAAATTGCTACGGTGATTGGTGGTGGACTACCACAAGTAGAGGAGATACCCTTGTGGTCAAATGCAAATGGCGAGCATTTGGGAAATGGTGGCTGATAGATTTCCTTGTTCTAGACTGATCTAGAAAACCACTTCATCTTAGGACTAGAACAGAGGCAGCCTTGAGTGTCTACTAGGCCCACAGATTTCTACTATCTTTATTTCATTTTTTTTCACTTTTATGGGACACATGTACAGGTTTGTTATATAGATAAACTGCGTGTCACAGGGTTTTGGGGTACAGATAATTTCATCACCTGGGTGATAAGCACAGTAACCATTAGCTATTTTTAAAGAGTTTCTTAGCAGCATATAGTCAGGTCTTGCTTTTTTTTTTTTTTTTTTTTTGTGTGTGTGTGTGTGTGTGTGTGTGTGTGTGACAGAGTCTCGCTCTATTGCCAGGCTGGAGTGCAGTGGCACAATGTTGGCTCACTGCAACCTCTGCCTCCTGGGTTCAAATGATTCCCCTGCCTCAGCCTCCCAAGTAGCTGGGACTACAGGCACGTGCCACCACGCCCAGCTAATTTTTGTATTTTTAGTAGAGACGGGGTTTCACCATGTTGGCCAGGATGGTCTCGATCTCTTGACCTTGTGAGATCTGCCCACCTTGGCCTCCCAAAGTGTTGGGATTACAGGCGTGAGCCTGCGCCTGGCCAGGTCTTGCTTTTTTATCCAGTCTGACAATCTCTGCTGTTTAATTGGGTATTATGTCTATTCCCACTTAATATGATTAATATGTTTAGATTTAAATCTACTTTCTTACTATTTGGTTTTTGTTCCTTTTTTCTTTACTTCCTTTATTCAAACAGAGTATTTGATTTTTATTTCTCCTGTTATTTGTTCTCCTTTCCCTTTTGGTCTTGTCTTCTTTTGGGTTAATTATTTCTTATATTTTCATTGGTTTATCAGCCATAACTCTCTCTCTCTTTTACTTGCTTTAAGCATTATAGTATATGTCTTTAACTTATCACAGTCTACCTTAAAGTAAAATTATGTTACTTCACCTATGGCAAAAGAAACAATAGTATTCTTCCATTTCTCCCTTCCCAGCCTGTGTGCTAATGTCATGTATTTTACTTTCCCATATGTTAAAAAGCCCACAATTATTTTAGTTTGATAACCCAATTATCTTTTAAAGAGATTTAACTATTAAGAACAATATCTCATATATTTACCCACACAATCACCATTTCCAGTGCTCTTTATTCTTTTGTATAGATCCATATTTTCTTTTGCTATTGTTCTGCCTCAAGGACTTTAACATGTCTTGCAGGAAAGGTCTGTTGATAATAATTTCTTTGAGGCTTTGTATATCTGGAAAACACTTTATTTCATCTTATTTATTTTTAGACAGAGTCTTGCTCTGTCACCCAGGCTGGAGTACAGTGTTGCGATCTAAGCTCACTGTAACCTCTGCCTCCTGGGTTCAAGCAGTTCTCGTGCCTCAGCCACCCAAGTAGTTGGGCTTACAGGTGTGCACCACCACATGTGGCTAATTTTTGTATTTTCGGTAGAGACAAGGTTTTTGCCATATTGGCCAGGCTGGTCTCCAACTCCTGGCCTCAAGTGATCCACTTGCCTTGAGCTCCCAAAGTGCTGGGATTACAGGCATGAGCCACTGTGCCTGGCCTCATCTTTAGTTTTAAAAGATATTTTTGCTAGGCATAAAATTCTAGATTAACTTTGTTTTCATCACTTTAAACTTGTTGTTCTATTGTTGCCTTGCTTGTTGTATTTTGATGAAAAATTTCCTGTCATCCATAGTTTTATTTCCATGTATGTTACAGATATTTGTGTGTGTGTATATATATGTATATACATATATAGAGTATATATACATATATATACGCACATGTATATATACACAATGTATAGCATATATAGTATATATACACATATATACACATGTATATATACACACAGTATATATACATAACTATATATATATTTATACACATACACATGAATATATGTATATATACATTTGTGTGTATATATATATTTTTTTCTTTGGCTGTTTTTGAGCAATTTAATTATGATATACCTTAGTGTAGTTTTCTTAATGTTTCCTATGCCTGGAATTTGTTGAATTTCTTGTGTCTATGGGTGTGGTGTTATGGATTAAATTATGTACTCCCCAAATTGACATGTTGAAGTCTTAACTGTTGGTATTCAGAAGGTGACCTTATTTGGAAATAAGGTTGTTGTAAGTGTAGTTAGTTAAGATGAGTTAATAGGCTGAGCCCTATTTCAATCTGACTGATGTGCTGATAAAGGGGGAACTTTGGGTACAGATATTTACACAGGGAAAATGCATGTGAAGATGAAGGCAGAGATTGGAGTGGTGCTTCTATATGCTGAAAAACACCAATCGTGGCTAACAAACATCAGAATCTAAGGTAGAAGCATGTAAGAGATTCTTCCTCAGAGCCTTCAAAAGGAACCACCCTACCAACATCTTGATTTCAGACTTCTAGCCTCCATAATTGTGAGATAATCCATTTCTATTTTTTAAGCCACCCAATTTGTGGTACTTTGTTATGGCAGTCCCTGCAAACTGATATAGCGGGCTTATAGTTTTTGTAAAATATAGATATATTTGGACCATTAAAACAAATTTTTTCCTGCCTCCCTCACCCACACTTTCAGGGATCCCTCAGTACAGAGATGTTAGATCACCTCAAGCTTTGTTTTGTTTTTGAATCTATTTTCTCTGTTTCATTTTGGGTAGTTTCTATTGATATACAAGTTGATAATATTTTCCTCTGTAATGTCTAATCTGCAACTAATCACATTCAGTATATTTTTTATCTCAAGTATTGTTGTTTTCACATCTAGAAGTTTGATTTTGGTCTTAAAAATTTCCTTCCATGTCACTAAGATTAACATTTTAAATCTTTCCTCTACTTTTGTGTATATATAGAGTATATGTTATAATGTTTTGCTGTTTTAGTCTGCTAATTCATGTGAGTTCTGGGTCAATTTTAATTGGTTGATTTTTCTCCTGATTATAGGAGGAGATGGTTATATGTTTTCCTGCTTACTTTCATGCCTGGTAATTTTTTACTGGATGACATACTGTGAGTTTTACTTTGTTAGGTGCTGAATATTTTGTTTCCCTATAAATATTCTTGAGCTTTTTTTCTGGAAGAGAGTTAGTTAACTTGGAAACAGTTTTATTCTTTCAGATCTTGCTTTTAAGTTTAAGTTGCTAGCTGAGACCAGAGCAATTTTTATTCTAGGGCATATTATTCTCCACTACTGAAGCAGGTCCTTTCTGAGTTATTTATTCAACATCCTATAATTTATGAGGTTTCTTGGTGGGTGTGGGTGGTAGCAATAGGCTTTATTCCCAGCCCTCTGTGAGCATTCTGTATTGCTCCCTTTAATCCTTTCATGTGGTTTCCTGGCCTTCAGTTTTTTTATCCACACACATGCTAACCAGTACTGTGCTGAATACTTGAGGCGGATCATCTCCAGATCTCTGGAATTCCCTCTTTAGCTCTCCCCTTTACAATTCTCTGCCCTATGAACTCTAGGCACCTTGGTTTGCCCAATCTCTTAGTCTCCAGTCAGGGAACCCACTGGGCTCTGCGTGGATTGCCTCTGGTATGGTTTAAAAGATTTTCAAGGCAGAAAGAGCAATCATGGGCAGCTTGTTTGTTTCCCATCTCTCAGGATCATTTTCCTCAGTTGCCTAATGTCTTGGAAACCATTCCTTACATGTATTTTGTCTAGGGTTTTAGTTTCGGTGGGAGAGTAAATCTAGTCCCTATTAATCCATCTTGGGTGAAAGAAGAAATTGATATAACAGTTTTCAAAAAGTAATAATCATACCTTACATGATTGCCATGGTCTTGGGCCTTGTCACTGCACCAAACTCATAAGAGAAACTATTTCTTTAAAAAAAGATTACGGTAATTCTGGATTAAAAGATTAAAGATCTACTGATGGCACATTAATATTGAAAAGGGCACCACAGATCTTGGATTTTATAACTGTAATAAGAATAGCCAATGTGTTTGGTGGTTTCAGCATGAGATCTAAGTGAATAAGATTATGAATTAAAGTCTTATATGGCATATTTGCTTTTCCCTCTCTGTGAAAGTGGACTGACTATACCCCTGACTCTACCTGGCTGTCTTATAAGGGCGTGCAATTGCGCAGATTAGGGTGAGCCGGTGTGGTGTATCAGAAAAAGAAGAAATCAAAGAATTGTGAATCAGAAGACAAGATTTTGAGTCCCAACTCTCCTACTTATTAACTCTATGACATTAGATAAGTCTTCAGCAATTGCTGAATTGTTTGCTTATCTGTGCAATGGAAACACCAACCTCAGCTCTATTTCTCAGTTGATATGAGCATCCTGTGAGACAAAGGATGTGCAAGTGATTTGTTTGCTGCAAACCACTAGGGTATATGGTTATTAAAAATCAGAAACCTAAGTACCATCTCTTTGTATGATAAAGCTCAAAGGCCTGATCTGCTGCATTGCGTGTAACCCACACAAATCATCTTTGAGTCCCTCCACTGTATTCAGCAGGTGCTTTGCACACAGTATTATTTCTTTAGTGAAGGATCAGAGAAACTTATTTGCATAGTCCAGTGCTATATAAGAATAGAGATTTCAGAACCACTCACAGCAGAATAACCGTGTATCGTACTCACCCTCTACCTCCACTCTGAGTAAAGACATTTGTTACATGTTAGAGTTGGAGAAATTTTAGAAAGGAAATTACAAACTTAGCAGTCTTCAGGCTACATATTCATCATCATTTTAAAACATTTTTGGTTAATGCAGTATTTTAAAATATTTGTAGCAGTTGCTAACATTTCTAAATTGGGAGATTCCATACAAAAATACAGATTTCCAGCTTCTCTTGTGAGAACAAAACAAACAGAACTGAAAACACTGCTGGAAGAAAGAAGCAGCTGCCCCTTTTGAATAGGGTAGGCAGGGCTGGGCGCGGTGGCTCATGCCTGTAATCCCAGCACTTTGGGAGGCTGAGGTGGGTGGATCACGAGGTCAGGAGATCGAGACCATCCTGGCTAACACAGTGAAACCACATCTCTACTAAAAATACAAAAAAAAAAATTAGCCGGAAGTGGTGGTAGGCACCTGCAGTCCCAGCTACTCGGGAGGCTGAGGCAGGAGAATGGCATGAACCCGGGAGGCAGAGCTTGCAGTGAGCTGAGGTTGCTCCACTGCACTCCAGCCTGGGTGACAGAGCGAGACTCTGTCTCAAAAAAAACAAAAAAAAAAAAAAAAAAAAGAAAGAAAGAATAGGGTAGGCAGGGATTCTTTAGTTTGCCTCAGTCTTCAGTTTGTTTTGGCCAACACTGAGGGTAAGTGGCATATCAATTGCATATGCTGCTGTTATTAATTTTGTAGTAGAATTAAAATTAAAATCATAAGTATGTTTCTTTATCAAAGTGGGAAAATAAAAGATGAACTGAAAGGGCTTTATTTTTCATTAAAAGTGAGAGAACATGTGTTTGTGGAAATGAATACTGAATACTTGTGTTAAAAATATAGTTTAAGATGCCATTGCAATAAAACTCAGACCATTTTATCCAGGTGTACTACCTGGGTATTTGAATTTAAGCCATGTACTGTAGAGATTATCTATAGTCCTATTTTTATATTCTACAAAGGGAGAAACTGTAGTTAAAGGTCTACAAAGAGTTGAGATTAGGAATCAGATATGGACTCTTAAAAATTTAAATATATTTAATATTTGTAGAATATTATAGTTTCGTATTTGGAGTATAAACGTTTATTAGCAATAGTAGCACCTCTCCCTGTTGAAGGGAACTCAGAGTGGTATAAGAGTTGGTAATGAATACAGGAATAGAAACTATGTTTTTTCACCAAGGACTAATACCAGTGCTCCTTGCTGGTTTATACCTCTACGCAGGCAGTGTCTCAGTGACTTTAAGTTACTGTACTTTGTTTGAAGTGCTGGACAATGTGCTCAGTGCTGTGGTAGTTTAAATGTGGATGAACATTTTGCAGTGGAAGAGAATAAGACTTCAGGTCACAGTAGTACAACTCAAAGCAAATTTATACCCAGTAAAGCTATCCTTTGGGTATACATACAAACAATCTCATTATCTCAAGTATGCGGGAATGAGAAAAATCAAGATTTGTTAGCACTCGCTGGAAAAAAATGTCTAGACTATGAAGTGATGAATCCAAATAAATAAAATGGCTATGGAAGAGTTCTGGTTTCTGGGCAGGTGGTGAGCATAAATATAGAATGAAGATTAACTGTGAACATGGTGATTACAAATTAGAACAGAAATGTTATATACTTGGTAATGTGAAAATCACAAAGCTAAAAAGAACATGAATGTGGAGGAGAGAATAAAGTATAAGAGTGTGAATTCTGACATTTTAATCATAGAGACTCAAATGACATTATCCAAAATGAAAACATGATAGTAAAGAAAAAATGACCCTAGCTTCTTTTGTTTTTTGAGACGGAGTCTCGCTGTTTTGCCCAGGCCGGACTGCAGTGGCGCTGTCTCGGCTCACTGCAAGCTCCGCCTCTTGGGTTCACGCCATTCTCCTGCCTCAGCCTCCCGAGTAGCTGGGATTATAGGTGCCCGCCACCGCGCCTGGCTAATTTTTTTTGTATTTTTAGTAGACACGAGGTTTCATCGTGTTAGCCAGGATGGTCTCGATCTCCTGACCTCGTGATCCACCTGCCTCGGCCTCCCAAAGTGCTGGGATTACAGGCGTGAGCCACCGTGCCCGGCCATGACCCTAGCTTCTTAATGATCTTCCATCCTTTCCATTTTAATAGAGATATTTTAAGAGATAACATTTCATAAGTAAAAAACCTGTTTCCTATAGTCTAATGGGTCTTTTTATTTGCCTAATATTTTTCTATTAAATTCACATACAATTACATTTATTACATTTAATTTGAAGGTATATCTATATTATAATAATTTTAATTATGTTATACACATACATATGCACACATGTGAAGTCATAAACACAGAAATATCTGGAATTATGCTCATCTGAGATTAATGATAATATATTGGAATATGGATTTTGGGTGACTATTTTTCTTCTCAAATTTGTACTTACTGTATACCTTAAAATTTTCATTATTTTTTGGTAAAAATAATAAAATTATTTCTTTAAATCACAAAGAGAATCAGAGTATGTATTTTTTCCGTTATTATTTTTATCTTTTTTTTACACATTTTGAATCTTATCAAATATATGTAAACTCTTATTTATTGCACCCTCATTATTCCATGCATTCTTCAATTGTATTTATGTTGATATCACAATAATTTTCAAGTTAATATTCTTTTTATATACCATAATTTAATTATTTATTTGGGAGCATTTATATTGCTTATGAAACTATGTTGTTATTAATACATATAAATAAATATGTAACAAACATATTTACTTATACCTCAAATTTTTTTAAAATTATGCTCTAAGTTCTGGGATACATGTGCAGAACGTGCAGGTTTGTTACGTAGGCATACATGTGCCATGGTGGTTTGCGGTACCCATCAACCCGTCATCTGCATCAGGTATTTCTGTGAATACGATCCCTCCCCTAGTCTCCCACCCCCTGACAGGCCCCAGTGTGTGATGTTCCCCTCCCTGTGTCCATGTGTTCTCATTGTTCAGCTCCCACTTATAAGTGAGAACATGTGGTGTTTGGTTTTCTGTTCCTGTGTTAGTTTGCTGAGAATGATGGTTTCCAGCTTCTTCCATGTCCCTGCAAAGGACATGAACTCATCCTACTTTATGGCTGCATAGTATTCCATGGTGTATATATGCCACATTTTCTTTATCCAGTCTATCATTGATGGACATTTGGGTTGGTTCCAAGTCTTTGCTATTGTGAACAGTGCTGAAATAAACATATGTGTGCATGTGTCTTTATAGTAGAATGATTTATAATCCTTTGGGGTATATCCCCAGTAATGGGATTGCTGGGTCAAATGGTATTTCTGGTTCTAGATCCTTGAGGAGTTGCCACACTGTCTTCTGCAATGGTTGAATTAATTTACACTCCCACTGACAGTGTAAAAGCTTTCCTATTTCTCCACATCCTCTCCAGCATCTGTTGTTTCCTGACTTTTTAATGATCGCCATTCTAACTGGTGTGAGATGGTATCTCATTGTAGTTTTGATTTGCAATTCTCTAATGACCAGTGATGATGAGCTTTTTTGCATGTTTTTTGGCCACATAAATGTCTTCTTTTGAGGATTGTCTGTTCATGTCTTTTGCCCACATTTTGATGGAAAAATGTTTGTTTTTTTCTTGTAAATTTGTTTAAATTTCTTGTAGATTCTGGATATTAGCCCTTTGTCATATGGATAGATTGGAAAAATTTTCTCCCATTCCATAGGTTGCCTGTTCACTCTGATGATAGTTTCTTTTGCTGTGCAGAAGCTCTTTAGTTTAATTAGAGCCCATTTGTCAATTTTGGCTTTTGTTGCCATTGTTTTTGGTGTTTTAGTCATGAAGTCTTTGCCCATGCCTATGTCCTGAATGGTATTGCCTAGATTTTCTTCTAGGGTTTTAATGGTTTTAGGTCTTAAGTCTTTAATCTATCTTTAGTTGATTTTTGTATAAGGTGTAAGGAAGGGGTCCAGTTTCAGTTTTCTGCATATGGCTAGCCAGTTTTCCCACACCATTTATTAAATAGGGAATCCTTTCCCCATTGTTTGTTTTTGTCAGGTTTCTCAAAGATCAGATGGTTGTAGATGTGTGGCATCATTTCTGAGGCCTCTGTTCTGTTCCATTGGTCTATATATCAGTTTCGGTACCAGTACCATGTTGTTTTGGTTACTGTAGCCTTGTAGTATAGTTTGAAGTCAGGCAGTGTGATGCCTCCAGCTTTGTTCTTTTTGCTTAGGAGTATTTTGGCTATGTGGGCTCTTTGGGTTCCATATGAAATTTAAAGTATTTTTTTCTAGTTCTGTGAAGAAAGTCAATGGTAGCTTGATGGAGATAGCATTGAATCTATAAATTACTTTGGGTAGTATGGCCATTTTCATGATATTGATTCTTCCTATCCAAGAGCATGGAATGTTTTTTCCATTTGTTTGTGTCCTCTCTTATTTCTTTGAGCAGTGGTTTGTAGTTCTCCTTGAAGAGGTCCTTCACATCCTGTGTAAGTTGTATTCCTAGGCATTTTATTTTCTTAGTAGCTATTGTGAATGGGAATTCACTCATGATTTGGCTCTCTGTTTGTCTATTATTGGTGTATAGGAATGCTTGTGATTTTTGCTCATTGATTTTGTATCCTGAGACTTTGCTGAAGTTACCAGCTTAAGGAGATTTTGGGCTGAGACAATGGGGTTTTCTAAATATACAATCATGTCATATACAAGCAGACAATTTGACTTCCTCTCTTCCTATTTGAATACCCTTTATTTCTTTATCTTGCCTAATTGCTGTGGCCAGAACTTCCAATGCTATGTTGAATAGGAGTGGTGAGAGAGGGCATTCTTGTCTTGGGCCAGTTTTCAAAGGGAATGCTTTCAGCTATTGCCAGTTCAGTATGACATTGGCTGTGGGTTTGTCATAAATAGGTCTTATTATTTTGAGATATGTTCCATCAATCTCTCGTTTATTCAGACTTTTTAGCATGAAGGGGTGTTGAAATTTATGAAAGGCCTTTTCTGCATCTATTGAGATAATCGTGTGGTTTTTATCATTGGTTCTGTTTATGTGATGGATTACGTTTATTGATTTGTATATGTTGAACCAGAATTGCACCCCAGGGCTGAAGTTGACTTGATTGTGGTGGATAAGCTTTTTGATGTGTTGCTAGATTTTGTTTGCCAGTATTTTATTGAAGAATTTTGCATCAATATTCATCAGGGATATTGGCCTGAAATTTTCCTTTTTTTGTTGTGTTTCTGCCAGATTTTGGTATCAGGATGATGCTGGCCTCATAAAATGAGTTAGGGAGGATTCCCTCTCTTTCTTTTGTTTGGAATAGTTTCAGAAGGAATGGTACAAGCTCCTCTTTGTACCTCTGATAGAATTCAGCTGTGAATCCATCTGGTCTTGGGCTTATTTTGGTTGGTAGGCAATAGCCTGGTACTGGGAGGCAAGGTAGGTACTGTCTCAATTTCAGAACTTGTTATTTGTCTATTCAGGGATTCGACTTCTTCCTGGTTTAGACTTGGGAGGGTGTGTGTGTCCAGGAATTTATCAATTTCTTCTAGATTTTCTACTTTATTTGCATAGAGGTGTTTATAGTATTCTCTGATGTTAGTTTGTATTTGTATGTAATCAGTGGTGATATCCCCTGTATCATTTTTTATTGCTTCTTTTTGATTCTTCTCTCCTTTCTTCTTTATTGTTCTGGCTAGTGGTCTATCTATTTTGTAATCTTAAAAAAAAAAACAGCTCCTGGACTCATTGATTTTTTTGAAGGGTTTTTCATGTCTCTCCCGTCTTCAGCTCTGCTCTGATCTTAGTTATTTCTTGTCTTCTACTAGCTTTTGAATTTTTTTTGCTCTTGCTTCTCTAGTTCTTTTAATTGTGCTGTTTGGATGTCAATTTTAGATATTTTCTGCTTTCTTCTGTTGGCATTTAGTTCTACAAATTTCCCTCTACCCACTGCTTCAAACGTGTACCAGAGATTCTGGTACATTGTATCTTCATTCTCATTGGTTTCAAAGAACATCTTTATTTCTGCCTTAATTTCGTTATTTACCCAGTAGTCATTCAGGAGCAGGTTGTTCAGTTTCCATGTAGTTGTGCAGTTTTGAGTGAGTCCTCTTAATTCTGAGTTCTAATTTGATTGCTCTGTGGTCTGAGAGACTGTTTGTTATGAATTTCTGTTCTTTTGCATTTGCTGAGGAGTGTTTTACTTGCAATTATGTGGTCAATTTTTGAATAAGTGTGATGTGGTGCTGAGAAGAACATATATTGTGTTGATTTGGGGTGGAGATTTCTGTAGATGTCTATTAGATCTGCTTGGTCCAGAGCTGAGTTCAAGTCCTGAAGATCCGTGTTAATTTTCTGTCACGTTGATCTTTCTAATATTGACAGTGGGGTGTTAAAGTCTCCCACTATTGTGTGGGAGTCTAAGTCTGTTTGTAGGTCTCTAAGAACTTGCTTTATGAATCTGGGTGCTCCTGTATTGGGTGCATATATATTTAGGATAGTTAGCTCTTCTTGTTGCATTGATCCCTTTACCATTATGGAATGCCCTTCTTTGTCTTTTTTGATCTTTGTTGGTTTAAAGTCTGTTTTATCAGAGACTAGGATTGCAACCCCTGCTTTTTTCGCTTTTCATTTGCTTGGTAAATAATCCTCTATCCCTTTATTTTGAGTCTATGTGTGTCTTTGCACATGAGATGGGTCTCCTGAATACAGCACACTGATAGGTCTTGACTCTTTATCCAGTTTGCCAGTCTGTGTTCTTTAACTGGGGGCATTTATCCCATTTACATTTAAGGTTAATACTGTTATGTGTGAATTTGATCCTGTCATTATGATGCTAAGTGGTTATTTGGCCCATTAGTTGATGCAGTTTCTTCATATTATTGATGGTCTTTACAATTTGGTATGTTTTTGCGGTGGCTGGTAGTGGCTGTTCCTTTCCATGTTTAGTGCTTCCTTCAGGAGCTCTTGTAAGGTAGGCCTAGTGGTGACAAAAATCTCTCAGCATTTGCTTGTCTGTAAAGGATTTTATTTCTCTTTCACTTATGAAGCTTAATTTGGCTGCATACGAAATTCTGGGATGAAAATTTTTTTCTTTAAAAATGTTGAATATTGGCCCCCACTATCTTCTGGCTTGTAGAATTTCTGCTGAGAGATCTGCTGTTAATCTGATGGGCTTCCCTTTGTGGGCAACCTGACCTTTCTCTCTGGCTGCCCTTAACATTTTTTTCCTTCATTTCAGCCTTGGTGAATTTGACAATTATGTGTCTTGGGGTTGCTGTTCTCAAGGAGTATCTTTGTGGTGTTTTCTGTATTTCCTGAATTTGAATGTTTGCCTGTATTGCTAGGTTGGAGAAGTTCTCCTGGATAATATCCTGAAGTGTGTTTTCCAACTTGGTTCTATTCTCTCTGTCACTTTCAGGTACACCCATCAATTGTAGGTTTGGTCTTTTCACATAGTCCCATATTTCTTGAGGGCTTTGTTTGTTCCTTTTCATTCTTTTTTCTCTTATCTTGTTTTCATGCTTTATTTCATTAAGTTGATCTTCAATCTCTGATATCCTTTTTTCTTCTTGACTGATTCGGCTGTTGATATTTGTGTATGTTTCACGATGTTCTTGTGCTGTGTTTTTGAGCTCCATCAGGTCATTTATATTCTTCTCTAAACTGGTTATTCAAGTTAGCAATTTCTTTAACCTCCCCCCCCTTTTTTTTTTTGAGATGGAGTCTCACTCTGTCACTCAGGCTGGAGTGCAATGGTGTGATCTCGGCTCACTTCAACCTTTGCCTCCCAGGTTCAAGTGATTCTCCTGCCTCAGCCTCCCAAGTAGCTGGGATTACTCGTGCGTGCCACCACACCTGGCTAATTTTTGTATTTTTACTAGAGACAGGGTCTTCCTATGTTGGTCAGGCTGATCTTGAACTCCTGACCTCGTGATCTGCCCGCCTGGCCTCCCAAAGTGCTGGGATTATAGGCATGAGCCACTGTGCTCGGCCTCTTCTAACCTTTTTTCACAGTTCTTAGCTTCCTTGCATTGGGTTAGAACATGCTTATTTAGCTTGGAGGAGTTTGTTATTACCCACTTTCCAAAGCCTCCTTCTGTCAATTCGTCAAACTCATTCTCTATCTAGTTTTGTTTCCTTGCTGGCGAGGAGTTGTAATCCTTTGGAGGAGAAGAGGTGTTGTGGTTTTTGGAAATTTCAGCCGTTTACGCTGGTTTTTCCTCATCTTCATGGATTAATCTACCTTTGGTTTTTGATGTTGGTGACCTTCTGGTGGGGTTTCTGTGTGGATGTCCTTTTTGTTGATGTTGATGCTCTTCCTTTCTGTTTGTTTTTTTTTTTTCTAACAGTCAGGCCCCTCCTCTGTAGGTCTGCTGGAGTTTGCTGGAGGTCCACTCCAGACCCTGTTTGCCTGGGTATCACCAGCAGAGGCTGCAGAACAGCAAAGATTGCTGCTTGTTCCTTCCTCTGGAAGCTTCATCCCAGAGGGGCACCCACCAGATGCCAGCCAGAGCTCTCCTGTATGAGGTGTCTGTCCACCCCTGCTGGGATTTGTCTCCCAGTCAGGAGGCACAGAGGTCGGGGACCCACTTGAGGAGGCAGTCTGTCCCTTAGCAGAGCTTGAGCACTGTGCTCGGAGATCTGCTGCTTTTTTCGGAGCCAGCAGGCAGGAACGTTTAAGTCTGCTGAAGCTGCACCCACAGCCACCTCTTCCCCTAGGTGCTCTGTCCCTAGAAGATGGGAGTTTTATCTGTAAGCCCCTGACTGGGGCTGCTGCCTTTCTTTCAGAGATACCCTGCCCAGAGAGGAGGAACTTAGAGAGGCAGTCTGGCTACAGCAGCTTTGCTGAGCTGCGGTGGGCTCCACCCAGTTTGAACTTCCTGGTGGCTTTGTTTACACTGTGAGGGGAAACTACCTACTCAAGCCTCAGTAATGGCGGATGTCCTTCCCCCTACCAAGCTCAAGTGTCTCAGGTCGACTTCAGACTTCTATTCTCACAGTGAGATTTTCACACTAGTGGATCTTAGCTTGCTAGGCTCCGTGTGGTTGTGATCTGCTAAGCTGGACCACTTGGCTCCCTGGCGTCAGCCCTTTTTTCAGGGGAGTGAACAGTTTTGTCTTGCTGGCATTCTAGGCACCCCTGAGGTATGAAAAAAACCTCCTGCAGCTAGCTTGGTGTCTGCCCAAATGGCCACCCAGTTTTGTGCTTGAAACCCTGGGCCCTGGTAGTGTAGGCACCTGAGAGAATCCCCTGGTCTGTGGGTTGCAAAGACCATGGGAAAAGCATAGTATCTGGGCCAGAGTGCACCATTCCTCACAGCACAGTCCCTCATGGCTTTTATTGGCTAGGGGAGGGAGTTCCCTGACCCCTTGCACTTCCCAGGTGAGGTGACACCCCACCCTGCTTTGGCTCACCCTCTGTGGGCTGCACCCACTGTCTAACCAGTCCCAATGAGATGAGCCAGGTACCTCAGTTAGAAATGCAGAAATCGCCCACCTTTTGGGTTGATCTCGCTGGGTGCTGCAGACCAGAGCTGTTCCTATTGGGCGATTTTGCTAGCCACCATGCCTCTATTTTTTAATACAAATTTCTGGAAGAGAATTTATTGTGTCAAAGGCATGAAGATACTTAAAGTTTTTGAAATATATTACTAGATTGTCCATAATGGTAATATGTAGGGAGGGCCTGGAAATAGAGATAACAGCTCTTTGTGCAGAAGCAAAATCAGGTGAGCAATACAGTGGAAGTTAAAAAGAATAGGACTTACTTGGGGATCAATTCTATATGCCTAATTATATTTTTTGGGAAATAAAATTTTGATAGCAGAATAGAGTCATGTATTCCTAAGGGACAGGTCAATGATATCTTGGCAGCCCCTAGGAGCAAGTCGAATAGTACATAACCTTTTAAATTTTTTAAAAATTGACATACTAATTGTACAAATTCATGGAGTACATAATGATGTAATTAGCATATTTATTATTGCAAACATTTATCATTTATTTGTGATGAGAACATTCAATATCCTCCTTCTAGCTATGTGAAATTATATGTTATTGTTAACTGTGGTCCACTTACAGTGGTATAGAACACTAGATCTTACTCCTGTTGTCTAGCTGTAATTGTGCATACTTCACCAAATCTTCCCTTATCTCTCCCTTCTCCTTACCCCTTCTAGCCTCTAGTGTCCTCTGTTATAATTTTAACTTCTATAATATCAACATTTTTCAGCTTCTACCTATGAGTTTGAACATGGGGTGTTTAACTTTTTGTTCCTTGCTTATTTTACTTAATGTCTTCCAGTTATATCCATGTTTCTGTGAATGACAGGATTTCATTTTTTTCATGGTGGAATAGTATTCCACTATACATATCATGTTTCTTTACCCATTCATCTGTTGTTGGACACTTAGGATGATTCCATATCTTGGCTAATGTGAATAGTGCAGCAATAAACATGGGGTTATGGATGTCTCTTTGATATCATTTCCTTTCCTTTGGATAGATTCTCAGTAGTGGGATTGCTGGGTCTTACAGTTCTATTTGTAGTTTTTTGAGGATCCTCTGTACTACACTGCACTGTGGCAGAACTCTTCTACCATCAGAGTAGAAGAGTTCTTTTTTCTCTGCATCCTTACCAGCTATTTTTTTTTTTTGAGGCAAAGTCTCACTGTGTCACCCAGGGGGGAGTGCAGTGGCGAGATCTCAGCTCACCGCAACCTCCACCTCCTGAGTTCAAGCATTTCTCCCACCTCAGCCTCCCAAGTAGCTGGGAATACAAGCACCTGCCACCATGCCCAGCTAATTTTTGTATTTTTAGTAGAGATGGGGTTTCACCATGTTGTTCAGGCTGGTCTCGAACTTCTGACAGGTGATCTGCCCGCCTTGGCCTCCCAAAGTGCTGGGATTACAGGCATGAGCCCCTGTGCCCAGCCATTTTTTTTTCCTTTCAGTAGTTCGAATATATCACCTGTTCTCTACTGGCCTTTTAAGTTTCTGCTGAGAACTCTGCTGTTAGTCCAATGGAGATTTTCTTGTATGTGACTTGATGCTTTTCTATTGCTGTTTTTACAGTTCTTCATTTTTGACTTTTGACAATTTGACTCTAATGTGCCTCAGAGAGAATCATTTTGGGTTGAATCTGTTTGGAGTTCTTTGAGCTTCCTGGATCTCGATGTCCATCTCTCGCCCAAGACTTGGCAAGTTTTCTGCTATTATTGTTTATTTGCTTTTAACCTGAATGAAGTTATTCAGTCAGTCAACAAGTGTATATTAAATTCAATTGCCTCATAACGTTGTGAACCTTGCTGTAATATCTTTTGTCTTTGGATGGTATATTGGTCCTAATAGGCTCAGACTTTACATTCATGTGTTCATTGACTGGATTTAATTTTATATTAGTTTTTTGACTTTTCCCCAGGAAGGACTTGCAAGATTTGTACTTCCTGAGCTCTTTCATGTTAAAAAATTTTACCTTTGTACTTGAAAGACAGTTTGGTAGGATATAATGTTATTTAGTCATATTTTGTTTCTCTTAGAACTTTGCACATATATCCCTTTATTCTCTTTTGATAATGGATATTGCTGAGGAGAATTATTAGGCCAGATTTATTTTTGCCTTACATAGAAAAAGATAGAAAATATATGTATTGTATAATACATATTACATTCTCTATATATGTATATACACATATACAGTAACACTCGGGTTTTGATACCTGTACCTCAAGTTTTATTTTACTATGGTGTGCTTTTTCAGTATGCAGATTTGGTTCTTGCTCCATTTCTGGGATAATTTCTATTTTTTACCTGTTTTTATGGTTGAATATCTTTTCAGGGATACCAGATATGTATAATTTAGATCATCTTTGTCCTCCATATTGATTATCTATAATTGTTTTGATTTTGTTCTTTAGTCTTTCATTGTGATTCTATTAAATCTTTGCTTTATGTCAGTCATCCACTTTACAGCTGTGTCTGTCCAATTTCTTTTGTTTGTAATTTATCAGTTTTATAATTATGATATCTTGGCTCTTAATTTGTTTCATTAGCTATGCAATCAGCCATTTAATTTCATTCTGTTCTTTCACCATTTGGTATCTGATTTCTTGTTTTATTAAATTGTATTGGATTTTGAGTAACGTGAAGCTATTGTGGAGAATTGTCCTTTGTTTCATTGCATATGTTTTCTTCCAATTGAGGTTCTTCAGAATGCCTTTTGCATGCCACCTTTCATTCTTTCAATGTTTTACTATAGCATTTTTGCACACTTGCCTGACTTTTTCTCTCTCTTTAAAAAATTGCTTACACTTAGTGTAAAATGTCTTAGTCTTTTGGTTGGTTGATGTAATATGAGTGAATTTTCTGTTACTCTTAATAATCTGTTTTATCTGAGTAATGATGGGTCTAATATTTTTAAATTGAATTGGCTTAGGTGTGACAGAAGAGTGAAAGCTGAGACTAAGGAAGTTGCTCATACTTAGAATTTATGTTGCCAATCAATAAAAATAGGGCATTTGAAGATGAAAGTACAAAATAATAATGCCATAAGACTGGATAATACAAATACCTGATATACAAAATATGATAATATGACTACTACTGATTTCCAGAAAATAAAACTGGATCTTGAGCTCTTTTCTACAATTTTGTTAATCCTATTTGTGGTAGTGTTTCTTAATCTCATGGTGGAATGGAGATGTTAGAAGATACTCTTGAAGCTGGAATTGTTTCCCCATTTCCTCATAGAAATTTGAGTCTTTCCTTCTGGAAAAGGAAGTCCACTCAGTTTTCACTTTCACTTTCCATCAATCGTTTACATCAGTCCTCTCAACATTGTTTACATCAGAAGGAGAAAATTTTAAAAACCCTTCCACAGTTTACTGCTTTTCAAATTTGTGGATATTCATGAGAATTATAGGAATATTATTATTATAATTTACCATTATATCTCCTGGAGCTGAGGTGGATTAGGCACCAAGCAAAAGGGATTAGCATTTTTTTCCCCTTCTTACCACTGTACATGCCAGGATGCTACTCCTACTTTTTCCATTTTTGTTAACTAAAAAAATTATATTAAGTTTTTTTGTAATTTGGAGGTACTTATTAGGTATTAAGGGAGAGAGTCTGTAAGCTCCTTTTCTGCCACATCCATTTAGACTTCTTGGTTGTTATATGTATGAATAATTTAAACATTAAAAACACATTTATGTGTCCAATATTTTCAGAATATGTTTATATTACTTTTATAAGCAAAGCAACATTTTACAAATTTCAGTTTTGATCTCTTCTTTAAGGTCTACTTCAGTTGCCACTTCTTCCAAGAAACTTCTCTGATATCCCTAGCCAAAAAAAACTTTTCTTTTCACTGAGTTTTTGCATAGTCTTTCTAGTCATAGAAAATATATTTTATTAACTGCTATTAAGGACCAGGCACATTTCTAGGTGCTGAGAATATAATTTATAAAATATGATTTTTGTCTTCATGATACTACCATTACAGTGATTGGAGGTAGGGAGGAATTGACCTATCATCTGTCTTAACTATTGGTTCTATACATTTTTGCTTATTGAAGTTAGAGTGTTTTATTCACTGATATATCTTCCACAAAATCTCATATAATATATGGCACAAAATGGAAGCTAATAAATGTCTGTTGAATTAATGTATCCAAAATGAATGTCTTATTAGCTGGACTGTGGAAAGACAATGCTTACAAGTGAGAAGCAAGAGGGAAGTAATCACAACCAGGTAAGATTTCAGGCCTATTTAGCTGACAGGATGCCTGCATAGGCAATTTTAACAGTGTCTCAGTGGTACAGGCACTTTGTTATAAAAATAACAAAGCTGAGCTCAAGCGGTGGTCAAGGCTAGGAAATGATGGGCACAGAGAATATCAATGATTCTTGGAGCAGAAGGAGCCAGCCCAGGTAGCACTGAAAGGGTCCCTGGAAGCTGGAGTAAAGTGGTTAAATCATATTTCAATGCTTCAACTCCTCTTCAGGTTATGAAATTTTCCAACATTACCCAGCATAGAAAGTACAAAATCATTTATAACTAACTTTCAGAGAGAAAGGCTTGAATACCCAGAGACTTAGAAAAAGTTGAATTCTCATAATTAATTTCATTCTGGAAATGCTAAGCTGGGAAATTTTTCCTTTTCTTATTACAAGGCTGCCATGTTCCTAGCTGTTGGCAATATAGAGTTGACATTTTTCCAAAACAGGAATCTTCACAGGCATCTTATTTACAACATCAAGTAATGAAATATCATTCTTTGCAATTACGTGACCAAGAGCAAAAGAAACAGGCATGGGAACTAAAGAACCCAAGAAGCTAAGCTAAAAGAAGTGTTTTCTTATATTTTGCATTAAAAAATTATTATTTAGGCTTCATGAGCAAACCATGAAATAAGTGGGGAAAGTGAGGCTTTTGGTATGAATGTAATTTTGAGCAAGTTCATATATTTTGAAGACTATTTGACCATTGATACTTAGATTTGGAAGAGTTGTCTAGCCCAGTCAGTTGATGAATGTGATTTTAGTTAGTCTATGGTTGAATATCATTTTAATAATTATGTATATATTTTGGAGTGTATTAGGAAGGGAAATAATAAACTCCAAATTCATTTATATGAAAAAGTAATTAATGTAGAGGAATATACTGGAATACATTGGAATAATGGTACTAGGAAAATTTTACAAGTGGGTCTTGAATTGCACGTAAAAAATCTGATCTAGACCAAACTCGGGTTCAGTGTAGAAGAATAGTAAGCAGCAAGTGACGTGGCATGAGTGGGTGAGGGCTCATCTCCTCATTGTAGATTATCTCATTATTATACAAGTCCAGTCCTTGTTAGAGTATCAGAGTTATATTTTTTCCTCTTAGGTCACACATTCCTAATTCTTACTATGATTCCTCATTTGATGTTGTCTTAATTTTTTTCTTTTTTCTCTCTTTTCTTTTTTGAGGCAGAGTCTTTCTCTGTCGCCCAGGCTGGAGTGCAGTGGCATGCCTTCTTGGCTCACTGCAACCTCTGCCTCCCGGGTTCAAGCAATTCTCCTATCTCAGCCTCCCAAGTAGTGGGGAGTACAGGCACCTGCCACCATGCCCGGCTAATTTTTGTATTTTTAGTAGAGACAGGGTTTCACTTGTTGGCCAGGCTGGTCTTGAACTCCTGACCTCAGGTGATCCACCTGCCTCGGCCTCCCAGAGTGCTGTGATTACAGGCATGAGCCACTGCGCCCGGCCATTAATTGTTTGTCTTTGGGTTACGTCTAGTGATACCATTAGAGAAAAATAATGATAGAAGGAAACATAGAGATCATCTGGCCTGGTGTTTATCAGACTGACAGCACCAGAACTCTTTCTTATCATCTTCCTCCTCCTTCTTATTTTCTTTTTTTTTCTTTTTTTTTTTATTATACTTTGTTCTGGGGTACATGTGTAGAGTGTGCGGTTTTGTTACATAGGTATACACGTGCTATGGTGGTTTGCCTGCACTCATCAACCTGTCACCTACATTAGGTATTTCTCCTAATGCTATCCCTACCCTAGCCCCCAAACCCCTGAAAGGCCCCGGTGTGTGGTGTTCCACTCCCTGTGTTCATGTGTTTTCCTTGTTTGACTCCCACTTATGAGTGAGAACATGCGGTGTTTGGTTTTCTGTTCTTGTGATAGTTTACTGAGAATGATGGTTTCCAGCGTCATCCATGTCTCTGCAAAGGACGTGAACTCATCCCTTTTTTATGGCTGCATAGTATTCCATGGTGTATATGTGCCACATTTTCTTTATCCAGTCTATCATTGATGGACATTTGGGTTGGTTCCAAGTCTTTGCTATTGTGAAGTGCTGAAATATACATACGTGTGCATGTGTCTTAATAGTAGAATGATTTATAATCCTTTGGGTATATATCCAGTAATGGGATTGGTGGGTCAAATGGTATTTCTACTTCTAGATCCTTGAGGAATTGCCACACTGTCTTCCACAATGGTTGAACTAATTTACACTCCCACTGACAGTGTAAAAGCTTTCCTATTTCTCCACATCCTCTCCAGCATCCGTTGCTTCCTAACTTTTTAATGATCACCATTCTAACTGGCGTGAGATGGTATCTCATTGTGGTTTTGATTTGCATTTCTGTAATGACCAGTGATGATGAGCTTTTTTTCATGTTTTTTGGCTGCATAAATGTCTTCTTTTAAAAAGCGTCTGTTCATATCCTTTACCCACTTTTTGATGGGGTTGTTTTTTTTTCTTCTAAATTTAAGTGTCTTGTAGATTCTGGATATTAGCCCTTTGTCAGATGGATAGATTAGAATAATTTTCTCCCATTCTGTAGGCTGCCTGTTCACTCTGATGATAGTTTCTTTTGCTGTGCAGAAGCTCTTTAGTTTAATTAGATTCCATTTGTCAATTTTGGCTTTTGTTGCCATGGCTTTTGGTGGTTTAGTCATGAAGTCTTTGCCCATGCCTATGTCCTGAATGGTACTGTCCAAGTTTTCTTCTAGGATTTTTATGGTTTTAGGTCTTACATTTAAGTCTTTAATCTATCTTTAGTTGATTTTTGTATAAGGTATAAGGAAGGGGTCCGGTTTCAGTTTTCTGCATATGGCTAGCCAGTTTTCCCAACACCATTTATTAAATAGGGAATCCTTTCCCCATTGTTTGTTTTTGTCAGGTTTCTCAAAGATCAGATGGTTGTAGATGTGTGGCATTATTTCTGAGGCCTCTGTTCTGTTCCATTGGTCTATATATCTGTTTTGGTACTAGTACCATGTTGTTTTTGTTACTGTAGCCTTGTAGTATAGTTTGAAGTCAGGTAGCGTGATGCCTCCAGCTTTGTTCTTTTTGGTTAGTATTGTCTTGGCTATACAGGCTCTTTTCTGGTACCATATGAAATTTAAAGTAGTGTTTTCTAGTTCTGTGAAGAAAGTCAATGGTAGCTTGATGGAGATAGCATTGAATCTATAAATTACTTTGGGCAGAATGGCCATTTTGACAATATTGATTCTTCTAATCCATGAGCATGGAATGCTTTTCCATTTGTTTGTGTCCTCTATTATTTCCTTGAGCAGTGGTTTGTAGTTCTCCTTGAAGAGGTCCTTCACATCCCTTGTAAGTTGTATTCCTAGGTATTTTATTCTCTTAGTAGCAATCGTGAATGGGAATTCACTCATGATTTGGCTCTCTGTTTGTCTATTATTGGTGTATAGGAATGCTTGTGATTTTTGCTCATTGATTTTGTATCCTGAGACTTTGCTGAAGTTGCTTATCAGGTTAAGGAGATTTTGGGCTGAGACAATGGGGTTTTCTAAATATACAATCATGTCATGTGCAAACAGACAATTTGACTTCCTCTCTTCCTATTTGAATACCCTTTATTTCTTTCTCTTGCCTGATTGCCCTGGCCAGAACTTCCAATACTATGTTGAATAGGAATGGTGAGAGATGGCATTCTTGTCTTGGGCCAGTTTTAAAAGGGAATGCTTCCAGTTTTTGCCCATTCAGTATGATATTGGCTGTGCGTTTGTCATAAACAGCTCTTATTATTTTGAGATACATTCCATCGATACCTAGTCTATTGAGAGTTTTTAGCATGGAGGGGTGTTGAATTTTGTCAAAGGCCTTTTCTGCACCTATTGAGATAATCATGTGGTTTTTGTCATTGGTTCTGTTTATGTGACGCATTATGTTTATTGATTTGCATATGTTGAACCAGCCTTGCATCACAGGGATGAAGCCGACTTGATTGTGGTGGATAAGCTTTTTGATGCTTATCCATCAAAAAGCTGGATTCAGTTTGCCAGTGCTGCTGGATTCAGTTTGCCAGTATTTTACTGAGGATTTTGCATTGACGTTCATCAGGGATATTGGCCTGAAATTTTCCTTTTTTGTTGTGTTTCTGCCACATTTTGGTATCAGGATGATGCTGGCCTCATAAAATTTGTTAGGGAGGATTCCCTCTTTTTCCATTGTTTGGAATAGTTTCAGAAGGAATGGTACCAGCTCCTCTTTGTACCTCTGGTAGAATTCGGCTGTGAATCCCTCTGGTCCTGGGCTTTTTTGGTTGGTAGGCTATTAATTACCGCCTCAATTTCAGCACTTGTAATTGGTCTATTCCGGGATTCGACTTCTTCCTGGTTTAGACTTGGGAGGGTGTATATATCCAGGAATTTATCCATTTCTTCTAGATTTTCTAGTTTATTTGCATAGAAGTGTTTATAGTATCCTCTGATGGTATTTTTTATTTCTTTGGGATCAGTGGTGATATCCTCTTTATCATTTTTTATTGCTTCTATTTGATTCTTCTCTCTTCTTTATTAGTCTGGCTAGTAGTCTATCTATTTTGTTGATCTTTTCAAAAAACCAGCTCCTGGATTCATTGATTTTTTTGAAGGGTTTTTCGTGTCTCTGTCACCTTCAGTTCTGCTCTGATCTTAGTAATTTCTTGTCTTCTGCTAGCCTTTGAATTTGTTTGCTGTTCCTTCTCTAGTTCTTTTAATTGTGCTGTTTGGATGTCGATTTTAGATCTTCTCTGCTTTCTCTTGTGGGCATTTAGTGCTATAAATTTCCCTCTACACAGTGGTTTAAATGTGTCCCAGAGGTTCTGGTACATTGTGTCTTCATTCTCACTGGTTTCAAAGAACATCTTTATTTCTGCCTTAATTTCGTTATTTACCCAGTAGTCATTCAGGAGCAGGTTTTTCAGTTTCCATGTAGTTGTGCAGTTTTGAGTGAATTTCTTAATCTTGAGTTCTAATTTGATTACGCTGTGGTCTGAGAGACCGTTTGTTATGATTTCTGTTCTTTTGCATTTGCTGAGGAGTGTTTTACTTGCAATTATGTGGTCAATTTTCAAATAAGTACAGTGAGGTGCTGAGAAGAATGTATATTCTGTTGTTGATTTGGGGTGGAGAGTTCTGTAGAAATCTAGTAGGTCTGCTTAGGCTAGAGCTGAGTTCAAGTCCTAAATATACTTGTTAATTTTCTGTTTTGTTGATCTGTCTAATATTGACAGTGGGGTGTTAAAGTCTCTCACTACTATTTTGTTGGAGTCTAAGTCTCTTTGTAGGTCTCTAAGAACTTGCTTTATGAATCTGGGTGCTCATGTATTGGGTGCATATATATTTAAGATAGGTAGCTATTCTTGTTGCATTGATCCCTTTACCATTATGTAATGCCCTTCTTTGTCTTTTTTGATCTTTGTTGGTTTACAGTCTGTTTTATCAGTGATTAGGATGGTAACCCCTGCTTTTTTTTTTTTTGCTTTTCTTTTCCTTCGTAATTATTCCTCCATCCCTTTATTTTGAGTCTGTGTGTGTCTCTGCACGTGAGATGGGTCTCCTGAATACAGCACAATGATGGGTCTTGACTCTTTATCCAGTTTGCCAGTCTGTGTCTTTTAATTGGGGCTTTATCCCATTTACATTTAAGGTTAATATTGTTATGTGTGAATTTGATTCTGTCATTATGATGCTAGCTGGTTGTTTTGCCTGTTAGTTGATGCAGTTTCTTCATAGTGTTGATGCTCCTTACAATATGGTATGTTTTTGCAGTTGGCTGGTACTGGTTGTTCCTGTCCATGTTTAGTGCTTCCTTCAGGAGCTCTTGTAAGACAGGCCTGGTGTGACAAAATCTCTCAGTATTTGCTTGTCTGTAAAGGCTTTTATTTCTCCTTTGCTTATGTAGCTTAGTTTGGCTGGATATGAAATTCTGGGTTGAAAATTCTTTTCTTAAAGACTGTTGAATATTGGCCCCCACTCTCTTCTGGCTTGTAGGGTTTCTGCAGAGATATCTGCTGTTAGTCTAATGGGCTTCTGTTTGTGTATAACCCGACCTTTCTCTCTGGCTGAACTTAACATTTTTTCCTTCATTTAAACCTTGGTGAATCTTGACAATTTTGTGTCTTGGAGATGCTCTTCTCCAGGAGTATCTTTGTGGCGTTCTGTGTATTTCCTGAATTTGAATGTTGGCCTGTCTTGTTAGGTTGGGGAAGTTCTCTTGGATAATATCCTGAGGAGTTTTTTCCAACTTGGTTCCATTCTCCCCATCACTTTCAGGTACACCAATCAAACGTAGGTTTGGTCTTTTCACATATTCCCATATGTCTTGGAGGCTTTGTTTGTTCCTTTTCATTCTTTTTTATCTAATCTTGTCTTCTTGCTTTATTTCATTATCTTCAATCACTGATATCCTGTCTTCTGCTTGATTGATTCAGCTATTGATACTTATGTATTCTTCGTGAAGTTCTTGAGCTATGTTTTTCAGCTCCATCAGGTCATTTATATTCTTCTCTAAACTGGTTATTCTAGTTAGCAGTTCATCTAACCTTTTTTCAAGTTTCTTAGCTTCCTTTCATTGGGTTAGAACATGCTCCTTTAGCTCTGAGGAGTTTGTTATGACCCACCTTCTGAAGCCTACTTCTGTCAATTCGTCAAACTCATTCTCCATCCAGCTTGTTCCCTTGTTGGTGAGGAGTTGTGATCCTATGGAGGAGAAGAGGCATTCTAGTTTTTGGAATTTTCAGCCTTTTTGTACTGGTTTCTCTCCATCTTTGTGGATTTATCTACCTTTGGTCGTTGATGTTGGTGACCTTTGGATGGGGTTTCTTTGTGGACATGCTATGCCTTCTATTTGTTAGTTTTCCTTCTAATAGGCAGGCCCCTCTGCCTCAGGTATGCTGGAGTTTGCTGGAGGTCCACTCCTGACCCTGTTTGCCTGGGTATCACCAGCGGAGGCTGCAGAACAGCAAAGACTGCTGCCTGTTCTTTCCTCTGGAAGCTTTGTCCCAGAGGGGCACCTGCCAGATGCCAGCCAGAGCTCTCTTGTATGAGGTGTCTGTCAGCCCCTACTGGGAGGTATCTCCCAGTCAGGACACATGAGGGTCAGCAACCCTTAGCTGAGCTTGAACGCTGTGCTGGGAGGTCTGCTTCTGTCTTCAGGGTCATCAGGCAGGGACATTTAAGTCTGCTGAAGCTGCACCCACAGCCGCCCCTTCCCCCAGGTGCTCTGTCCCAGTATATGGGGGTTTTATCTATAAGTCCCTTACTGGGGCTGCTGCCTTTTTTTCAGAGATGCTTTGCCCAGAGTGTAGAAAACTGGCAGTCTGCCCACAGCAGCCTTGCTGAGGTGCAGTGGGCTCTGCCCAGTTCAAACTTCCTGGCTGCTTTGTTTACACTGTGAGTGTAAAACCACCTACTCAAGCCTCAGCAATGGTGGATGCCCCTCCCCACACCAAGCTCAAGCGTCCCAGGTGGATCTCAGACTGCTGCTGTGCTGGCAGTGAGAATTTCAAGCCAGTGGATTTTAGTTTGCTGGGCTCTGTGGTGGTAGGACCTGCCAAGTCAGACCACTTGGCTCCCTGGCTTCAGCACCCCTTTCCAGGGGAGTGAACGGTTCTGTCTCTCTGGCATTCCAGGTGCCACTGGGTTATGGAAAAAAAAAAAAAAAACTCCTGCAGCTAGTTTGGTGTCTGCCCAAATGGCCACCCAGTTTTGTGCTTAAAACCCAGGGCCCTGGTGGGGTAGGCACCATAGGGAATTTCCTGGTCTTGGGTTGCAAGGACCATGGGACCAGCACAGTATCTGAGCCAGACTGTGCACAGTTCCTCAGGCTCAGTCCTTCACAGCTTCCTTTGGGTAGGGGAGAAAATTCCTCGACCCCTTGTTCTTCCTGGGTGAAGTGATGCTCTGCCCTGCTTCGGCTTACCCTCTGTGGGCTGCACCCACTGTCCAACCAGTCCCAGTGAGATGAACCAGGTACCTCAGTTGGAAATGCAGAAATCACCCACTTTCTGCATCGATCTTACTGGGAGCTGCAGACCAGAGCTGTTCCTATTCAGCCATCTTGCCAGCAATCCATTTTTTTTTTCTTTTTAAAGGAGTTCTTTTCAGGACTCCAAGTTTAAGAGTTAAGAATGGCCCCTGGACTGATAGGGGTGAGTAAGAAATGTAGGGCCTTATTAATTGATCTCTATTCTCCAATAGGGGAATTTTCCTGGGAATTCTATGGTTCTATCAAACACAATCTGAAAAATGTAGGTTTCAGTTATCTGTTGCTTATTGTTTCTCATTGTTACATAGCCATCCGATTTTTAGTGGCTTAAAATAGTAATTTATTATTATCTCATATTCTTGTGTATTGACTGGATTCAGCTGAATAGTTTTTTCTTGAGGTCTCTCAAGGTTGCATCTGAGGTTAGAGTCATCTAGAGACTTCCTCACTCTTATAGTTTCTGACTGAACTAGGATGGCTGGAGGAACTGGGGATTTGATGGGTCATTGTGGGCCTTGACCTGGCCTCTCCATGTGGCTAGCTTGAGCTTACTCATAGTATGGCGTTCTCATCTTAAAGGGTAGCTGCCTGTCTCCATAGTGAGCATTCCAAGAGACTTAGATGGAGGCTTCCAGGCTTCTAGTGACCTATCCCTGTATATCACTCAATACTAATTTCACCATTTCTGCTTGTCAAAGAACTCATAAACAGTCCAAATTCAAGAGATGGAAAAATAGGTTCTACCTCTCAATGGGGAAATGTACAGGGAGGATAGGTATTGATGGCAGTCATTTTGAGAAAAGCTACCTCAGGTAGTATTAAGTCCAGAGAAGGTAAGGACTTATCCCTAGACCCCAGGGCCAAAAATGGCAGAGCCAAGATTTAAGCCAAAATTATAAAAAATAAAATCCACTTTCTAAGAAAGTCTCAATATCCAATCCTTCCACTTAGTACTGAAAATTAAAAATCTCACTCCACTGACTGTAGATCAAGCAGGCTTTGTATTGAAAATGTTATTATGATTGGCATGAATTTAGATTAAAAAAAAGTAACTAGATCCAATACCTAATAGGTAATGAGAGAACATCATTTATAATTTTATCAGCGAATGTCAAAGGCCTAGAAAGAAATCTAGCAAAATATATGTAAGACCTCTAAAGAGAAAATATAAACTGTAGGAAACAGCTATTAAGAAGACTTAAATAAATGCTGAGATATACCACATTCATGGATAGGAATTCTTAATATCATTGTTGATTCTTCTAAACCTGTTTTGTAGATTCAAAGAATTTCCAATAAAAATTCTAGCCATTTTTTCCCACACAGAACTTGATTAAGATAATTCTAACACCAACATGAGAGAGTAAAGGGCCAAGAATTGCCAGGACATTTCTGTAGAAGAGCAGAAAGATATGCAAAACAATGTTTTGCACTGTTAACAATGGCAAAAACCCGGAAATGGCCCAAATGCCCATCTGACGGAATGTATATGAATAAATGGTGGTATGTTCATAGAACTGAATGAATATAATTCATTGTTTACACAGTGGTCAAAGCCATGAAGTATAGAGAAATATGACAGTATAGATGAATCTTAGCAAGTTAATATTAAGGGAAAAAATAAGTGCTCACATTTTAATTCAGCTTGATAACCATTTTGTAAAATAACTATAATACTTTTAGAAGATTCTTATAAATATAGTTAAACTATGTAAAAAGGAAAACAAGAGACTTATGAACACAAGATTTAGGATGATGCTTATCTTAGCTGGAGAAAGATAGCAGAATGAGATGGGTTTCATATGGTTAGTTATTATAAAGTATCTTCTGTTTTGAGTGGTGGGTTGGCAATACTAAACACATTATTAAAGTTAACCAAATACATAAAGCAGGTCATGCTAGGGCCAATGAGGAGACCAAAATTATTATTAATTGAATTCTGTACATTTAAGGTCCAGCAAACAAACTCAACCCTGGTAAGTATTGTTCAACCTAGGTACTCTGCTATCTACGTTGTGGCAGGTAAACTGACCTTAGGCTAATTATGAGGTTAGGTAGGTTTATCTTTGTTGCTTTCCCATCAGCAGAGCTTGTGCTTACTTTGTCTATCTCAAATGGTGTAGAATGACTGACATTTGGAGTTGGCAGTGTCCTAATCCTCTAATTATACTCATTGATTTTTAAAGGGGAGAAAACTAAGGATAAGAGAATTTATGTGGCAATAGGATGCAATCAAACCAGGACAAGAACATACAATGTATTACTCCTTGTCTGATATCTTTGTTTTTTATATTAATCAAATTCTAAATTACTGAGGTACCATTGTACAATTAGGCCCTGTGAATTCTATGTATTTATCTGTAATAGATAATACATTTATTTATAAGTGTACTTTCTGAGACATCAAATTCCAGCATATCTCTAAAGGTATAATTGGAGTTTATCAATTCCTTCTCTCTCTCTCTCTACACACACACACACACACGCACACACACACACACAGATAAATTACTTATTTGAAAGTTTCAATAGCAACACTATCAAATATGATAGGGCCCATATTTATGCCCCTTCACCCCCGACCATATTGTAAAGCTGGTGGTAAAATTTAGGAGTACAAATGTTCCTTAGATATTATGTTTTTACCGGCCAGGCGCGGTGGCTCACGCCTGTAATCCCAGCACTTTGGGAGGCCAAGGTGGGTGGATCACCCGAGGTCAGAAATTCGAGACCAGCCTGACCAACATGGAGAAACCCCATCTCTACTAAAATACAAAGAAAAAAAAGATTATGTTTTTACCTTTTCTTCATTATATTCATTAAAACATAATAGTCATCTCCTAAAAAAGACAAGGCCAAAGTTTGTCAAATTTTGTGTTGCAGTGTTTTCATAGTTTATCTATTTTTCTTGGTTTCATCAGAATGGGAGAGGAGGAGTCAGGTTTACATTCACTGGGAAAAAACCCAAGAAATAATTTTCTCATTTTGTAACCAAAGCAGGCAATAAAAGAAGATATTTTGGTGTAGCCTGGGTGTCTTAGTCCCATTTAGGCTGCTATAACAAAATACCATGAATTGGGCCACTTATAAACAGAATATGTTCTCACAGTTCTGGAGGCTGGGAAATCCAAAATCAAGGCATCAGCAGATTGTCTGGTGAAGGCCTGCTTTCCAGATGGCTTTTGATTATAACCTCACATGGTGGAAGAGATGAGGGCCTCTCTGAGGTCTCTTTTGTAAGAGCACTAATAACCTCCCAAAGGCCCCATCTCCTAATACTATCATCTTGGGGGTTAGGATTTCAACACATGAATTTGGCAGAGACACAAACATTCAGACCATAGTACTGGATACAGCTATATTTAATTATGGGAAGGATGACGGACTGACTGAATGGAATGGACAGTTTTATACGTCAGCTTGATTAGGCTATAGTACTCACTTGTTAATCTAATACTAATTTAGGTGTTACTGTGAATGTATTTTGCAGGTGGGGTTAATAGCTACAATCAGTTGACTTTAAGTGCAAGAGATTACCCTCAACAATGTGTATGGGCATTATTCAATCAGTTAAAGGACTGTAGGAACAAATCCTGAATTTTTCTGGAAAGGAGGAACCTTTGCTTCACAACTACATCAACTCCTGCCTGAGTTTTCAGTCTGCTGACCTGCCCTACATTTAATTTAAGACCCACCAGCCCCAACAATTGCATGAGCCAATTCCTGAAAATAAATCTCTTTATGTATGTATCACTTATACAAACATTCACACATACGTTAACATACATACATATATATGTGTACGTACATACTTATGCCCCCTATTGGTTCAGTTTCTCTGGAGATTCCTCACTGATATTCTTGCCTCATGAAGTGAAAGAGTACTGGGGAATTGGAGTTGTTCTGGTTTTCCCATTAACCAGTAAGGTGAACTCAAACAGTCTACGGGCTTCTTGAGAGCAAGGACTACATTTTCCTTACTGATATTTCTCTGACATCTACATAGCTCCTAGTGCACATTAGGTGCTCAGTAAGTATTTGATGAGTGAATGAATAGATGAATAGTCTGCCTTTTCCTTGGGCTCAGTTGTCTTTTCTAGAAAAGAAGGAGGTTGATCTAACTACATTCCCTTAGGCTCTTCCAGAAATGTAGAGTAGCAATTAAGAAATTCAGGTCTGGATTCAGGCACAATGGGTTTGAATCCCAGCCATGCCACTTAATAGCTATATGACTTTGGGTAATTTAGTTTAACCAATCAGTATGGGTATTCCCACCAAACATTACCTCATTTAATCCTTACCACAAGTCTAAATGATATATATATAGTGTTTATTCTCCTTGGAACTCACCCTGCTCTGACCCAATATACTTCAACTCTTCTGTGGGCAAAGCAGGTGGACGGACATGCATGTGTGATTCTGTTCCACACAGCAAAGACATCAATGCCTCCTCCTGTTCTCCTGGCTAATCTGAGCTACAGCCACATGTGCTGCCAGAGGCATTTGGCAGACTAACCCAATGTTCAGTTAGGTGTGTAAAGAGTAAGTCAGTAGCTCAATGGGGCAACATAATTAGTTCAAATATGTGGGCCCAGTCCTCATAGATATCGTGCCCTGAGCAGTGGGATTTGGTGTTAAATGGAGTTGGAGACATGCTGGGTCACAAACAGAAGCTACACGTCAGGCTTGATTTCTGGTCTGTGAAATGGGAGTCGAGTGGGCAAGGAGCCCCCAGGATTTTCCATGAGGAGGCACTGAGCACTATTCCAAGGGGAGAACCATAAGATCTGTCTGGGTTTAATGCTAAGTCAGAAACCAGAGTGGAAGCCCTATCCAAAATTCATCCAATGTCTGCGGTTATTTCAGACAGCTGCATGCTCTGTATCACATTGTTCCATTTTACTGTCATCACATCACCTAACCTCACTGGACATTATTTTGTTCATTTACTCACTTACTTATTTACTCTCTGTCTCACTGACCAGACTTAAGCATCTGAGAATAAGAACCTTACATTTTTTGTTCACTGTTGGATCATCAGCTTCTAGAATAGTTGATTTGATATATACTTGTCAAATGAATGAATGAAAAAATCCTTTCTCTTAGGGACATCTGAAAAGCACCAGGCAACTAGCAGAGATGTAAATTAGTTTTGTTCTTTTTTTTTTGGCCACTGACCGAACACCTTTCAAGATCATGATATTATAAGGGAAAAGGAAAGTTGGATTAAAAGTAACTATGCACTCCCTCCATTGCCCATCTAAGCTTCAATACACTATAATTTGTTTTCTTAAAGCTCCCTTCTAATCCTAGTCAATTATTTTTCATGCTTAAAGTTACAAGTGGCCAGGATACATCTGTGTGGAGTTATGAATGGTTACAGAGAGTGGTGAGGGAAAAGAGGGTTAAACTGGTCAATTATTAATTTAAAAATGAGTATGAATGGTTTTATTTAGACTACCTTTTCCTTCTGCAATAACTGGGAGTACAAACCAACCAACCCTGACTTTAGAGTTAGAATTGGGGCTCTAGCCTTGGCTCTGTTACTCTTGGATGACCTTGAGAAGGTTGCTCTACCCCTCTAGATTTTGGTTTATGTTCATTCCTCAGCTATAAGTTGAGCACTTACTAGGTAATGGTTGCCAATCTAGGTAACGGAGATACATTTGTGTGGAGTCAACAAAACAACCTGGAGTCTTTACCCTCATTAAGTTTACCTGGCCAGAGTTGGGGGTGGGTGTAATAGACAGTAAAAATGGAAACTAAGGTAAGAAAATTACGATAGTGATAAGTGCAATAGAATAAAAAGAGCTAGACAGGCACACAAAGGTAAAGGAAAATGTGAACTGAGCAGGATGGGGCATTTCTCTTTTTGGAATCAACATAAAAATTCAGAGACTTGAGTGACACATAGTTAGTTACAAGGATTGAAAGAAGATCTCTCCAGGCAAGTTCAAAGCTTTGAAAGAAGAATGAGTTTCATTGATTTGAGGACCAAAATGGCGTCCAGTATGGCTGGCTGGTGCTTAGTGAATAGAAGAGAAAGCAGGAGATAAAGTTGACTGGGCCAGATCATGTAAAGCCTGCAGACAAGGTATCTGAATTGTTTTCTAGTGCAATGGGAAGTTAATCCATCTTTTCTTGCTAATTGATTACTCCTTTTAACCTATATCTCTTAACTTTGGAGTATCCCAGGGTCTGTGGATCCCTCTCGTCTTATTTCTACCAAAGATCACACCCCAGGTGATCTCATCCAGTCCCCTGACTTTAAATACCATCTATATGCTGATAATTCCCAGATTTATACCCATAGAGCAACTTCTGCATTCTAGACCTGTGTATACAACTGCCTACTCAATGCTTTTACTTCATGTCTAAAAGGAAACTCAAACTTTACATGCAAAAGTGAACCTCCTTCTGTCCCTACAAATCTACCTCCCCAGCAGTCTCCCCTGTCTTTGGGAAGGATGAGTCCATCTATTTAGTTTTTTTGAGCCAAAATACCTGGAGTCATTCTTGATGCCTCAGTTCCCAGACATCCACTCTGTCTGCAAACTCTGTGGGTTCTGTCTTCAAATTATGTCTGGGGTCTGATTACCCATCACTTGCCACGAAGTTATTCCTTAGTTCAAACCCCATCATCTCTTGTTTGGATTATTGCACTAACCTCTCACCTTTTCTTCCTGCTTTAACTTCCTTCACTCTATTATCAGCATAGCAACCAGAGTGTTCCTTTACAAATGTAAGTCAGATCATGCTGGCTTTTAATCTATGTTTTAATCAGTACAGTCCAAGGTCTTCTCATCTCACTCAGAGCAAAGGCCAAGCCCTCACAATGTCTTACCTGGCGTTTCCTTGCTGTTTCTTGAACATGCCAGGCATGCTTCTGCTTCCAGGCCCTTGCCCTGGCTGTTTCCTCAGTCTAAAGAGCTTTCCCCAGATATTCACATGGCTCATTCCCTTACTTGCTCAATTCGTTGCTCAAACACAACCTTCTGCTTGAGACTGTTCCTGACTGCCCATATAAAAATTGCACCCCCGGCACTAGCCACTTTGTTTATCGTCAGCATCCCTAAGTAGGACGTATACTCCCCAAGGTCAGGCATTTTTGTTTGGTTTCTTCGCTGCTATATTTCTAACAGCTAGAACAGTGCCTAGCACATAAGGCAGCTCCATAAATGCTGAATGTTGACAAATGAGAAGGTTTCAAACAGGGGAATGATATGACATATTTTATGAAGATTGTTTGGCTATATATGATGTGTGGACTGCAGGGGAGAATGGGAGGGAGCACAGACATCCCTTAACGGCTGTTGTGGTAGTTAAGGAGTGAGATGATAGTAGCATATTCTAAGATGTTATGGGGAAGCTGCTGAGAAATAGCTAGGTTTGGAATATACAGTTGGCCCCCTGTATCCATGGGTTCTGCATCCGTGGATTCAACCAATCACACATTGAAAATATTCAGAAAAAAATTGTGTCTCTACTGACAAACTTGTTATTATTTTTTGGTCATTATTCTCTAAACATAGTATAACAACTATTTACATGGCATCTACATTGTACTAAGTATTAGAAGTAGTCTAGAGGTAATTTAAAGTATCTGGGAGGATGTGCTTAGGTTATATGCAAATACTATTTTATTTTTATTATTTTAATAGGTTTTTGGGGAACAGGTGGTGTTTGGTTACGTGGCTAAGTTCTTCAGTGGTAATTTCCAAGATTTTGATGCATCTATCACCTAAGCAGTGTGTACTGTACCCAATGTGTAGTCTTTTATCCCTCACTCTCCACCCACCCTTTCCTCCACATCCCCAAAATCCATTCATTGTATCATTCTTATGCCTTTGCATCCTCATAGCTTAGCTCCCACTTATGAGTGAGAACATATGATGTTTGGTTTTCCATTCTTGAGTTACTTCACTTAGAATAATGGTTTCCAACTCCATCTACGTTGCTGCAAATGCCATTATTTTGTTCCTTTTTATGGCTGAGTAGTATATCATGGTGTGTGTGTGTATGTATATGTATGTGTGTGTGTGTGTGTGTGTGTATCACATTTTCCTTATCCACTTGTTGATTGATAGACATATGAGCTGGTTCCATAGTTTTGGAATTACAAATTATGCAACTATAAACATGTGTATCCAAGTATCTTTTTCGTGCAATGACTTCTTTGCCTTTGGTTAGATACTCAGTAGTGAGATTGCTGGAACAAATGGTATATCTACTTTTAGTTCTTCAAGAAATCTCCACACTGTTTTCTATAGTGGTTGTACCACTTTACATTCCCATCAACAGTGTAAAAGTGTTCCCTTTTCACCACATCCACGCCCACATCTATTATTTTTTGATTTTTTCATTATGGCCATTCTTGCAGGAGTAAGGTGGTATCACATTGTGGTTTGATTTGCAGTTCCCTGATCATTAGCAATGCTGAGCATTTTTTCATATGTATGTTGGCCATTTGTATATCTTCTTTTGCGAACTGTTTATTCAGGTCCTTAGCCCACTTTTTGATGGGATTATTTGTTTTTTCTTGCTGTTTTGTTTGAGTTCTTTGTAGGTTCTGGATAATAGTCCTTTCTCAGATGCATAGTTTGCGAAGGTTTACTCCCACTCTGTGGGGTGTCTGTTTACTCTGCTGACTGTTCTTTTGCTGTGCAAAAGCTCTTTAGTTTAATTAAATCCCACCTATTTATCTTTTTTTTTTGTTGCATTTGCTTTTGGGTTCTGGGTCAAGAAGTCTTTGCGTAAGCTGATATCTAGAAGGGTTTTTCCAATGTTATCTTCTAGGATTTTTA
This sequence comes from Homo sapiens, assembly GCF_000001405.40. Lineage (NCBI taxonomy): Eukaryota > Metazoa > Chordata > Mammalia > Primates > Hominidae > Homo > Homo sapiens. The sequence goes on from NC_000005.10 coordinate 152,048,491, forward strand.
TGGTTTCAGGTCTTAGATTTTAGTCTTTGATCCATCTTGAGTTGACTTTTTTTTATATAAGGTGAGAGATGAGGATCCAGTTTCATTCTTCTACATGTGGCTAGCCAATTATCCCAGCACCATTTGGTAAATAGGTTTTCCTTTCCCCAACTTATGTTTTTGTTTGCTTTGTCAAAGATCAGTTAGCTGTAAGTATTTGAGTTTATTTCTGGGTTCTCTATTCTGTTCCATGGGTCTGTGTGCCTATTTTTTATACCAGTGTCATGCTGTTTTGGTGACTATAGCCTTATAGTATAGTTTGAAGTCAGGTAGTGTGATGGCTCCAGATTTGTTCTTTTTGCTTAGTCTTGCTTTGGCTATGTGGGCTCTGCTTTTGTTTCATATGAATTGTAGGATTGTTTTTTCTAGTTCTGTGAAGAATGATGGTGGTATTTTGATGATAATTGCATTGGATTTGTACATTGTTTTTGGCAATATGGTCATTTTCACAATATTGATTCTACCCATCCATGAGCATAGGATGTCTTTCCATTTGTTTGTGTCATCGATGATTTTTTTCAACAGTGTTTTGTAGTTTTCTTTGTAGAGGACTTTTACCTCCTTGGTTAGGTATATTCCTAAGTGTTTTATTTTATTTTTTTTTTGCAGCTGTTGTGAAAGGGGTTGAGTTCTTGATTAGATTCTCAGCTTGGTCTCTGTTGGTGGATAGCAGTGCTACTGATTTGTGTACATTAATTTTGTATCCAGAAACTTTACTGCATTCATTTATCAGATCTATTAATAGAAGCTTCTTGGATGAGTCTTTAGGATTTTCTAGGTATATGATCATAGCATTGGCAAACAGTGACAGGTTGACTTCCTCTTTACCAATTTGAATGACCTTTATTTCTTTCTCGTGTCTGATTGCTCTGGTTAGGACTTCCAGTACTATGTTGAATAGAAGTGGTAAAAGTGGGCATCTTTATCTTGTTCCCATTCTCAGGGAGAATGCTTTCAACTGTTCCCCATTCAGTATAATGTTGCCTGTGGGATTGTCATAAATGGCTTTTATTATTTATGGTATGTCCCTTGTATGCCAATTTTGCTGAGTTTTAATCATAAAGGGATGCTGGATTTTGTCAAATGCTTTTCCTGCATCTATTGAGATGATCATGTGATTTTTATTTTTAATTCTGTTTATGTAGTGTATGACATTTATTAATTTGCTTACATTAAACTATCCCTGCATTCTTGGTATGAAACCCACTTGATCATGGTGGATTATCTTTTTGATATACTGTTGGGTTCAGTAAGCTAGTATTTTTGTTGAGGATTTTTACATCTATGTTCATCAGGGATATTGATCTGTAGTTTTCTTTCTTGTTATGCCCATTTCTGGTTTTGCTATTAGGGTGATACTGCCTTCACAGAATGATTTAGGGAGGATTCTCTTTCTCTACCTTTGGAAATAGTGTCAATAGGATTGGTACAGATTCTTCTATGAATGTCTGATAGAATTCACCTATGAAGACATCTGGTCTTGGACTTTTTTTTCTTGGTAATTATTTTTATTACCATTCAATGTTGCTGCTTGTTATTGGTCTGTTCAGAGTTTCTTTTTCTTCCTGGTTTAATCTAGGAGGGTTGTATATCTCCAGAAATTTATTCATCTCCTCTAGGTTTTCTAGTTTGTGTGCATAAAGGTATTCATAGTAGTCTTGAATGATCTTTTGTATTTCTTTGCTATCAGTTGTAATATCTCTTGTTTCATTTCTAATTTGAGCTTATTTGGATCTTCTCTCTTCTTTTCTTGGTTAATTTCACTAATAGTCTATCAATTTTATCTTTTCAAAGAACCAGCTTTTTGTTTCATTTATCTTTCATATTTTGTTTCAATTTCATTTAGTCCTGCTCTGTTCTTTGTTATTTCTTTTCTTCTTCTGGGTTTGGGTTTGCTTTGTTCTTATTTCTCTAGTTTCTTGAGGTGTGACCTTAGATTGTTCATTTGTGCTTTTTCAAAAATTTTTATGTAGGCATTCAATGCTATGAACTTTCCTCTTAGCACTGCTTTTGCTGTATCTCAGAGGTTTTGATAGGTTTTATCACTATTATTGTTCAGTTCAAATAATTATTAAATTTCCACCTTGATTTTATTGACCCAATGATCATTCAGGAGGAAGATATTTAATTTCTATGTATTTGCATGGTTTTGAGGGTTCTTTTTGGAGTTGATTTCCAATTTTATTCCACTGTGGTCTCAGAGAGTACTTGATATAATTTTGATTTTCTTAAATTTATTGAGACTTGTTTTGTGGCCTATCATATGGTCTATCTTGGAGAATGTTCTAAGTGCTAATGAATAGATTCTATGTTCTGCAGTTGTTGGGTAGAATGTTCTGTAAATATCTGGTAAGTCTGTTTGTTCTAGGGTATAGTTTAAGTCCATTGTTTCTTTGTTGAGTTTCTGTCTTGATTTCCTGTCTAGTGCTGTCAGTGGAGTATTGAAGTCCCCCACTATTGTGTTGCCATCTATCTCATTTCTTAGGTCTAGTAGTAATTGTTTTATAAACTTGTGAGCACCAGTGTTAGGTGCATATATATTCAGGATTGTTATATTTTCCTGTTGGACTAGTCCTTGTATCATTATATAATGTCCCTCTTTGTCTTTTTTAACTGTTGTTGCTTTAAAGTCTGTTTTGTCTAATGATAGCTACTCCTGCTTGCTTTTGGTGTTCATTTACATGGAATATCTTTTTCTACCCCTTTACCTTAAGTTTATGTGAGTCTTTATGTGTCAGGTGAGTTTCTTGAAGACAGCAGATACTTGGTAGGTGAATTCTTATCCATTCTTCCATTCTGTATCTTTTAAGTGGAGCGTTTAGGCCATTTACCCTCATCGTTAGTATTGAGATATGAGGTACTATTCTGTTTATCATGTTAGTTGTTGCCTGAATAACTTGGGTCTTTTTTTTTTTTTCATTTTGTTATTGTTTTACAGGTCCTGTAAGATTTGTGCTTTAAGGAGGTTTTATTTTGGTGTATTTCAAGCATTTGTTTCAAGATTTAGAGTTCCTTTTAGCAGTGCCTGTAGTACTGGTGTGGTAGTTGGTGAATTCTCTCAGCATTTGTTTGTCTGAAAAGGACTGTATCTTTCCTTTATTTATGAAGCTTAATTTTGCTGGATACAAAATTCTTGGCTGATAATCATTTTGTTTAAAGAGGCAAAATATAAGACACCAATCCCTTCTAGCTTGTAGAGTTTCTGCTGAGAAATCTGATGTTAATTTGATAGATTTTCCTTTGTAGGTTACCTGATGCTTTTGCTTGAATAAGTACTTCGGTTTCTTAGGTGGTAGGTGGGACCATAGAGGCTCACAAGAGATTGTGTCCTTTGTCTTTGGCTACTTGGGGCTGGTAGAGAAAGACCATCAGGTAGAAGCAGGGTTAGGCATGTCTGAGCTCAGACTTTCCTTGGGCGGCACTTGCTGTGGCTGCTGTTGTGGATCGGGAGGTAGTTCTCAGGCTGATGGAGTTACATTCCCAGGGGGATTATGGCTGCATCACACAGGTCACCAGGGAAGTAGGGGAAAGCCGACAGTGACAGGCCTCACCCAGCTCCCATGCAGCCTAAAAGGCTAGTCTCATTCGCACTGTGCCACAACCCCCCCGCCCCCCACACGCCCGTCCCCACCCCTGCCCCAACAGCACTGAGTTCCACCCCCAACAACAGCACTGAGTTTATTTCCAGGCAATCAGTGAGCAGGGCTGAGAACTTGCCCTCAAGCTACAAGCCTCCCTGCTGAGAAAGCAAGCAGGGCTTTCAGATTTTACGCCTCCCTGCCTGTGGTAGCTTCTGTGCTGGTATCTGCACTCCTGGTTTGCCTCCTGCCCTGGATTCTGTCCGGGGAATCTTTGCATTTGGTCAAAATTGTTACAAAGTTCAGCTGGAAGTTTTCTTCTCCCTGTGGTCTTTCCCCAGTTCCACTGGCAGCCCTCCCCAAGCAACTGTGAGAGACAGTCAGGAATGGCTTTTCTGGGGACTGAGAGCGCCCACAGGGCTTTTACTGCTGCTTCCTCTACCCCTATATTTTGCTCAGTTCTCTAAATTCATCTCACCTCCACATAAGGTCAAATGCTTCTCCTGTCATCTGGACCTTCAGGTTCCCCATTGAGGATGTGTGTTCGAGGGCAGACATTCCTCCTCTCACACTCTGGGCACTCACAGTGTTTTGGCTGTCTCACCGAGCTTGCAGTGGCACACCCCTTCCTTCAGAGGGTCTGTGGATTCTCTCAGCTTTCCTGGTATGTTCCCACAGTAGTTCTTGGAGCAAAAGTTTACAATGTGAGTCTACACACACTGTTCTGTCTGTCTGAGTGGGAGCTTCAAGTTAGTCCTGCCTTTTGTCTGCCATTTTTATTTTTATTTTTTTGAAACAGTGTCTTGCTGTGTCACCCAGGCTGGAGTGCAGTGGCATAATCACAGCTCACTACAGCCTTGGCCTTCCAGGGTCAAGTGATCCTCCTACTTCAGCCTCTCGAGTAGCTGGGACTAGAGGAGTGCGCAATAATGCTTGGCTTGGTTTTGCCATGTTGCCCAGGCTGGTCCCAAACTCCTGAGCTCAAGTCACCTGCCCGCCTCAGCCTCCCAAAGTGCTAGGGTTACAGGCTTGAGCCACCTCACCCGACCTCTCTGCCATTTTATATCAAGGCCTTGAGCATCTGTGGATTGGATTTTATATCTGAGGGAGGTCCTAGAACCAATCCCCTGTGGTTACTGAGGGAAGGCTCCATTTTGACAGAACTGACAAGACTGGCTGATGGATTAAATGTAGATTGATAATGAGGAATCAAGAATGAATTTTAGATTTTTTTAATCTAAACAATTAGACAGATGATGGTATCATTATTTAAGATGAGGAAAATGGGGGGTGGGCTGGCTTTTATTTATTCATTTGTTTGAAGGTAGATTTAAGATTTCTTTGGGGGCATATTCAGGGTCCTTTGAAGTATTTATTTATTTTGGATTAAACACCTAGACTAGGCAAAAAGTTGGATATGTAAATCTAGAGCTCATGGGTGAGGTCTGGGCTGCAAATATAAATTTGGTAATATTAACATGTCTGAAATAAAGGAAATTAGATGAGTATGTCATCCTCTGCTCTGGAGTTTATGTTCTTAGGAGTAAAGGTGGAGGAATGGGGGCAAAGGATACCCAAGTAAAAAGTAAAGTGACAGAGAAGTGACATTATTAATCAGGGACCTATCTATAGAGCACTCACAATGTATGCACCGTGCTTGGTGCTGGTATTCCTGCGGTAAAAAAGATGAATGCAATCCTTCCCCTGAGGGAACTTACCAGTTATAAAGCAGTCTACTTCTATTACAAAAGCTAATAGGATTATAAGGGAAAGAAAGCTCTATTGTTTATTTTGATAGAATGAGTGGATTTTTCCCCACCCTCCTGTGTTTGAGAATCCTAATTATTAAGTTTGGAGTGGGTCCCAAATTTAACTTGGTATAGATGCATGTGAATATACAATAATTATAGCCAGGGTGAGGGTTGCATTCAAGTAAATGGTACAAAATCCTTAAGCTATCCAGGTCTCCCTTTGGTCGAGGTCATGGTATGGAGCAATTGTCCATTATTTCTAATTCTCTGTGGATAAAGAAGAAATAAACATTTATTGAGCTCTTAGTGTGTGTTATGTACTTAATACCATTTACCTACATTAATTGAGCCCTCCCTGTAATGTATGAGGTAGGTGGCATTATCCCTATTTTGCAGGCCAGAAAACTGAGGCCAAGGAGGGTTAATAAATGTTCTAATGTCAAAAAGTGAGGCACTGGCAGATCCAGTACTCACCCTGAGGTCTGATGTAATTTCATGCTCTTTCAACTCTAAAGCCTAAAGGAACACAAAATAAACTTAGTATTTCTTTCACATTATAGTACATACTTAAATTCATCTTTTCCTTCCCAGTCTGCTTTTCCTTGGGCTAAACAACTTCAGTTCTTTCAAATAATCTACGTGTTACATATTAACTGTTACAGTGCTTGGCATAGTACCTGGCACACAGTCAGTGCCTTACAATTGCTAGTGAATATGATTCTGCCATGTGGCAGCTAAAGAAACTGAGTCTTACAGAAGCAAAGGGGCTTATCCAGTGTCTTACACCTAATCATCTGCTCTGCTTCCAAGTTCTAGCCACATTTTACTTCTATCAGTTTTTGTTTCTTGAATGCAGTTCAACTAGAATAAGGCCATCCTTTTCCCCTCCTATATTTAGGCCTCTATACTCCTTTTAATATGGTTTCAATTGACTTGGCCTTCAGGGAACTCTCCTTGTACCCAAGGGTGTGTCTTCTCCTTTGGTTTAGTGCAGCAGTTTGTTTATTCATTCACTTTCTGAAACTGGAGCTGGCTGGCTGGCAGAATTTAATCAGAAGATTGTGTAACCATGGCAAGAAGCTGCCCAAATCCATAACTATAACGAGAGAGTGGGAGACAGGAGAATTGGATTAAAAGGCAGCTCGCTTTACAAAGAAGGAATCTTCAACTTTTCCTCCCTTTCACCTCTTATTACCCACCTATGAGAAGAAGGATGAAAACCAAAGGTAAAACTGTGAAGTGAGGTCAGCTCTGAGAGACCCCAGGGAATTTCTAAAGTGATGGGGTTAATTAGACATGTGGAAGTATATCCTGTTTGGTAGGGTCTCTATAAAAAGAGATGGGTATTACTATTCATCCATCTCTCCATCCCTCCACCTACCATCAATTCAACAATTCTAACAATCAAGTCAACATGTTTGTCTCTAACTTCTCTACCCTCTAATCCATGACAGACCTATCTTCCTCCCCTAAGCCCACCATCCAAGCTTCAGCAACATCAGTCCAACTAGGAGAAAACTTCAGTGTGACCTACATGGTTCTGGGTGAGCCAGAGATTGCTATGGACTTTAGCTGGGTATATCCAGGGCAGAAGGTAAGCAGCAGGTAATGGAGGCTGTGTATATGTGTGTACGTGGTGGTGGAGTGTTGGGGCAGGGAGGTGGGAGTGAGGGATTAGTTAGGGCCATGAGATTACAGAGAAGTGGAATCGAGAGATGTTTATGTCTAAGGCTCCCTGAGAAGAACCCCAATTCCTCCTTGTTTAACCCCCCTACTCTTGTGCGTGAGATTTCTCTGCTTGGCATTCATTGCTTTACCATAACAATCACAACAATATGTATACAGCACTTAGGAATATGAAGTGATTTTCACATCTACCTTATTATTTGAATCATAACAGAAATTCTGTGAATGCTACAGAGTAAGAAAAGGTGGTTTAATGCAAGGGTTTTGAGCAAAAGTTTGGAGTTGAGAAGACCAACTTGACAGCCAGGCATGGTGGCACATGCCTGCAATGCCAGCTACTCAGGAGGCTGAGGTGGGAGGATTGCTTGAACCTAGGAGTTTGAGACCAGCCTGGACAGCATAGTGAGACCCCCATCTCAAAAAAAAAAAAAAAAAGATGGCCAATTTGTTATGGGGCTTTTCCATGGTGTTAAACCTCCCCAAGTTGTGGTTTTCTCATCTGTAAATTAGGTAACATGGTACAAATAGATTAGGGCATTTGTGAAGATTAAATAGCAATAAAAACAATAGTGCCTGCCATATATTATGTACTCAATACATGTTTGCTATTATTATCTCCATTTGATGGATGAAGAAACTGAGAATCAGACTTGTCTGATGCTGCCAGAGCTGGACTAGAGCCCGGATCTCCTGATTTCCAGCTGGCTCTGGCCGTTCCAGCCCGTGGAATCAGCATCATTGCATCTCCCCTCACAGTAAGGACAGGGCCGCTGGGGTGAAGATACTTTTAAGTTGGCAGGGAAAATAAGCCTTATTATTTTATTTTTTTTTCCAAATCAGGATTTACTTCAGGGTCATTAAAACGCTGCTATGGTTTGTAAGATTTGTTGGAGTTTCTAAGTATATTTTAGTTGCTAAACCTTGCTTGAGGCTCTAGGGCAAAGGTGTTTGGGGTCCTTTGTTTTAAACAAGATGAATAAACAAGGAGGAGCATGATAATCAATGAAGAGGTTGGACTGGCTGGGTGCTGTGGTCCTTTAAGCACAGACACTTTGAGTCTTACTGCTCATCCGTCACTTCCCATCACAAACCTGGTGGGAAATTGGCTAAGTACCCAAGCCATACCTCTATGCCTTCTAGATTTGTATTCCCCTAACCTTCCAAGGAAGAAAGTGGATCTTGGGGCAAGGTGGCAAGATGGCTTTTGTGAGAAGCTTTTAGACTATGCTCGCTTCAGGGTAGGATCCTTTTAGGAGGAAGTAGACAAACTGGAGTGTCTTGGCCAAGATCACACAGAAAGTTGAAGAGGCAAGGCTAGAAGTCAGGTTTCTTAATTCCCAGGTTAGTGTGCTATCTGCCAAACCATACAAATACCCCTAAAAGCCTGAAAAGAGTCTCTGAATGTGTGCATGAGTGAGTGCGTGCGTGCATGCAGCTATGTGCGGAGGGGTACAGGAAAGGGAGAAGACTATCATACTGCATGCCCTCTCCTGTTCTTCTTTCCAACACATGTGTGCTCAAGGGACAGCTTTGGGACAGGATCGACATTCCTAAAGAGTATCAGTTTGAGGCTTGTGTACACAGAGAGGTGGAGCATCTCCACCACATCCCCTAGGAATCTGCCACCCAATATGTGGTCTTTGAACCTACGGCAGCTGCGGCACCTGGGAGCTTGGTAGAAATGCAGCACTTGGGCTACAACCTGGACCTACCGAATGTGAATCTGCATTTTAACAAGATGCAGATGTGATTTGTAGGCATGTTCAAGCTTGAGAACCACAAACTAAGAGATGTTAGAAACTCATAGGCTGGCAATATATGTCTGGACTGTAGATTGCCAACCTCTGGTCTGGATGGGAAAAGAATGATGAGTTTGTCCCATGTGCAGCTTTGATTCAGTGGTAAATTCTTGGATCACTGTGCTGAGAAATATTGATAGAATTATTTTCATGTTCAATTAGTGATACCTGCCATAGATTTGGAATGGAGAAGAGGCTCTTATGGGCTAGGTAGTCACCATCACTGAATGAGACTACCTAGAAAGCTCTCCCAGCTCTGAAATTCTCTAACTTTCATGCTGGCAAACTACTCTTGGGCTGGAGGCTGGGTGATGCCTTCTGGAAGTTGTGCTGGTTCTGCCCTTAGCTAGCTCTGTGATCTTTGGGAAAGTCTCTTACATCCTTGGAGCCTCAAATACCATGTCTGCCCCCGATCTAGGTTTACTGGGAAGCCTAAATAAGATAGGGAATATCAAACAGATCTGTGGACCAAAATAGGTTGTAGAAATAAAAAGTTTTTTATGTAACAGTGATGAGGAGAATGAAGACAATTAAACAGGCTCAAAGAATATGTGTGGCATTCCTAGAACATAGAGAATTAATGGCCAAATCAGAGTCAGAATTCAAATTTCCCAACTCCCAGGTGGATTGACTGTGTCTTGGGATTAGTTCTACATTCCATACCTAAACACTTGAAAAAGGAAATCATATAAATGAACACATCCAAATTTAGTGATGGTGATGTGGTAACTGCTAATATCTATCGTGTATGTATATTGCGCCAGGAACAAAACATAAAGTTTGTAACATGTATGATCTCTTTTAGTTCTCACATCAACCCTCTGAAGTGGGTATTGTGTATAATCCCACTGTACGGGAAGAAACTGAGGCTTAGACTGTGACTTTTCATTGAACATCTTGCTTTTTAATGTGGGATAATGTCTTACATCAAAGGGTTACAGTTATAATGGTGGAAATTCAGGCCCCAAGATAAGCCAGTTGAATGGGGGGAAGGAAAGGTACTTTTTGGGTAGAAGCAGATTGGCATATTCCAGTGCTCCTGAAATTGCGCCAGAAAGTGGTGGCAGGTTCTGCCAAGAAGGCGTGGCGTGAGCTGAGTTTGTCACCTTGTAGCAGTATGTGCTGCCCTGGCCCCTTTCAGGCTGAAGATACTGTAGCTGGCAGTCCTAGTGTGGGGAAGTGCCAAGTCAAGTTGGAAAGCAAGACTTTTAGACAAGATGACCAGCAAAGGTGGGGCCACAGAGCTGGGCTCGACCAGACTGCTGTGCTCCGTGTTTATAGCACGGAGCCCATCTCCAAATTAAATCTCCTGGACTTGTCACTTGGGGTAAGGTGAGGGAGAGCAAATCAACAGAACACAGAAGCAAGGGAACATGAGCCCTTTTCCTAATCTCAATAGCTGGAGGCCCAAGGAATCCCGAGAACATTAGTTCTAAGTTTAACCAGTAGGGTCCATAAAGAAGTTTTCTCCCACCATTAAGCAAAACGGTATAGTGGGGAAGTGTTTGGGCTCTGAATTGATCAAGGCAGTTCAAGTCCTCTGCCGCCATTTGCTAGCTGCGTGGTGGTGGGCAAGTTTATTAGTCTTTAAACCTCAATTTTCTCATCTGTAACATAGAGACAACAATGGAACCTGCCTCAAAGATGTGTCAGGGAGATTCAGTAAGATCACGCATTTAAATTCATCACAGTGCCTGACACAGTAAATATTCAAAACATTGATGGCTTTGAACAAAGTTATTATTGTTAGCATCATTATTATCATCCTGATTGTTAGGGTATGAGGGGTCTAATAAATCGTAACTCTTTGGCTTGAGTTCTGTGTCAGAAATCTGCATTAAGAAATAAGACAAAGAAATAAATCAGAAGTGAGATCAAAATGCCACTTTTACTACCGGAAAGCTAACACTGGAGGATGTAGCCTGAATGGACAGAATAACAAAGCCCTGCTACTCCATCCTGGCCGGCACAAGCTCCTTTCTTGGGAAAACCTACTTTTGTACAATTCACTGCCAAGACGATGGGTGTGAGTTCTCTGTAGGTCACCTGGCCCAATAAGGAAGAGAAACAATTGTAGAGCTTTGTATACCTGTCCTCAAATCCTTATTTATAAGCTCCTCTCTGCAAAGAGTGCAGAGATCAGGGGAGTGGGGAGGGTTGAGATGGGGCAAAAGAGGCTGGGGAAAGGTTTAGGTTTTATAACAAGGAAGACTGCTCCGAGTAAAAGGAAATATCAGGAGTGAGCAGTAAGAGCTTCTTCCAACCTTCATATATTACTGTGTAACAAAAACAGTGGCGTACTTAGCGTATTTGACATTTGGAGAAGATCATTTAATATTGCCTCCCTCAATTAGACAACAGAATTATTTTCAGAAATAACTATATAACGATCAGAAACAACCTTTGGTTTTAAAACAATCAACACATCAGAATCATTCATTTTACTTATTTACTTATTTTTTAGAGACAGGAGATCTCGCTCTGTCATCTAGGCTAGAGTTCAGTGCTGTAACCTCAGCTCACTGCAGCCTTGAGCTCCTGAGATCAAGCGATCCTCCAGCCTCAGCCTCCTGAGAAGCTGGGATTACAGGTTGCCTACCACCATGCCTGGTTAGAATTCATTTTATTTTTAAAGGTGTTATTCAAACTCGGTAATAGTTGACATCTGCACTAAATTTTTCACTTACCAAACAAAGATGCTATACTTTACATTTTGTACCTGTCTCAGTGTTTTACATTTTAAACCAAAATAGGAGCATTAAGTGATTCCATAGAATGACAGAACTGAATGATCTCAACTTCTGTTTTCCCTGCTTTACAATCACTGTGCTATCCTTGTTTATTCCAAATCTACTGTTTAAATGCTGGAATATGTAGTGCAACAGGGGCTGGAGGCAGGAACCAGGCCCAAATTTCAAACTGTCACAAACTTTCTTTTGAAATTAATCTGTGGGGCTGAGCCTAAACATTCCAAACTTATTTATATATTATCAAAGTTCCACAGTAACCTCAGCAATTATTTTGATCTTAGACCAACCAAGATTTTTGGGGGAGGAAGGAGGCATATTTTATCACTGGCATTGTTTAGGATTTCAGGTACCTGGTAATAATAAAAAGCAGATGCTTTTTGATCATTTTAAAAATTACTGGCTGGGCGTGGTGGCTCATGCCTATAATCCCAGCACTTTGGGAGGCCAAGGTGGGTGGATCACCTGAGTCAGGAGTTTGAGACCAGACTGGCCAACATGGTGAAAACCCATCTCTACTAAAAATACAAAAATTAGCCAGGCGTGGTGGCTCACATCTGCAATCCCAGCTACTTGGGAGGCTGAGGCAGGAGAATTGCCTGAACCTGGGAGGCAGAGGTTGCAGTGAGCTGAGATTGTGCCATTGTACTCCAGCCTGGGCAAGACTGAGCAAGATTCTGTCTCAAAAATAAATAAATAAATAAATAAATAAATAAATAAATAAATAAATGATAAATAAATTCAAAATCCTCTACAGACAATGCACGTCCTTATTGCCCATATATCTGGGACAGATTGCGTCCCTTTTTTGTCTCCCGTTATGCCACTGAGTAAATACTATGCAGGGCTGGGAATCAGGATTTCTGGGTCCTAGACTTATCTTTGCAATTCTCAGTTTCTAATTGGGCAACTCTCATTTCCTCTCTGGGCCTCAGTGCTCCTAACTGTAAACTGAGGGGGCTGACCTGGGTCATCTCTAAAAATTTCTTTTCCGCTCTAAACTCTGCTTTGAGAAGTCATCTTTCACCAGAGAGAGGGTAGACTGGAAAATGAATTTGAAATCTGAATCTGTCTCTGTTTGGGGAGTGATGCTGATTTATGGGGACCAGTCAGTGAAGGGAGATCATGTGCTTTTGATTTATACCAGTGGCATGATGTGCTTGGGCTTACGCAGTTCTGAAGGAGCTGAGAATAAAATAAGAGGAAGTTTCAGGGTTGGCTGCACTTGACAGGAAGAGGAGGAAACTATGACCCAGTGGCGGTGTTGATGGTGATGATGGTGCTAGCAAACATTTATTGAGCACTTATTATATGCTAGGCATGAAATCTTCATAATGTCATCATGATGAAGATAACCACTATTTATCACCAGTTTGCAGATAAAGAAATTGGAGCTGTGCTCAAGGTCACATAGTTGACAAATGGCAGTTGTGGGGTTTGAATCCAGGTTGTCTGACTCTAGACTCTGTATTTTAACCATTGTGGTAGAAGGCTGGGATGTGAGTAGTTGTTTCCCCTGGACAGTGTCTCTGCTGTGGGCTGGCCATATCCAGGGAAGGGGGTTACTGGGTCCTGGCATTACAGAAAGGGCCTAGGAGGCTCTGTTAAAGCAGAGTTTGGCTTGGTTTCAGAGCTTTCCTGTTTCTGGCACATTGTAAAACCACTAATTGTTAATGTTCTGAGGGGGGCTTTGAATCTCTGATCTACCTTCCTCTTCTTTGAGGCTATAGAGACTGAAGTTTCAAGGAGGGCAAGTGACTTATTTAAGGTGACCCAGATTTAGGGGCAGGTTCGGAACCAGGATTTCATCAACTGGTCCTGCCTTGACAGGCAAAGTCTGGCCTAGCTTCTTCCCATAATCTCCACCTTTGCTCTTGGGGTTCCCAGGCCACATTTTTCTAGGAATTATCTGGGTCTGGCACTTAGCTACCTCCACTGTTAAGTGCTGGGTTAAACAGAGAGATGACATTCAACCCCTTCTCATCCCACCGCAGGGATCTTTTGTCCATGGGTGAACTCTATTGTTCTTGTACTGAGTTTCACAATGATTTTGAAATTTAATGATTCTACGAAGCGTTATTTCCTCCTGTAAAGAACCCAAGAGGCTTGTATTACACATTACTATTCCATTCATTAGAGTACAAGCTCTCTCTGCTACGCACTGGAGTCATAGACAGACATAGTCCCTGCTTTTATGAAGCTTATAGTCTAGTGCAAGATAAATGTTAAATAAGCCACAAAATAATTAGTTAATTACCCTTGTTGTTATTTAATTTGTATTTGCATATGAGGGTATGGAGATTTTTCCCCCTAAATATGTGCAGTCTAAAAAGAGCTATGAGCTCTTTTCTAATCTTAGCTTTTCTCTGAAATCTTATATTTCATTTTTATTATATCTCACTTTGTTTAAAAAATGTGGCATATTTTACAGTACATTGTCAAAAATGTCACATTGTTCTTTATCCCAAACAAATGAAATTTACCTTGTAACCAAGTCTCTCTTTCTGGAATAGCTACAGATCTGAGCAGAGAACAATGGAAGGTAATACATCTTCTACTGCAATTGCCTTAACATTCATCATCTTTCCTCAATTTTTTTATTAAAAACTAGAGATTAGAAAGTCTATTTTGTTTCTATTTCAGCCAAAGTTTGTTGAAGATTGCAACAGTCTGGGGGCTTCCTGGATATGCGTGCAATAAGTTGTAATACCTGATATATGTTATGGGTTTTTTTTTCCTCTCTGGATGTTTCAGTTGTGACCACCAGTCTTCTAATTGAGCTTCACAGTGCACCATAGTAATCCCATTTTATAGAGCAAAATGGGTGAGATGTTTCTCATGTAACACAATGAAGAATAGAATTACTGACTATAAGTTTGGGAATCTTGCCACAAGTGATATTTAGTCTCTTAACATCTAAGCAGATCTAAATTAGAATCCTATCATCTCTGCTTTCATCCATCCATTCAACAAATATTTCTTATCTGCATGTATCTTCCACAATCCTGGCACCCTGATAGATGCTGAGAATACCCTGGGGCACAGAACAGGCCAAGTCTCAGATTTCATGGAGCTTCTATTCTAGTAGGGCTGACTACTATACACAAGTAAATAAATACACAAGATAACATCAAATTGTGATGAGGGCAGTGCAATAAAATCACTAGGGTTATGGAAATAAGACTAACTCAGTGGTGATGGCCACATCTTTATTGAGGAAATGACATTCAAGTTGAATCCCAAAGGAAAAGAAGAAACCAGCCAGGTGGGGAGTGGAGCATTATAGCACACGCAAAGGCTCTGAGGCAGGAGCTGGCTTAGTGTGTTTGAAATACCAGAGAAAACCAAGATTTGTTGTCTAAAGAGCAGTGGTGGTGGTAGGGAGAGTAATGGGATGGGTGGCTGCAGAGGAAGCAAGGTCAGATCATCTGCAGCCTTTAGGGCAAAACTAGGGAGTTTGGAATATTCTAAGTATAGCTGGGAAGCCAATGAGGAATTTAACAAGGGAGCCATAATTATACCATTCAATGGGATAGTTTAAGGGGAGCAAATCTGAAAGAAAGAAAGAATGCATTTGGAGGCTGTCACAGTGGTCCAGGCAAGAGATGATGGTGGCTTGGCCTATGACGGTGGAATGGAAATGGAGAGATGGAAAGTTTCAAGACAAATTTAGGGACCAGGGCAAGGGAAAGAGATTTAAGGCTATCTCTGAAGTCTGGCTTGAGAAATTTATTAGTTACATTGTCTTGGGAAAGATTCTTATCCTTTCTGAATCAGAGGATTGGCTGGGGCATGACGTGAGACCCTGGGAGGAGACTGAAGACCTAGGTGGGATAAACCCAGGGCAGGGAAGGGAAGATGGTGAATGCTGTTGGGCATCTGTGCAGTGGCTTAAATTGCTTCTCCACCAAGAATTATAAAATGTCACAACCTGAAGAAACCTAAACTACCAATAGCGTCAGTTACTCAAGGAAAACGACAGTGACATATATTGCTTCAGCTTATACCCACAATACCTAGTTAGTAGAAATTGAATAAAGACTTTTTCTTACTAAAATATGTATTATTCAAGACTTTTGGGGTTACAAGGAAAAGAAATGCAGCTTGAACTGGTCAAAAAAGAAGAAAAATTATTTGCCATTACCATGAAAAGATAAAGGGCTAAACTTCAGGCTTGGTGAAATCTAGGTGCTCCAGTACTGTTATCCATCATCTGATTCCTGTGAGTACAGGATCTTCCTTCCTTTGTGTTGGCTTTTCTCAGACAAATTTTCCTGCAGGGGTAGCTAAGTTGGAAATATTTACTTCAGGTTGGTATGTGAGCAGCTCCAACAGAAAGTAAGCACCTGTTTCCCAATAGTTACAACATTAAGTCCAGGGGTAGGTTCTTTTTGACCTGGCCTGGATTGCATGCTCATCCCTAAGCCACTCTCAAAGGTCAGTGGGTGAACTATGTGGATGGCTCAAGGTCTGGCTGGTAAGAGGGATCGCCCCTGTTTAAACCATACGAATGGAAAATAGACGATTCCCAAGGAAAATGGAGCTGCTGTTGCTGGAAGCTATAATACATGCTGGGGAGGCAAGAATGACAGACCCAACAGGGGCCCCATGAATTCCAATTCAGAATCTCATCTGCCAAACAGATAAACGCTGCATCTCCCTTCACTCATTGATTCCCCAGAGGTGGTCAGAACGGGGACATGTACAGTCTGACAATGCACAGAAGGCAGAAACAATGCTTTCCATATTACTACGGCTTCAAACCTGGGTAATATGGACATTAAGCCAGGTACAGAAACTTCTGAAACCAAGAGTTGGGTAGTTTGGCTTTTCGTGCATGTTGGGGGAAGATGGAGGTAAATGGCACTGAGGTGGTTTTACTCAGCTCTTCTCCAAAGCAGACATTTCTTAAATCTTCCAAACGCTTGTCAGTTTCCTTAGAAAGCATTTTATGACATTATCATAGATTGTCAGAGCTGGAAGGCAACTCAGAAATTTTTCAGTCCGAACTGGTTCTCTATTCAGATGAGAAAACTGAGGCCTGGAGCAGTGAGTCTGGAGAAAGGTCTTGAATCCAGGCCTGTGGCTTTGTTCCTATGAATAGTATGTTGAGTTTCTTAATTGCTTCCCTGGGTGAATTTGCTTCACATATGAGCTGTCTTTTCACTTTTTTCCTACAAAAAGAATCTGTTTAGTTTCCTGTGGGAGATTATCTTGGCCCATATTTCACTTTGCTAATTCTTGAGTTTAAAAATCTCTCTGAGAACTGAAGGTGCTTTTGAAGATGATGTGTGGGTGACAATCACCCATGAGTCACTTTGCCCACAAAGAACTTAAGACCATGGATAGTCTCTGCTGGACTCCATATACCCCCAGATTCACTTTCATCCAAACCTCAGGAAGAAAATGTCTTCTTCAGAAGCACCGTTTTATCCAGTAACAAACCTGCACATTCTGCACACATATCCCAGAATTTAAAGTATAATAAAAATTAAAGTAAAAAATAAAAAAAATAAAAGAAGCATCTCACACATATGTCTTATGATGGAGCATCTCCTCCTGAATGAGGGCAGACCAGCCACATTGGATGAGAAACTGGAATAAATGTCCTGATTAAGATCCTGAATGATAGACTCAAATACCCTTGCCTGTGAATTTAGGCTCTGACATTTATCAGTTGTGTGATCTTGACCAAATTATTAAACTTTGTTGAACCTCAGATTCATTATATTTAAAATGAACAGATTCATATAAGTCTACCTTATTACATAGTTGAGGTAATTAAACGAATGCTTAAAAATACTGAGCACACTGCCTGGGAGATTTTAAGGGCTGAATTTATGTGTTAGCTGGGTGGTAGTGGTGGTTGTTTTAGGTAACACTGGAAGAGAGCTTGAAATACTGTGTAATTCATTCAAGATAGATGGGGATTCAGAGTGGAGTGTGTACAGTGTGGGTTTGTTGAAAGAATAACTTTACTTGGCCCAAATCCCACTCTGTCCATCTCTCTCTGGAGTCTCTAAAATGTAGACATTTAGTGCAGTTTCTGCCACAGTACCCCTTTATTTTATCATACAATCTCAGTGACTTGTACATGCTCCCTTGAATTCATTGACCAACCCTGATATCTTCCTCTCCTTCAATGGAATAGATTCCTCCTCTGATCAATACCTGTCACTCAACAAAGACTCAGTGAGATAATGCACATATAGCATTTAGTCCACAGTGGCTGGCACATGGTAACTAATCAATAAAATGTTAGCTACTGATATTACTCTTACGACCACTCCTGGAATTATTATCAAGTACCTGGCACAGTGATAGCAATGAGAGTGAGAATGATGATGATGAGGGATATCTGGGGCCACCAAGGCACACTTCCTAGTTTTTACAAAAGGCTAAGCTTTATTCACATTTATCATCCTATTTTTTTTCCTGGCAGGAGAAATAATTTATTAGGTCAACTTCTTCTCATCCCTCTTTTTAAGGTGAATTAACGTCAATCTTTAAAAAACAAAACAACGTTTCTCATAGATCCTGTTTGTTACCTGCTGCTTCCAATCATTTTCTCTTCACTAATCTGGTTTGGTGCTTGAAATAGATCTGAGTGGCTCAACGTCATCCATTAGAGAGACAAGATTTCCCACATATAAGTTTGATTTCATCATTGATGTAAGTTTTCAGGGCATCCTCTCAAGCATTCTATGATTTAATCCTGAAAATAGTCCAGGGTGCAAGCATGTTACTGTTCCTGTTTTTCAGAGATGGGTTAAGTAACTTGCCCAGTGCCAAAGAGGAGTAAGTGTTCCCTATTTGGATGGAAATTCGCTCTGCTGTATCACAAGGGCTCTCATGGGGTTTGGTGTAAGTTGTCTCTTATAATAGGTCAGCATGGGGGTGAAGTCATTACAGCCATTCTTCATATTGCCCAGGGGACTAATGTAGGGAGAAAACAAGGCAGAGACACTGACATTCACCAGAGGCTGAGCATGTGGGCTGCAGCGACATTAGTTGTAGGAGTTTAGTTGGTGTCTTTTACCATTACCCTCGATGGTCCTTCCACTGGCTCAACTCACTGCCTTGTATTTGTTAGGTTTAGTAGTGCTTGTTATTTCTCTGTGTCAGTACTGTGATGGATATAGAGAAGCCAAGCTAAGAGGAATATTTTTGAAATAAGATATATCTAGGCTTGAAATCAGCCGTTTACTAGCTGTGTGAGCTTGGGCAAATATAATATTTTCTAAGCCTTAATATCCACATTTGTAAAGTGGAGACAAGAGTGCTTGGGCATATCTTCATATTACAGGGAAGAGTAAGTTAATAGTAAGGACAAATAAATAAAGCTGATCATCATCACTGCTTTTATTATTTTAAAAAGGAGAGCCCTTGAAGCATGAGAGTTGAATAGAGGAATTGGTTTGCATTCTGCAAACCCAATCATAGGCCCTCACTTCTCACTTCTTGTATAATCTTGTTATTGCCTTTAGATTCAATTCAATTCATTATACACTAATAATTTCCAAATGTGTATTTTGAGCCCCAGATATGCGTATATAACTGCCTAATTAACATTTTTCTTAGGTGCTTCAAAGGCACTGCAAATTGCTGTGTTGAAAAGCAGGAGTTATAATCAACTCCCAAACCTAATCATGTTCAGGTTTCTATCTCGGAGTGAATGGCCCCTCTGTTTGGCCAGTTGTGCAGGCCAGAAGCCTGAGGCTATTCTTAAACACCTTTTCCGATGTGGCCCATTAGAAAGTTCTGTAGGTTTGGCCTCTTTGATATACACTGAATGTATCCATTTCTTGCCATGCCCAGCACCTCCCTGGTCAAATCTGGCACTATCTCTTGGCTAGACTGCTACAACAGTCTCCAGGCTAGTTACCCTACAGTTACTCTAGCCTCTTTCAGGCCAGTCAGAGGGATTTTTTTGGGGTAGGTAATGATCCTGTGTCCAGCCCCTACTACCCAGTCTTACAGCTGAATATCTCTTTAGTGGTTTCTCCTTCATTTTAGGATTAAAACATGTTCAAGGACATGGCCTATAAGACCTATCAGGATCTGGGCCCTGGCTCTCCCTGAGGCTCATTTTCCATTATGCTGTCTCTTGTGTTTTCTCTGCTCAGACTTACTGATCATCTTATTGAACTTCCTGCTCACCATGTTTCAATCATAGGTGCTTTGTTCATGGTCGTATCTCTGCCTGGAGTGGTTTTTCCATCCCATCTTCTACCTAAACCGCACCTACTCCTCCTGCAGATCTTAGATTAAGCCTTCCCTGACCTCTACAACTAGTTCAAATCCTTCTTTTATAGGCTTTCACATTATCCTGAACCTCTCCTTCATGGCACATGGTAGAGTTGCAATTTTATATATACATACAATATTTTTATTTTATGTCAGTCTTTCCTGATTAGTCTTTCTCTGTTTTGCTCGTCACTGTTTTCCAGCACCCAGCACAGTACCTGGCACTTAATAGATGGTCAATGAATATTTGTCCAATGAATGAGAATCCTCAAAGAGAATTCATGTTTCTGGTCTCAACCTCCTGGCTTCAAGTGATTCTCCTGCCTTAGGCTCCTAAAATGCTGGGACTACAGGTGTGAGCCACTGCACCCGGCCCGATTCATGTTTCTGTACCATTGCTCTAGTTCATTGATCTCTAAGTGGTGTTTTGTATATCACTAGCTAATGTGCATGGTGATTAACTGCTAATAAATGTCAAAGCTGGGACTTGAACCCAGGTCTTCTGCATGACAAGCAAGCAACTTAAGAGTTTAACTGGAAGGCTTGCTGCTTAAATGGCTCCCTCTTGATTCAAGAGTGAAAGGGGTATGGTGATTAGAGGCTTGCCCTAGGAGTACTCCTGCTCCAAAGTCAATGATCTAGAACTGTAGGTTTAGAGATGTGGATAAGTAAATGATTCATTGGGAAATGGCTCTGAGCCTTCTGAGAACCTTAAGAAACATATTCTTTTTTACTCCTGGCTGGTCATGCATAAGACTTAGAAACGAATGATAACAGAATATATTTTCTGTCCCTCTTTGACATCACCTGAGTTTCAGTAAAATGTAATCTTCTATGGGTGGAAGAGAGTTTATAGAGCCGGCCAAGTCTGATCGCCACCTGTGTCTTCCACCAACCCAGATGTATGTCCCTACCTGCTTATTAACTTTTGATGAGAAACGTTCCGGGAAGAACCTGCATCCATATGTCCCCTTGATTTATGTCTTCCTCTGCATTCTCACTGCTACCATCATGAGACCCTTGCCACCTCAAGCACTGGTCCTGTTTGGAGTATTCATAATATTCGGGGTAGAGCATCAGTTCTCCCTGAGCTGATTTATTTCTCATCTCAATATTATTAGTCTTCCTTATTCAGAGAAGCTCAAGGGACTACAGTAGTTCCCTGTTACCTGCAACATCAACATGAGGCTTTTCTCCAGGGTCTTCAAGTAACGTCTTAATCTTTTTCCATTTGTCTTCATCTCCTATTACTCCTTAGTATATGCCATTAGAATGCTTTTTATCCCATTATCTATCAACCAGTTATATAACTCACATGTTCAAATACTTACTGAGCCCTACTATATGCTAGGCACTGTATTGCACACTAGGGTACAGCAGGAGCAAGATAGTCACAGCACCTTCCCTCATGGACCTATGATCCATAAGGAGAGACAAACATTTAAACAACTCCATTCACCGTTGCTTGTTTCGTTAAAATGGTAGTAAGGGCTACAAAGAATGGAGGGGTGCTCAAAGTGTGTTACAGGGGAACCTTACTTTGTAAGGAGAATCAGGGAAGTCTTCTTTGGGAGGAAATGGTGAAGTTGAATCAGAGATAATTCCTTATATTCATTCCCATTTTCTATCTAGTCCTGTGCTTTTTGAATCCCTAGGAAAAGCAGCCTTTCTTTCCTCTTTCTACACAAAAGCTACTCATTCCTTAGTTGTAACTTATTTCAGTGAGTTGACGGAAAAATATGACAGTTAAAAGCTCAGATGCTTAAATCAGAGAATTGAAGTCGAAACCCAGCTCCACCATCTCTTGGCCTGGTGTCTTTATGCAAGTTATTTACATTGCTAAGCCATAATTTGCTCAAATGCCAGGTGAGGATTGTAATACATTCCTCTCAGAATCATTCTGGGTGTGAAGTACTTAGCACCGTGCTGACACTTAGTAAATGCTCAATTAATAATGGCCAAAATTACCATAATGATCAACTCCTGGGTTGACGTCCAGGACCTGCTTCCTTCTGTTTTTTCAAAAAAACTCAGTCTGTACACACTAGCCAGATACTCTGCCAGATGTTGGAGACACATCAATAAATAAGGTGGCCCTGCCCTCAACCCTGGAAAATCCTTTTGGATCTCAGCTTCATCTTCATGGTGAGGGCCAAACCTACTCTTAGGCTCAAATGACATGAACCCAGGCCCTAAAGTGACATGGTATGGCACCTATTCCCACACCTACTTTGGAGACTTGGTTCTGAAACTTTTCTCTGCCTGGTGCCCTGTGCCTGAACCCCTGCCTGGATTACCTGCCTCTACCTGAATTTCCCACAGGGCTGGTGGTAGCCTTTTGCTTACTGGTTCCTCTATCTTGTATCACACTCAACACACAGCTCTGCTTGCGGTAACTCCTAGGCAAAGGCTGGTTCACTGATCATGCTGAGAGCTCCAAGATTAACTTTGCTTCTTTGTCAGTCTTATCTTCTGGTACATGGGATTTTTACCAAGCAGCTCAAGTTGACTTTGTAGCTTTCACTCCCCAGGTTGGGCAGCACTGAGTGGATGCTAGGAGTGCTGACTACTTGGCTGGGCAAAACAAAACCTGCTGTCTCCAGCTCAGGCCCACTAATCAAGAGGTCCGTGGGCCTCTTGATTGTCCACTGATGAGAACTAGCTTTGAGAATATGGGATTGAATCTTCCTTTGTGGGAACAACTCCTGTATAGCCTGACTTGGATATCCATAGAGTTGGGGGTGAAGTATTCTGTATGAGAACCTTCTAGGGGTAGGGCAGAAATCTTTAACTCTTACTTAACAGAATAACCCTTTCTTTTTTAATGAACTCTGTATACAACAGATAAAGGGATGCTTCTTGGAGGGGGTGAGGCTTGGCTAGGAGGGTAGAACACAGACTGTGGTTTATGTCCTTGTCCACCTGCCCTCCTCAACTTTAGGTCTGCATTTGAGACCCATCTTTGATATGTGCTAACTTAGGACTTGGGGAAAACATTGCCCAAGTCTTGACTTTGGGTTCCTCATCTGTGGGGATTCATTCATTCATTCAACTATATTCTTAACACCAGATATGTACCAAGACTATGCTAGGAATACTGAAATGCACAAAACAGACATTGGGGTCATGGGACTTACTCAGGTGAGGGAGACACAGTCATGAAAACGAAGCCTATGACAAAATGAGTGAAGGAGAGTTTTGCTGTCCTGAGAGAGGTGTGGTGTGGCAAGGGTGGGTGTGGGGGCAGACCTTGAGTGCTAAGGAATAGTCTATCCTAACAGTATAAACAGGGGGCAATGATACTATCCCTTTTAACCTTACAGGTATTGATTGTGTGGCTAAGTGAGATAATTTGAGAACTCTTTGGCTTCAGACACATGTAAAAACTGCTTCTCAAAAGTCACTTTCCAAAGATAGTAGCCCCTTTTCTTACACAATCTAATGAGAACTAACCCTCATGAAATCCTAAACTTACCCTTTATCGCCTTAATTGTAGTTGTTAGTTAATTATATATTTAGCATCTGCTTTCTCTCTAAAGCTAGAAGGATGGGGGTTGTATCTGTCTTCATCTGTCTAACCCCAGCCCTGACTATAACTGAGTAGATGCTTGATAAATATTTATTGAATGAATCAATAAAGTGATTAGAGAGGACACTGAGATCTAATATGTGGTTTGGAAAATTATAGTATTCTGCAGATTTGGGAAATGTCTCATTTGGGGATTTAGAGGCCACCGAATCAACCTTATCTTATGCATGAGGAAAAAAGACCCAGAGAGGGGAGGCAACCTGGCCAAGCCACACACTGAGTCACTGGCTCACTGTGTTATTGTTCTCTTAGTTCATGGTTGTTTTCTTCATAGCTATAGCTGTTTTATCTGAAGTGAGATAAGCTCTTAGGATTGTCTCTTAAAGTATAAGTCTGTGCCTCTGTATTAGGACTCAGGCAAGCAAAGTAGCCACCCTTGGAAATTCCTCTCTCCTGGCCTGCTGTCAATGCCTGGCACCCTGCCATTAGGGAAGCATCACATTGCATTCAGTTTTGTCCTCTACAGCTGCCTGTTTGAGAAGGCGTGTGTGATTGGGAGAGGTAGCCAAAACCCCATTTGGTAAAACGTGTATCTAAGTGATCTGCTGCTTGGAATGTGAAATTCAGATGAACATGAATGTTTGTTTAAAGAATGCTAGCACTGTAAAGAGAGCTATAAACATAAGGGATAGCTAACTGATGGGTAGAGAGGAGGCGTAGGGTATGTGAACTCAGTTGGATGCAGAGGGGATGTCACACAGACACAAAGAACCAAAGGGAAATGTTTGTAGAAATGAAGCATTGGCAAGCAACATGAGTTGCTGCAAGTTGCAGGCACTGCACTGCATGGAGGAAAAGGATGGCACAGATGAACCAGAGGCAGCTGGGTCAGTTTGTTTTTGCACTCCCCAAATTGTTATTGAATGTTCCCAGGTGCCCAAGCCCTGTGCCAATGCCTGGAGTCTGGGCAGAGCAGAGAGAGATGGCAGTCCCTCCTCTCATCGTGATTGTAAAGTGGAGGGAGAGACAGATATTAAGCAAATAATCGTGGTAAAAAATTATATAAACTTTGATAATTGTGCCAAAGGAATAGGATGTGATCCTGTGAGAACAAGTAATATGGAAACTCCCCAAGACTGTGTGCAATGGGGAAAGTGGAGGGGTAGGGGTGTGTGTGTGTGTGTGAGGAGTGAGCAACCTTTCCTGAGAACGTGAGCTAAAACCTAAAGGATGAGCTGAAGCTAACTAGATGGATGAAGGCCTGAGGAAAAGCAAGAGTTCCAAGTAGAGGGAACAGCATGTTAAAAAGCCATGAGTCAGAAGGAAGCAGGTAGCAGGAAACAGAGGAAAGTAAGGGAGCGAGGGGGTTAATTTCTGCAATAAAAGGCTTGGGAGGGCAAGCAGGGATGCCGACCTTGCTGATCCTAGAGGCCCAGTGCTACTCAGAGTGGTCTCTGTGTGGGGGCCGCACTCCAACTGTGAATTATAGACCTGTAGGGAGCTAGGCACAGAATGGAGAATAAGCTTTTAGTGCAACTTGACAGAGCAACTTTATGTCTGCTGAAGCTAGTATTTTGTATGTCTTTTTAATTCATTTTCAAGCAATTCATTGTTATTTTACAACTTTTCAATTGTTTTCAACGGATTGGGGTCGAGGAAACCTGGTCGTTTACTCTAGAATTTGGTCTTTATTCAGAAGCCGTGGAATGATTTTGAATAGGGGGCATGACAGAATCATATGCTCAGTTTTGCAAGGCTGTTGCGGGCACAGCAGAAGGCCGGGAGGCAGCAAGGGGGCCAACCTAGGGGGTCTGGAGAGAGGAGGGTGCAGCTTAGGCCAGGGAGCTGGCTGAAAGGATGGAGAAACATGAATGGATTTAGGATTGGGCAGAACTGACTTCTTTGGCAGGAATTTTTGTCAAGGCAGACAAAAGAGAACGGGAAAGAAGACTTTATTTAGAGAGAGCCTGGTGGGTTGGTAGTAGAAAGTTTTATTGCTGGCAGTACAGAGGGGCCAACATTTCCCAGAAAGAAAGGTTCTCTTTCCCTCAATGGGCAAGAGAGCTGGGAGCACTTGTCTGGGTGAAGGAAGAAACAGGGAGCTGCCACCCATGACTCGTCCACAAGTGCTGGGTGCTGGGCCAGAGAAGGGCATTGGAGAGGTTTGACCCTTGACAGTGCTCACTAGCTCTCTACAACCTGCAGGTTCATATATAATGTGATTAGTGCTTCCTGGGGCATGTGGGCAAGTGAAGAGCTCAGTAGATTGAGTTGCCATGGTAGGGGAAGACCATGTCCCAAAAAATAGGTTACTTTGTGTGAAGAGGGAACTCTACTCCAGTCCTTGCCAACAAAGCATCACCATTTTGACCTTTGTTTTGGATCCCAGGTGCTGTCTAGCAGTAGTCTAACCAAGCTTCAAGGATAGTTTGGCAGAGGAGAGGCAGACATGGTGGGGTGCACCTGAGTGAGCTGTTATTGGTGTTATCTGGGCCCCTAAAAGGCTCTAGAAGACTGGCTTCTTTTAAATATTTCTCAGTTAAGTACTGGTCCTTCTGTGAATTTTGCTGCATTTGAGATATTTCATTTATCAGCCACATTGCTGCAATAAATCAAATTTGCTCTGGTCATACTCTTTACCTAGTGGCAGTTGGAAAATGGATTCAGGTCTTTGTCAATTTAATCTCAGATCTGTTTTGCTGAAGGCAAAGCCAAGAGGGTGACAGAATCACAGGTCATTGCCACAATAGAAGGGTACTGGTCCTATCTGGTAGAAGTCAGAGGCAGTGGTTAGGTGGAAGGCATGACCCTCTGTCCACACTTCTCCTATTCACAATGCCTTTACTCCTGTCAGGGCATGCGGATTTAATATGATAGAATTATGTATTATCAGTGCATAAAGACATCTTAATGATTATCTATAGCTTAGGAATGGCAAAAACAAGGCATCCTTGCCATTACTTCCTTTTCTCTTTCAGGCAGATATCAAGAATTGATCCCCATATTCTATGTAGCCTCAGAATCCTTCTCAACACACCACTCCAAGCAGATACTACTGATCAGCTGGAGTTAGCATGTAATCTAAGGAGACTTACATTAGTTTCCTTGGACTGCTTTAATAAAGTACCACAAACTGAATGGCTTAAAGCAGCAAACCCTTTTCCTTTCACAGTGCTGGCAACTAGAAGTCCAAAATTGAGGTGTTAGCAGGGCCATGCCCTCTCCAAAAGGTCTAGGAAAGAATTCTTTTTTGCCTCTGAGTTTCTGTTGGTTGACATCAACACTTGGTGTTCCTTGGCTTGTAGGTGCATTACTCCAGGCTCTGCCTCTGTCTTCATGTGGCCTCTTTCCCTATTTGTCTGTGCCCAAATTTGCTTCCTTTTATTAGGATACCAGTTACAGGATTAGAATCCACCCTAGTTCAATTGAATAGAGACTTGAACATGCCAAAAATTCGTAAAATCATACATGAAAATGATAATCTACATTTAGGATGGTGATGAACTCCAGGGAAGAAAAAGAGGGATTGAAATTGAGAAGAGGTCCCCAGAGTGATTTGAATCTATTTGTAATCCATTACTGTGCCTAGCTCCCCACAGATCAATAATTCACAGCTTGAGTACAGCCCCCCAACACAGACCACTCTCAGTAGCACTGGGCCTCTAGCATCAGCAAGGTCTGCATCCCTGCTTTTCCTCCCAAGCCTTGTGTTGCAGAAATCCACCCTAGTTTACCCTCATCTTAACTTGATTACATTTGCACATTTATCCCAGGTGAACAGACATTTTGGGGGGTACACTATTCAACCCAGTATAAGACCCAGAGCTATCCAGATCCCATTCTAAATTCCCATTTTGCAGATGAGAAATCTGAGGTTTAGAGAGAAAAAGGGACTTGCTGAAAATTACATGATTATTAACAATAGGTGCAAGATAGGACTTAGAATTCCAGACTGCCAGTCTATTGTTTTTCTGGTGTATATCTGAATGAAGCATTAGAAAAAAGACTGCTCCTCTTTCCCAGGAAAGGCTTAAATAATCTAGTTTGATTATGTAAGTTTGGTTTGTTTCTGTGAATTTCTACCCTCAAGAGTAACCCAACTGAGCAAGAAAAGTGACGATTCTTGCTTTCAAGTTATGATGCTTTCCATGAGACTGAGTCTGAAAGGAGATTGTGGTAAAGTGAAGTCCTGACCTGCCATGTGCTGAGTGTTCCTAGCCTGGTTCCAA
This sequence comes from Homo sapiens, assembly GCF_000001405.40. NCBI lineage: Eukaryota > Metazoa > Chordata > Mammalia > Primates > Hominidae > Homo > Homo sapiens. The sequence continues at coordinate 152,076,096 of NC_000005.10, forward strand.
GCACCACTCTGGACGTACACAGATAGATGCTTGACAGGTATTTGGTGAATTTGATGTGCAACACATGTTTGGTAAATAAAAATTTCATATATCATTTGCTTTTGCCTGTTTTGACACAGAAGAAACTTCGGAATAATAAAGCTGATTTGGGAAAGGTAGAGAGAACTGGAAGTATCTCTAGACAGAATGTAAAAGATATAGACCAGAAAGAAATGGGAAGTGGCAAAACTGGGGACTGCCTTTACCTATTTCATTCACTTCATGCTTATTCTGACTCTAGTTACCAGGGAAGGAGGGAAGAGAGCAAACATAGAATACCTTTGCAGTGTTTCTCGGCTTGCATTATGCCAAGCATTGGGCTGGGTGCTTTATAAACATCCTTGATGTAATTCTCTTAACTTAGATAGATGCTATTATGCCTACTTTATAGGTTAGGAAAAAGTAATTCATTTGTCCAAAGTCACACAGCTAGTAAATCTTGGGGTCTGGACTGAAAGCAATTCTTTTCCAAAACCATTTTCTTTTTAAAATGTATACCTAACTGAGTTGTGGGTATCACTTCTGTTTCAGGAGCAAGGCATGAGAAGCTCTATCTTTGCAAATAATTTGCTTTGGATAAAGCTATTTCTTTTGCAGAAGCATCACATGTCATCTGAACATTTAAAAAATATTTTTTGTGTCTCTTAGAAATTCTCGTGACATTTCCATCATATAGCCTTTAGATAGTGTGGTCTTCAAAATTAGATAGTGTGGTCTTCAAAATTACATGGTGGAGCTCCGGTCTACAGCTCCCAGCGTGAGCGACGCAGAAGACGGGTGATTTCTGCATTTCCATCTGAGGTACCAGGTTCATCTCACTAGGGAGTGCCAGACAGTGGGCGCAGGCCAGTGTGTGCGCGCACCGTGCGCGAGCCGAAGCAGGGCGAGGCATTGCCTCACCTGGGAAGCGCAAGGGGTCAGGGAGTTCCCTTTCCGAGTCAAAGAAAGGGGTGACGGACGCACCTGGAAAATCGGGTCACTCCCACCCGAATATTGCGCTTTTCAGACCGGCTTAAGAAACGGCGCACCACGAGACTATATCCCACACCTGGCTCAGAGGGTCCTACGCCCACGGAATCTCGCTGATTGCTAGCACAGCAGTCTGAGATCAAACTGCCAGGCGGCAACGAGGCTGGGGGAGGGGCGCCCGCCATAGCCCAGGCTTGCTTAGGTAAACAAAGCAGCCGGGAAGCTCGAACTGGGTGGAGCCCACCACAGCTCAAGGAGGCCTGCCTGCCTCTGTAGGCTCCACCTCTGGGGGCAGGGCACAGACAAACAAAAAGACAGCAGTAACCTCTGCAGACTTAAATGTCCCTGTCTGACAGCTTTGAAGAGAGCAGTGGTTCTCCCAGCACGCAGCTGGAGATCTGAGAACGGGCAGACTGCCTCCTCAAGTGGGTCCCTGACCCCTGACCCCCGAGCAGCCTAATTGGGAGGCACCCCCCAGCAGGGGCACACTGACACCTCACACGGCAGGGTATTCCAACAGACCTCCAGCTGAGGGTCCTGTCTGTTAGAAGGAAAACTAACAACCAGAAAGGACATCTACACCGAAAACCCATCTGTACATCACCATCATCAAAGACCAAAAGTAGATAAAACCACAAAGATGGGGAAAAAACAGAACAGAAAAACTGGAAACTCTAAAACGCAGAGTGCCTCTCCTCCTCCAAAGGAATGCAGTTCCTCACCAGCAACAGAACAAAGCTGGATGGAGAATGATTTTGACGAGCTGAGAGAAGAAGGCTTCAGACGATCAAATTACTCTGAGCTACGGGAGGACATTCAAACCAAAGGCAAAGAAGTTGAAAACTTTGAAAAAAATTTAGAAGAATGTATAACTAGAATAACCAATACAGAGAAGTGCTTAAAGGAGCTGATGGAGCTGAAAACCAAGGCTCGAGAACTACGTGAAGAATGCAGAAGCCTCAGGAGCCGATGCGATCAACTGGAAGAAAGGGTATCAGCAATGGAAGATGAAATGAATGAAATGAAGCGAGAAGGGAAGTTTAGAGAAAAAAGAATAAAAAGAAATGAGCAAAGCCTCCAAGAAATATGGGACTATGTGAAAAGACCAAATCTACGTCTGATTGGTGTACCTGAAAGTGATGGGGAGAATGGAACCAAGTTGGAAAACACTCTGCAGGATATTATCCAGGAGAACTTCCCCAATCTAGCAAGGCAGGCCAACGTTCAGATTCAGGAAATACAGAGAACGCCACAAAGATACTCCTCGAGAAGAGCAACTCCAAGACACATAATTGTCAGATTCACCAAAGTTGAAATGAAGGAAAAAATGTTAAGGGCAGCCAGAGAGAAAGGTCGGGTTACCCTCAAAGGAAAGCCCATCAGACTAACAGCGGATCTCTCGGCAGAAACCCTACAAGCCAGAAGAGAGTGGGGGCCAATATTCAACATTCTTAAAGAAAAGAATTTTCAACCCAGAATTTCATATCCAGCCAAACTAAGCTTCATAAGTGAAGGAGAAATAAAATACTTTACAGACAAGCAAATGATGAGAGATTTTGTCACCACCAGGCCTGCCCTAAAAGAGCTCCTGAAGGAAGCGCTAAACATGGAAAGGAACAACCGGTACCAGCCACTGCAAAATCATGCCAAAATGTAAAGACCATCGAGACTAGGAAGAAACTGCATCAACTAATGAGCAAAATCACCAGCTAACATCATAATGACAGGATCAAATTCACACATAACAATATTAACTTTAAATATAAATGGACTAAATTCTGCAATTAAAAGACACAGACTGGCAAGTTGGATAAAGAGTCAAGACCCATCAGTGTGCTGTATTCAGGAAACCCATCTCACGTGCAGAGACACACATAGGCTCAAAATAAAAGGATGGAGGAAGATCTACCAAGCCAATGGAAAACAAAAAAAGGCAGGGGTTGCAATCCTAGTCTCTGATAAAACAGACTTTAAACCAACAAAGATCAAAAGAGACAAAGAAGGCCATTACATAATGGTAAAGGGATCAATTCAACAAGAGGAGCTAACTATCCTAAATATTTATGCACCCAATACAGGAGCACCCAGATTCATAAAGCAAGTCCTGAGTGACCTACAAAGAGACTTAGACTCCCACACATTAATAATGGGAGACTTTAACACCCCACTGTCAACATTAGACAGATCAACGAGACAGAAAGTCAACAAGGATACCCAGGAATTGAACTCAGCTCTGCACCAAGCAGACCTAATAGACATCTACAGAACTCTCCACCCCAAATCAACAGAATATACATTTTTTTCAGCACCACACCACACCTATTCCAAAATTGACCACATAGTTGGAAGTAAAGCTCTCCTCAGCAAATGTAAAAGAACAGAAATTATAACAAACTATCTCTCAGACCACAGTGCAATCAAACTAGAACTCAGGATTAAGAATCTCACTCAAAGCCGCTCAACTACATGGAAACTGAACAACCTGCTCCTGAATGACTACTGGGTACATAACGAAATGAAGGCAGAAATAAAGATGTTCTTTGAAACCAACGAGAACAAAGACACCACATACCAGAATCTCTGTGACGCATTCAAAGCAGTGTGTAGAGGGAAATTTATAGCACTAAATGCCTACAAGAGAAAGCAGGAAAGATCCAAAATTGACACCCTAACATCACAATTAAAAGAACTAGAAAAGCAAGAGCAAACACATTCAAAAGCTAGCAGAAGGCAAGAAATAACTAAAATCAGAGCAGAACTGAAGGAAATAGAGACACAAAAAACCCTTCAAAAAATCAATGAATCCAGGAGCTGGTTTTTCGAAAGGATCAACAAAATTGATAGACCGCTAGCAAGACTAATAAAGAAAAAAAGAGAGAAGAATCAAATAGACACAATAAAAAATGATAAAGGGGATATCACCACCGATCCCACAGCAATACAAACTACCATCAGAGAATACTACAAACACCTCTACGCAAATAAACTAGAAAATCTAGAAGAAATGGATACATTCCTCGACACATACACTCTCCCAAGACTAAACCAGGAAGAAGTTGAATCTCTGAATAGACCAATAACAGGCTCTGAAATTGTGGCAATAATCAATAGTTTACCAACAAAAAAGAGTCCAGGACCAGATGGATTCACAGCCGAATTCTACCAGAGGTACAAGGAGGAACTGGTACCATTCCTTCTGAAACTATTCCAATCAATAGAAAAAGAGGGAATCCTCCCTAACTCATTTTATGAGGCCAGCATCATTCTGATACCAAAGCCGGGCAGAGACACAACCAAAAAAGAGAATTTTAGACCAATATCCTTGATGAACATTGATGCAAAAATCCTCAATAAAATACTGGCAAACCGAATCCAGCAGCACATCAAAAAGCTTATCCACCATGATCAAGTGGGCTTCATCCCTGGGATGCAAGGCTGGTTCAATATACGCAAATCAATAAATGTAATCCAGCATATAAACAGAGCCAAAGACAAAAACCACATGATTATCTCAATAGATGCAGAAAAAGCCTTTGACAAAATTCAACAACCCTTCATGCTAAAAACTCTCAATAAATTAGGTATTGATGGGACGTATTTCAAAATAATAAGAGCTATCTATGACAAACCCACAGCCAATATCATACTGAATGGGCAAAAACTGGAAGCATTCCCTTTGAAAACTGGCACAAGACAGGGATGCCCTCTCTCACCGCTCCTATTCAACATAGTGTTGGAAGTTCTGGCCAGGGCAATCAGGCAGGAGAAGGAAATAAAGGGTATTCAATTAGGAAAAGAGGAAGTCAAATTGTCCCTGTTTGCAGACGACATGATTGTTTATCTAGAAAACCCCATCGTCTCAGCCCAAAATCTCCTTAAGCTGATAAGCAACTTCAGCAAAGTCTCAGGATACAAAATCAATGTACAAAAATCACAAGCATTCTTATACACCAACAACAGACAAACAGAGAGCCAAATCATGGGTGAACTCCCATTCACAATTGCTTCAAAGAGAATAAAATACCTAGGAATCCAACTTACAAGGGATGTGAAGGACCTCTTCAAGGAGAACTACAAACCACTGCTCAAGGAAATAAAAGAGGACACAAACAAATGGAAGAACATTCCATGCTCATGGGTAGGAAGAATCAATATCGTGAAAATGGCCATACTGCCCAAGGTAATTTACAGATTCAATGCCATCCCCATCAAGCTACCAATGACTTTCTTCACAGAATTGGAAAAAACTACTTTAAAGTTCATATGGAACCAAAAAAGAGCCCGCATTGCCAAGTCAATCCTAAGCCAAAAGAACAAAGCTGGAGGCATCACACTACCTGACTTCAAACTATACTACAAGGCTACAGTAACCAAAACAGCATGGTACTGGTACCAAAACAGAGATATAGATCAATGGAACAGAACAGAGCCCTCAGAAATAATGCCGCATATCTACAACTATCTGATCTTTGACAAACCTGAGAAAAACAAGCAATGGGGAAAGGATTCCCTATTTAATAAATGGTGCTGGGAAAACTGGCTAGCCATATGTAGAAAGCTGAAACTGGATCCCTTCCTTACACCTTATACAAAAATCAATTCAAGATGGATTAAAGATTTAAACGTTAAACCTAAAACCATAAAAACCCTAGAAGAAAACCTAGGCATTACCATTCAGGACATAGGCGTGGGCAAGGACTTCATGTCCAAAACACCAAAAGCAATGGCAACAAAAGCCAAAATTGACAAATGGGATCTAATTAAACTAAAGAGCTTCTGCACAGCAAAAGAAACTACCATCAGAGTGAACAGGCAACCTACAACATGGGAGAAAATTTTCGCAACCTACTCATCTGACAAAGGGCTAATATCCAGAATCTACAATGAACTCAAACAAATTTACAAGAAAAAAACAAACAACCCCATCAAAAAGTGGGCGAAGGACATGAACAGACACTTCTCAAAAGAAGACATTTATGCAGCCAAAAAACACATGAAAAAATGCTCATCATCACTGGCCATCAGAGAAATGCAAATCAAAACCACTATGAGATATCATCTCACACCAGTTAGAATGGCAATCATTAAAAAGTCAGGAAACAACAGGTGCTGGAGAGGATGTGGAGAAATAGGAACACTTTTACACTGTTGGTGGGACTGTAAACTAGTTCAACCATTGTGGAAGTCAGTGTGGTGATTCCTCAGGGATCTAGAACTAGAAATACCATTTGACCCAGCCATCCCATTACTGGGTATATACCCAAATGAGTATAAATCATGCTGCTATAAAGACACATGCACACGTATGTTTATTGCGGCACTATTCACAATAGCAAAGACTTGGAACCAACCCAAATGTCCAACAATGATAGACTGGATTAAGAAAATGTGGCACATATACACCATGGAATACTATGCAGCCATAAAAAATGATGAGTTCATATCCTTTGTAGGGACATGGATGAAATTGGAAACCATCATTCTCAGTAAACTATCGCAAGAACAAAAAACCAAACACCGCATATTCTCACTCATAGGTGGGAATTGAACAATGAGATCACATGGACACAGGAAGGGGAATATCACACTCTGGGGACTGTGGTGGGGTCGGGGGAGGGGGGAGGGATAGCATTGGGAGATATACCTAATGCTAGATGACACATTAGTGGGTGCAGCGCACCAGCATGGCACATGTATACATATGTAACTAACCTGCACAATGTGCACATGTACCCTAAAACTTAGAGTATAATAAAAAAAAAAAAAAAAAAAAAAAAAAAAAACAAAATTACATGGTGGACACTTACAACCCTTAGGTGACTTAAAAGAAAAGCTTTACTGAGATATAATTTACTTATAAAATTCATCCACTTTAAGTATGAAATTCAATGATTATTATTATATTACAGAATTGTGCAACTGTCACGTAAATTGAATTCCTTTGGTAACTTAGTTTGTACGCTGTAACGGATCAATTATCCAAGAGGATGAGAGAAGTCATTGCAGATATAAGGAACGACATGAATAAAGGTGTCAGGATGGGGACATAGAGATCATATGAAGAGGAGTGGATAGTCCTATTTGGCTGGGTATAAAATGAGTAAAAAGAGAAAAATAAATAATACTAGGGCTGGGTAATAACAATGAACAGATCATTTCCAGAGAGCTGGTTTGGTGGGAAGAAGGCACGGACTATTTGTTGTCCAAGGCAAAGCTGGTGGAGAAAGAAAGGAGGGAGGGTTAGTGACAGTTCCTCTGCTTTTCTCTATACTGTAGAGGGGACCCCGGTGGGGCCTCCAGCCAAGTTGGATGACAGCCAGTATGCCGAATGATGGATTTGCCAGATGAGCGAGTCATTAATTCCCTGAGGATATGTTATCTTGGCTTGCTCATGGCTTTATCTGTGAATGAATGAGCTTTGTCTGACCAGAACTTTGTTGTCTCTTAATTTTGTCACATATGGCCCATTCTTGCTGTTTATCTTCTGCCCCTTGTCTTCATCCTGCTTGTTCCCCTCTATCTCCTTCTCCTGCCTCTATCCTGGAGGTAAAATGGCAGTGGGCAGTTCTCCTAGAGTGAATTTGGGTATTTGTCTGACAGTTTTATATGAACAATCCTTTGCTGAATTGATTTTCACTGTACTAGCTTCTGTCTATCAGCTTTCGAGCCCAGACAGTTGGCTTTGATAGATACTTTGCCACTCCGTGATTTCTGCATTGACCTTTTGGTGCTTTCTTTTTTCCCTGCATATAAGGACAAAGGCCACAGCCATCCTCAGCAGGTCACGAACTTCAAGAAGGAAGAATTGTAATAGCAATTGTGAACTTCTTAGGCTTCCTCCAAAGGAAAGGGTGAGGTAAATGGAAGGCATTGTACAGTTATTATGTGATATCACATATATTAGTTTTTCTCTCCAAATCATTGCCTAGGGCTCTGTTTTGAAATTGGTTTTTACCCTCCTTGCTCTTATTGCAGCCTTCGATGTTCCCATTCCATATTTAACTTTTCTGCAATTCAGCACCTGCTCTGTTAGCACACTTCCCTTCCAGGCTTTTAGCGTGAAGCACCTGCATTTAGATCAGCCTAAGCTGTGTGGGATCAGGGTGTACTCACAGCCCAAACTTCTAGAACTTCCTCTCATTCCAAGGAGGGTGAGGGCCAAGGAACCTGGACCCCAGAAAGACTGCTTCTCCTGCCCTATTTAGTGTAGTGATTGAGAGTATGAATTCTGGTTTGAGCCATAGCTCTGCCACTTACCTGCTGTGTGACCTCAGGTAAGTACCTTAAACTCTCTGTACCTTAGTTCCCTTATCTGTAAAATGAAAGCCACAGTAGCACCCACCTCATAGGGCTGTGAGAAGAACTAAATGAGTTAATGCATGTAAAACACTTAGAGCAATGTCTGGCATATAATAAGTGCCCTGAAAGTATTAGTAATGTTGATTTTCTTAGCTATTAATTCTTATTTCCTTTTAAGCATATTGGGATGGCATCAGGAGGCCTGGATTCTGTTCCAGGCACAGCTGTCAAGTTTCCGCGCGACTCAGAGACGTCATTTCTCCAAAATTTGGCTTCCTCTTCAATTAAATGAGACTTACAGTCTCAGGCCTGCCCTGCTCATTGCCCAGAGTTGCTCTGAGGATAAAATGACACAGCAGACATAAACAGGCTTTGTAAATATGAAAGAGCTGCCTGCAGAAATGGTGGTGAGATGTTCCATGTTCTGTAGAGGGATGACCTTGTGAAGGTATTTCTTGGAAAAGGTGGCTTGGTCTCAGGGAACAAGAGTCCTCCTTGGAAACAGTGAGATCCTGATTATTCTCAGCCCTGATTGGCTTAGCATTGTTTTGAGATATCTTCTTTCTGGGGTCTCCTGGGAGAACAGTGGTGGTATTACCTCTTAGCATCAGCATTCTTAGTTGTAAACAACAGAAACCAGTGCTTGTTAATTTAAGCAGTAAAGTGGCAAAGGATTTAATTAGATGGAGTTGGGTAGCTCAGAGTGTCCTGGAGCACCAGAGAACCAGGAGGCTGTGGATCAGTGGCCAAAGTCACACAGCAGAACTGGTCCAGAATGGATGCCATGGTAGCACTGCTGGGCACAGGCTCTGCAGCTTATACTCACACAAGACAAGAGTGTTGTAGGGGGCACCCAGAACTGGAACTCATCATGGTCCAGGAATCTCTTAGCACAGCTACCCTCTGTGGGGAGGCTTTATTCTCTACCACCCCTGACTAGCTTTTCTTTTGGGTGGGAAACAGGGCCACATAGAGCGTTGCACCCATTTTTAAGTTCCACCACCAGAGGAAAGGATCATCTTCTTTTGGTTCTCATTCAAAGAAGGCAGCCCAGGAAAAGGATTGTCTCTGGTTGGCTGAGCTTTGGGCTATTGCCCATTCTTGGACCAATCAGTATAGAGCTTGGTGGTGAAATGTCAGGATTGGCCCAGCTTGCTGCCATGGGAAGTTTACAGCCCTGGGTGGAAGGATGCCATTGGAATGGTGCAAAGAGGAGGATAGATTTCTCAGAGGTGGGGATGGGAGATGGGAAGGGCTGATCTCGGTCATACTTTCACCATCAGGCACTACAGGGGGATTTGCAGTCTGCCCTTTTTTTTTTTGTTTACACTATGCTATGGCACTGACCAGGCCTTCATAATTCCATGTTAGCATCTCCCTGTCTATGCAGGGCTGTTTGATCACATCTCTCCTTGCACAAAAAACCTTCATTACTTTCAAACTAGAGTCCACGATCCTTATTATAAACACTGAAGATTTAATCCCATTCTTTTTTTTTTTTTCTTTTTTGAGATGGAGTCTCTCTCTGTCGCCCAGGTTGGAGTCCAGTGGCGTGATCTCGGCTCACTGCAAGCTCTGCCTCCCAGGTTCACACCATTCTCCTGCCTCAGCCTCCCGAGTAGCTGGGACTACAGGCACCCACCACCATGCCTGGCTAATTTTTTTGTATTTTTAGTGGAGACGGGGTTTCACCATGTTAGCCAGGATGGTCTCGATCTCCTGACCTCGTGATCTGCCCACCTCAGCCTCCCAAAGTGTTGGGATTACAGGCATGAGCCACTGCGCCCGGCCAACCCCATTCTTTTTTTAAAAATTTTTTTTATAATAATATATTTCAAACATAAAGAATAATAACATGAGTACATATGTACCCCCAATTGACCTTTAACAGATTTAACATTTTGCTATATTTGTTTAATGCTTTTTAAATAAACAGTAATGGATTACAAATAGATTCAAATCACTCTGGGGACCTCTTCTCAATTTCATTCCCTCCTTTTCTTCCTTGGAGTTCATCACCATCCTAAATGTAGGTTATCATTTTCATGTACGACTTTATGAATTTTTTGCATGTTCAAGTCTCTATTCAATGCATAGTATTGCTTTGCATATTTGTAAACTTTATAGAAATACTGCCCTACTATACATATCCTTTTGCAGTCTCCCTTTTGCATTGAACATTATTTTTGAGATTTATTCACACTGGTATGTGTAGATCTAGTATATATTCATTTTATCCGCCATATAGTGTTTTATTCATCTATCTCTGATTGATGGGTTTTTCTTTTTCTTTTTTTCTACCGTGAGCCCTGCAGCAGTGAGCATTCTTGTGCAAACCTTGGGGAGTATACGCAGGAGTGGAATCACATCAGGGAGAAGGACAGGCAAAACAAAGTCATAGCCCAACAACTTTCCCACCATGCAGAGCTAGCAGGTGATTAAACCCAGGAAATCCCTGGCAGGACTGATCAAACAGGGTTTAGCAGCTTGTGAAATGGGACTTTATTTCTTTAGCTAATCCCTTGTTGGGGAGGGGGAGGGAGATCTGAGATCTGACTTCAGCATGATCTGGAGGTAGGCGAGCCCAGACTACTTAAAATATTTGCTGATCACAGAGATGGGCCTTTTGAGTGACAAGAGAATGGCAGAGTGTACCTTTACTCCCCTTTCTTTGAGTCATGCCATAAACAGCATTTACTCTGCTTTGGAAAAATGCAGGGGTAAGAAAAAGCATAGAGTTTGGAGTCAGAGAGAGCCAAGTTTGTGTCTGTATGTCTGCCATTTACCAGTTGCATGACCATGTTAATTATTTACATTCTCTGAACCTCAATTTTCTTATCTGTGAAATGAGTCCCACTGATGTCCCGTGCTTTCAGCATCAGTAGTGCCACTGCCCTGAGTTGTCTGGATTGGGCTGTAGCCAGAAACCTCAAGTCCACCATGCCACGGTTCCTTGAGTCAAGTCCTGTTGGCTATAGACCTTCAGGTGAGCTCTGAATGTTGATGTTTCCTCCTCACCCAGGATTTACTGCATCTGCAAAGCACTCTGACTGCCTGCCAGGGCCTGAGCCTGTCTTGGAACTCTCTATGCATGACTGGATACCCAGCTAATTCTTACCAGGCCTCTTCTCTGTGGGACTTGACCCTAATTCTTATCTATTCCTTCCCTCTGGCCTTGCCATTGGATGTGGAATTTCCAAGAACTCATGTCATATTTGTATCATCATGACTCTCATATAGGCAGCTCCATATGTGGCACCCTTACTGTAAACCTGATGGTGAGCTCAGCCCTCTACATCTACATGTGTTTATATTGAAGTGTGTAGGAAGGGGTTGAGAGCACATTTCACTTTTTGGAGCCAGATACATTTGGTTTCAGAGTGTGAGCTTCCTTATCTTTTTTTTTTTTTTTTTTTTTTTAAGGTAATATGTTTCTGGATGACTAGATAAATTTTAAAAAAGATAATAAAACTTTTCTCCTGGGGTTATTATAAAGAGTAAAAATGTCATAAGAGTAATGCTTTTAGTATAGTGTCCAGCTCACACTCAGCACTCAATAAATTACAAGTCAACATGCTATAATAGGTTGAAGGCTACATGTAGAAGCGAGATAGCCAGAGTGATGAAAGGCATGGGCTCTGCAACCAGATGGGCTGAGTTTATATTCTGAACTCTCCACTTCTATGATACAGCCCTGGGCAGGTGATCGAACCTCTCTGTGCTTCAGCTCATTTATTCTCCAGAGGAGGATAATCATACAAACTCACAGGTCTTCAACTGTGAGAAACAAATGATGTTACCTATATAAAGCAGTGGGAACAGTGCCTGGCACACAGGAAACGTTCAATGCATGTCAATAAATTCATTACATTTATTATTTTATTTTACCATTATTTTAAATATATGTGTATATATAAATGTATAGGCATATATGCCATGAACTCAGGTTACAAGAACATAACTTTATTTTCCTAAAACTGAATCTACTTTCCTTCTTGAAGTCTATTCCATCAGAAGGCATAACATGGATTCTCATTACTGCCAGAGGAACTCAGTCATTTCAGTTATTTGGGACTTACAGGCTTAAACTCAGACAAATTCAGGATTTCCCTCTTTCCTTCCTTTCCCCTGGAGTTGATGTGGCAAGATGGCGGCATCCTCAGACAGGCATATTTGCCACGACCTGGGCTTTGTCGTCAGTACCCGTGGTGCTTGGCTGGTGGGACCATGCTGGGCTGTCACTTGGTCCTGTCTTTCACTGCATGTGGCTTTCTCATTTCTGCTGCCCTCAGAATGGCATAGAGGTTGATATGAGGGGTTTTCTGTCCTCCCAGAACTCCAGAGAAATTGGGAGACGAGAAGGGTGGTAAGGAAAGGGGCATAGGGCCCGTTATAAGTGTCTGAAGTCTTTCCTTTTCTTTCAACAGTTTTCTCCCCACCGAGCTGGGAGAACATTGTAACTTCGTGGTAGGGTGGAGGGGTGTGTGTGTTGATTTGCATTCTTCCTAGTCTTTCCTGTATTGTTCTTGAAACAAAGCTAAAAGTGAGGAAATTTTAGTGTCATTTTTTTCTGAGTTTGTTGTTATACTTCTCATTTTCAGGAGGCTTCAAATGTTTTGACCTAGACCTTGGACTTAGGGGATTGAAGGGGAAAAACACATCACAGTATTTTACTCACTGTTCCACCTGGAATACAGTTTCACAAGCTGGCTAACTAAGTACTGCCACTGTTTCCCCAATCATCCAGAAGAGGAAACAAACTCAGAAGTTGAGTAACTTGCTTACAGTCATCTAGGTAGAAAGGAGTGACTTAAAACCAGGTATGTGAGGCTCCAAACACATGCTTCACAACCTCTTTCTATGTAATGAGCCACCTGAGACAACAGCATCACTTCCCCACTGACTGTGGGCATTGCCAGCCTCCTAATTCTTCATCAGCCATAATGATGAAGGCCCTGCTAGGAGTCCCACTCCACTCCCTCATCAGGGATGGGCTGAGCCATCCCTGAAGCTGCACAATGTGCTGATCACTGAACATTGGACGGTCCAACTACCCTGTAGCAGAACAGCATTGATAATAATGTGTCTTCTCTCCTATTGTCTCATTCAGTCCCAGATTTCTCCATTTCCTGCTTGATGTGTGCATGCTAAGCACACGGAAACACATGATTTATGTATTAGGTTGATGCAAAAGTAATTGTGTTTTTTTCCCATTACTTTTAATAGCAAAAACTGCAATTACTTTTACACCAGCCTTAATAAATCTCTGTTAATAGTGAATAAATGTGTATCAAAGGGTTAAAGGCCTCTAAAGGGGCTGGCTCTTAGTCCTCTCGGTCTGTGGTGCAACAGGGCTCCTGGGCTCTGCTCATCCTAGCTGTCAGATTAATGGCAGGGACTTCTGCAGTGATCTCAGCCACACATGCTGCCTCTTCTATGTGACCCAGAACAGAGCTCAGAGTGAGGTCGTATTGATTTCATGAGAAGCTGGGCCTGCATCTTTTCTTTCACTCTAGGTTTGTTGGCTCCTGCCTGTAAGATGGCTGAAGGCTATCATTTTTGTGTGGAGGATTAATTAGAATAGATTTCTTTGACTTGGGATGCCAATAAAACCTGTGGTCTCCAGCTATTGATTTATGATGCTAAGCAGGAAGTGTTGGTCCCTGAACAGGCCCCAAGAAAGTAGTGGTATTGGGCATTTTGATGCTCGGGTGGTTAATTGTGGCAAACTGGAAAAGAATAAGAACACATAGGAGCTTTGGGGGGTACCGTGGTGGAAGGGAGATTGGTACAAGGGCCACCCTGATTCAGTGAATGAAAAGAGAATCTCATTTCCTGTGAATGATGTGGCTGAGAAATTGAAAGGGACATTTGTGAACTTTGGAGACTGAGATGATTGTGAGCAAATTAATAGCTAGATATCTGAGACGTTTGTTCTTATGCAGATAATTGAGTTCTGAAGAGAGAGAGGTCACTGGTCCTTCAACTTCTCCATCGTCTCAGAGTCCAAGTTATGATAAATTTCTAACTTTTATTCCCCAGATGACCTCTCAATTTAATTCAATTCAACAAGCATTTATTAGCACCTACTGTGGTGGTGGGAGGGAAGAGGGTATAAGAAAGCAAAAGTCAGCCCCAAGTGTGACAAACTCCTTAAGAGAATGGAACATGCCATTTTCAAACCGTGATTAGAATACAAAGTGGACTCTCGGAGGATGAGGGTGGCATAGGAGGAGAGATTTAGACTGAGAGTGAATGAGAACTTTTCATGATGGGTGGCATTTGAGCACAGTTTCAAGCACAGTGGCATGTGGCAAGGGGTTCCACATGAAGGAATCATCATCATGAAGAGGGTGGGCTTAGGACTTACTCAGGCTCTTTCCTTGGGTACTACTGTGACTGGAGCTTAGGTAAATGTAATAAAAATAGGTCAAAATATAGGTGTGGCCAAATCATGGAGAAACTGAAGAGCAGACTAGGGAGTTGGGGATTTGATTCTGTAAGTAGCGGGGAGCTATTGAAAGTCTTTGAGGAGGAGAGGGCCATGAATGATAAGACAGCCATCCAGGAAGCATGGTCCTGCATCCTGTGCCAATGAGATCAATGCAGCAAGGGAGGGGCAAAAGATGCCACTGAAGAAGTTACCACCACAGTCAGGGGAGAAAAAGATAGATATGTTAGGGGAGGCAGGTCAGGAAGGAGACCAATGATGTGGACTTTCAATCCTCAGTTTTGTCATCAGTAAAATGGGGGATCTATTATTGTTTCTAGGGTTTGAGAGTTGGTAGACTTAGGCGATGAAAGGAAAGGATGCATCAGAAATTTTTACTAGGTTTGCAGCCTGAGCATCATCTTTCTTAATCCCTTTTTCCTTCTGGCGCGCCCCCCCCTTTTTTTTTTTTAAACCTGGGAAGTTGCTGGCTATAAATAGGGTATATCTGGGACCTCGGTGTGTACGAATGAGTGGCCAGTTTGCAGGCACAAGATTAACAAGGTGCTGTCTTCCTGCCTAAATACTTGGCTTAGGAGTTGTAGAGAAACCAGGCAGTGTGGGAGCAAGAGGAGGACATGTGGGCAGAGCACCAGGAGGCTCTGCTTCAGACTACTGGCTAGAGATAAACAAGTCCTCCTCCTTCCTGACCCTCTGTCCCCAATTTGTCATTTAGTGATAACTTCCTGGCCTCAGGAGTCTTCTGTAAGGATGAAAGAGATTGTGCTCTCTTTTTAAAAGATAAAATACTAAAACTGCAATTAGTTATTATAGCCCTTTTGGGAAGCAGCATGATGGAGGCAGTGAAGAGCACTGGCTCTGGAGTCAGGCAGCCTGGGTTTGAGTCTTGTCTGCATTACTTACCAGCTTTGTGATGATAGGTAACCTAAATTCTCTGTGCTTCAATTTCCTCCTCAGTTAACATGAACGTAATAATAGTCGTCTGTTAGGTATGATGTGAGGAGGACTCACACAGTGCCTGGCACACTTGTTGCCGGATAAATGTTTGCAATGATGAGAATGATGCTGCCCTGCACTGCCAATGATGGGCTCTCTGAATACTAGTGTGCCTTTGATACCCATAAACCCAGCAAAACTATGCTGCTTGCATCTTTCCTTCCAGCTCCTGCCTCAATTTCTATTCAAGGTGGGCATCTCATTGCATCACAGAACATCACAGCAGTTAAGCAAGGAGGTTTCTCTCATCTAATACTTTATCTGTTCTTTCAACTACTGATCAGAAGGAATCTTACCTCCTGGTTATAGGGAATGCTCTACCTCTATAGACAGCCAAGTCCACGTATAGATAGCTTTGAAGATTAAAGTGCAAATCTACTTACTGATCTCTTCCTTTTTTGTTTGTGTGTATGTGCATGTATGTGTAAAACACACCCAAAAAATTACTTCCAGATACTCTCACTAATGCAAGAAGTGAGTCCTTAATAAAACATTGACTGTTGAGAAGGGAACAGTGGTAGAAAAAATAGTAAGATATGTACTCAAGATTTGGAAATGTAGAGAAATAAGTAAAATCAATTGAGAACAACCACCACATCTATAATGAGCTTCCCCTTCCCTGCCAGCTCACCCTTAGCTGAGGGGACTTACAAATGTAATGAGAAGAAATGGACTTTATGCTGTAGGCAGGATTTGGATTAGATGTTCAAGAGCTTCCTGCCTGGGAAGTGATCAGGGAATGTCCAGGCTTCTCCGGATTGTTCACATGTCTTCCCTGTATGTGCCAGGAGGTGCTTTCATACCAGGAACTTACTAATTGCAAGAAGGAGAGGAAGGAGAAGGAGAGGAGAGTCTATCAAAATCCACTCTGTTAAGGAGAAGTTCAATAGAGAGGCCAGTATTCAGAATGACTCATGCCCTGTCTGACTTCTCAACAGCTAGAGGTGCTTGGCTGGCTTGGGTTTCCCAGCTGCCTTGTGCTCAGAAGGCATTCAGGGGAGGCCTCAAACTGGCTTTAAGATTGATCTGGTTAGCACCAATATCACCTACTATGGGTTGTGAAAACTCTTTGGTCATAAAAATAATAGCAATACAGTAAAAACCTTGGCTATCTAAGAGGCCTCAGGAAATGAAGCATTTTGAATAGTGGAATTTTCCATAAAACTGAGGATTTAAAACCATTTAAGTAGAGGCTATTATTTTTGTATTTTAGATGGATTGAATCAATATAACATAACATTTCTTGTTTGCTTGGAGACAACAAACAAATGATAGTTATTGTTCTATGTCATTAATATAGTAGTTCCCTAGGGGATTAATGAATCACACAGTTTACCCCAAGACTAAATGCTGAAACCTTTGTGCCTGTTGAGATCTTCTGTCTGCTTTTTAGTTTTTCTGACCCTCTTTGCTACAGGACATCTTTGCCTCTCATTTCTTGCTAATCTCAGTACATCTGCCTGAAATGGTTTCTATTTTTTCTCTGATTTCTCTTGTCTTCATTTTCATATTATAAAGTACCATTGATCTTGCATATCATTGTTGTAACTGGTATCAGATCATTCAAGTAGAGGCTCTCTATATTTATATTAATTTATTTGTTTAACAAATGAGTATTGGGCATCTACTCTGTAGTAGGCAGCATGGTAAGTGCCAAAGATTCAATGATGAAAAACTGAGATGACATAAGTTGCTTATTGTTACAATCTGGCAACTGGCTTATAAAGGGTGCGTTGGCTCCACCCTTTATGCAAGTCCCTGTTTGTCAGTATATTCTAGCTTAGTGGTTCTCATATTTGAATGTGCCTCAGAATAACTTGGAGCACTTGTTAAACACACATAGCTGAGCTCCACTCCTGGAGTTTCTGGTTCTTGGGCGAGAAGGTGAGAATGTGCGTCTCTACTAAATTCCCATGGCATGGCCTGGGACTATACTTGGAGCGACACTTCCTTCGCCACATGACCTTCCCTTTGTTGTTCGAATGTCAGTCTTGTTTCTACCTCAAGGCATTTGCATTGAGGCACTTAGCGGGTGTGTACCCTCTGTCTGATCTTGGCCTGGCTGCCACTTGTCATCATGTTTTTAGGGAGGCCTCCCCTGAGCATCCTTATTTATGTTGCTCCCGTCTTCCCAGGCACTCAATGTCACTGCACTTGGTTTTGTTCCCTTCTTGGGCCTTTGCCACTCTTTGAAATTATCTCTATAGGATTGTCTCAGGGGTGGCTGTGATTGAAGAGATACTAACAGACCCAGGCAAAGAATGCATGTCTCTTTAATGCAATTAAAAGAAGTAAGAGTTTAAGTTCATGAAGACAGCTACACAAAGCAGAGGGCAGAGCAGCATTTTTTTTCACTGGAAGTCCCAGCCCTTCAAGTCCCTGTGGCTAGTAGTGTCAGCTGACTGAGGCAGAGGTCCCATAAGTCTCCCGAGCAGCTGCAACTCATCCATTCTCAGGGTCTTTATACACACCAGTCTCCTGTTTACTGATCTGCAGACACAGAGGAGTGTTTCCTGCAAGGTCGATTTCCCAGGTGAAAGATCTCCCAAGCAGGATGGAACTTCAAACTTTCCTGAGTCTTATATTTGTATTTATCTGTGTGATCTATTTTATTTTATTTGATAGCTGTCTTTTCTCCCACTAGCATATAAGCACCAAGAGAACAGGGGCATGTCTGTGTTCTCTTCCAGCATTTTCCAAGCACCTAGACAGGACCTGGCAGAAAATGGGCACTTAATATATATAAGCTCCCTCCTCCTTCCCTCACCTAATAGCAAAGTAAGTATGTGCCTCTTGAATGTAATTTAATTCTTTCAGGGAACTGAACAGACATGTTCTCAAAGAAAGCCTCTTCTGTTACCCTGTAGCTCATTTCAGAGCATGCTGAAGAAGGAGAAAGGCAAATACAAGTGAGAGAAATGTTTTTCCCTCTGTATCTTAATGTGGCAAGAACTCTTGGGCAAGAAACCATCTCCTCATGTTCAGCTTTCTTTTTCCTTCCTCTCATTTCTCCTGTTCTTGTGTCGCTCTGACTTCAGAGCCATAATAACAAACCTATTACTGCAATAAGATGCCAGAAGGGGAAAATGAGACTAAGTTACCGAGGAAGAAAGAGATGCAGCACCAACCCCAAGCCTCTCTGAAGAGCCTGCAGGCTGTTGAATAAGGGATGTCAGTTTAATTGCTTCTTTTCTCCCTTGGTATGGTATAGATGCATCTGTTCTTTTTCTCTTTTTGTTCTCTATTAGGTTCACAAATTATTTTGCCATAGATGCTAATAGCATCTGCGAAGAGGCAGTGTAATTCTGGAGTGGCCATTCCTTGGGTTTCTCTCTGCCCCCACTGCTCCTTATGTTAACTTTCTCCAGCCAGATGAGCAGCTCTTTGAAGACAGGAGCTACATCTTGCTGAGGGTTACCTGATGATTCTGTTGCTCACAGAAGCATGCACAAGGTTGCATACTACAAGCATCTGAAAATTCTCATAGAAGCAAAGTCTCTATGTCTTTTCCTAGCCCCTTCTCCTCCCGCTTTGTGGTTGACTTAACCAAGGGAGATACTGAGTGAATTCTGACTTTTTTTTTTTTTTTTTTTGCGACGGAGTCTCGCTCTGTCGCCCAGGCTGGAGTGCAGTGGCGCGATCTGGGCTTGCTGCAAGCTCCGCCTCCCGGGCTCACTCCAGTGAATGCTGACTTTTTTTTCTGATTTTCCCAAGGAAGGCTGACAGGTAAGTGCCCGCATTATGATGATTTATTTGTTTATACAAATATGATTATTGCAAACCCTGCTAGGTGTTAGGCTCTGTGCCAGGCATGTGGAAGGTAATAGTGATCAAGACAGATAGGCCCTTACTTTCTTGAGCCTATTTTCCATAGGAAAGCTGACAAAAGCAAGTTAGTTAACACAGATTGCAATCAAAACTATAAAGATAAAATAAGGGGCCAGGCGCGGTGGCTCACACCTGTAATCCCAACACTTTGGGAGGCTGAGGCAGGTGGATCACTTGAGGCCAGGAGTTTGAGACCAGCCTGGCCAACATGGTGAAGCCCCATCTCTACTAAAAATTCAAAAATCAGCTGGGTGTGGTGGCACGCACCTGTAGTCCCAGCTACTCAGAGGATCACTTGAACCTGGGAGGAGGAGGTTGCAGTGAGCTGAGATCATGCCACTGCACTCCAGCCTGGGTGACAGAGTGAGACTCTGTCTCAAAACAAACAAACAAAAAACCCCACAAAAACCAAGGTGATCAGAATAGTGGATAATGAGAGAGATAACCTTCTTTCCATGGAATGGTACGGGAAGGACCCTGGGAAAGTCATCTGAGACTCTGAAAGTTAATCTGGGACCTAAAAATGGAGAATCAGCCAGTTCTGTTGAAGAATAAGAGGATAAACACATGCAAATGTACTAAGGTGAGCGAAGTCCTATTGAGGAACTAAAAGAGGCTTAGTTTGGGAGAGGGAGAAAATGACATCAATCCAAGCTGGAGGAGCAAGCAAGGACTAGATCATGAGTTGGATATTCATTTTGTTTAAGTCCAACATCCTGTTCTGTTGCTCCTTTTGTCAATTAGAGCATGAAGAAGCCACAGATTAATTCTCAAACTTTCATATACATCGGTCTCTCCCAGGGAGCTTATAAAAGTGCAATACTTGCTCAGAGCTTCTGACACAGTAGCCATAATAAGCACAGGTTCTTTCTGTTGGAAGTCATAGAAATTCAACTAAAATCAACTTAAGCAAAGCCAAAACAGAAGTAATGGCTTCTCTATTTTGGAATCAAAGAGGTGGTGTTAGCTTCAGGCATGACTCCATCTAGCAGTTAAAATAATATCCCTAATGCTAGATGACACATTAGTGGGTGCAGCGCACCAGCATGGCACATGTATACATATGTAACTAACCTGCACAATGTGCACATGTACCCTAAAACTTAGAGTATAATAAAAAAAAAAAAAATAATATCATTAAAGCTCCCTCTCTCTTTTCTAAAAAGTTGTTCTTCTAATTTATTTATTGGCTTCATCCTTAGGAATGCTTTCTCCACATGGTAGTAAAAATAGGCATCAGAACTCCAGGCTTGTATTATCCTCATAGGTAGTGATCCCAGAGGAAAGGGTGCTATGTTCTCTTTTTCATTTCCACGTTAACCCCTCTAATGGATTTGGATTGGCCCTGCTCGGGTCAAATTCCCACAGTGGAAGTGTCCAAAGAGATGTACATCATCTCTTTGGACACTCTCTTTAGTTTGCTGCCTAAGCAGAGAAAGCAGGGTCACTTGAGTGATAGAATCACCAGATTCACTTGGCTTGGGGAAAGGATAGTTTCCATAAAGAAGAAATGTTCAAACAGGAAAGACTAAAAGTAGCAGACATTCCCCACAAAAGGCCTGGGCAGGGCAGAATTCTGACCTCCTAACACTAGCACCATGACTCCTTTATGTTGGTAAATAACAGACAGTGCTTTGAAAAACATTGCCAGAGATCACTTTGCGGGTTGAGAAACTGAAACTGAGTTCATAGAGAATGGGAATTCACCACAATGACAGACAAGAATGCTATGAAAATTGTTAAAAGACTTACAAGAGTCTCATAGTCATTGTCTTGGTTTCTAGGTCTCCTTTCTTGAATGTTAGTAATGTTATACATGGTAGGTTCCCACCCCACTCTTTATTATATACAGAAAGCAGAAATCAACTTGCTTATTTTTACAAAGAGAACTCATTTGAAAGATATGATTTGTCAAATAGTTCAGAAAATTCTGCTGAAATTTTAGTTAAAGTTGCACTGAAAAATAAGGGGAAAATTAACATTATTTCAAATGTGAAATATCTGATCCATGACTATAACTCTCTCTTTCTTGGTCTTCTTTATGCCATTAAGTGAATTTAAAAATATGGTGTTATACACTATTCCTTCATAGTACCTAGCTATTTTATTATTTTTGCTATTATGAATGAATTTCTGTTTTCTATTGGTTATTGCTGGTGTAGACACATATTACTGCATTTTATATGTTTACTGAAATCTGGTCACCCTACTGAATTCTATTCTATTTGTTTGTTTCCTGATTCTGTTGGGTTTTATAGATAGATAATCATATAATCTGCTAATACGAAAGTTTTGTCTCTCTTCTCCTAATAGTATGCTTTTATTTTTCTTGTGTTACTAAATTGGGCATAGCTTTCAGTATTATTTTGAACGGTACTGGTGATATACGAAATATTGGCTTATTCTTGATTTGAAGATTTGAAGACAATATATAGGATTTTCATTAAGTAGGATATTATATTGGATATAGGTTAATGGAATATAGCCTTTATCAGTGGAAGCTCTTTCATCTCTGTTTTTCAAAAGGTTTTTATAATTAAATAGATATTGAATTTTATAAAATGTTTTAAAAAAACTATTGAGATAACAATGTGATTTTCCTCCTTGCATCCATGATTGTGGAGAATTACATGGATAGTTTTTTCTAATGTTAAACCATTTAACAATTGCCTTTCTTGAATAAATCCTACCTAATCATAATGGATTGTCTGAAAAATTATTTAAAGCTAACATTTTTTTGGGGGGCTTTTATATGTGTTTGAATGGATAGATATATAATTCTCTTTTACTTGTAATGTTCTTTCTCAGTTTTTATGTAAAGTTTATATAAGTCACCTAAAAATTCATTGAAAATATTTTCCTCTTTTTTTCTTTTACAATTTGTACAGTGAGGGATTATTATCTCTTCCTTGAAAGTTTATTAGAACTCTTTTGTAGAATTATCTGAACCTAAGGCTTTTTTTTTTTTTCGAGAGAGCAAAGGACTTTTATTGTTATCTCAATTCTTTAAATGTCTAATTAGATTATTTAATTTTTTATATTTCTTTCTTGTATCAATTTTGATATATATTTATATTTTTTAAATTTTATATTTCATTTAGATTTCTGATTTTATGTATGGTTTATAATTTTGGAATTAAAAATTCTGTTTGACCTGTTCTCAATTTGTGGCTTAAAAAATTTATATACTATCTTTAAAATGTCTTAATCTGCCATTTCAGAGGTGTTCTCACATTATTATTTTCAAACATCCATATTTTAGATTTTTTAAATTTTTGTAATTACTTTTTTCTTTATTACTTTCTATATATAAAAATATATCCATCCTACTTTTTTGGTATATCTGATATTCTTTTTTATTTTCTTGAGTTGAACACTTAGCTTGCTTACTTTTAATTATTATTGCTTTCTGTTAATTACATTTAAAGTTAGAATTTTTTCTTCTAGTACAGCTTTGGCCATTTTCTACAATTATCAATGTGTATTGATTTCATTGTTTTTGATAAAAAAGTGTTTTATAATTTCACTCATAAATTTCTCTTTAACTCAAGGACTGTTCAGTAGCATTTTTTGTTTTAGTTTGTAGATATATATAACTTTTAAGTTATAATTAAAATTATTAATTTTATTCTACTGTGATCAGACTCTGTAAGATGTTGATTCTTTGGGATATCTTGAGCCTTCCTTTGTGTCTTTTATTTTTGTAAATTCCCCATGAATGCTTGAAAGCATCAATGTACTTCATTTGATAGGTACGAACTTTCGTACATGTTTACTAGGTCTAGCTCATTAATTGCATTAGGAAAATCTTCTATATCTTTATTTTTTGTTTACTTGATCTATCAGTTTCTGAGAAGGGTGTATAAAAATTTCTTATTTCTTGATATAGTTCTGTGCACTCCAACAATTAAATATCAAGTCCAGTTTTCAAATTTTCTTTTTTTTTTAAGCAGCAGAATAATTTTGTCACATAAAGTCTTGTCCAAGATTCCAGTTCAAAAATAGATAAAAGCAGATCTATTCTTGTTGAAGGGAGGGAGGGTTGTGGGGACTGTATCCCTTCCTTAGTCCCCAACAACCCTCCCCAAAACACTGCAAAACCCCAGTACAGTAGGGAGCAGGGTTTGAAAACCACTGGGAAAGGGATGGGAGAGCCAGACTTAAAGTCAACCCCATTTCTGTTTTCAATTGGCTTTGTCTCTTTAACCAGATTATTCTTCTTCTCCATAAAATGAGAGGGTTGAGACAGATGCTTTTTTGAAATCTTCTCCAGATATGAAATTCTATCATTCTAAATATTTACTGGGTGCCGACTAAGTGCCCAGCACTAAAATCATATGAACTTATATATTTTACCAATATGTCATTTGCTTTTCCTCCGTTATCTCATTTGATCTTCAGATCAGCAGGGAAAAGTGGGCTAATCCTTATGTAGAGATCTGTTTCCAATTCATTGGAAATGGTCATTAGAAGACAGACAAGAATCTTAGTAGTTAAGACTATGGGGTTTGAGGTCAGGATTCAAATCTCATCCCTGTGACTTACTAGCCATGGATCCTTAGGCAAGCTACTTAACTCCTCTGAGGCTGAGACCCTTTTTCCTCTGTAAAATGGTGGTGATAATGATGTCCAGTACGTGCCTGGTACATTGTAGGTGGTCAATAAGTATTAAGATGTCTTCTTGTAAGAAGTAGAAATTCTAGGGTAGGAGACAGAAACAACAGATGGAAAACACACTGTGGAAGAATGCTGCACTCGAACATCAATAGAAATGACAGTTGGTGCTTCCTGACTTCCAGGTTAGATGTGTAAATCTCAGACATGTTTTTCCTGGGACCTCTTGCCTTAATGTGTCTGAACCTTCCTTGGCTTCAAGGCCTCTGTTTTGATTGCCAAGAGAAATGACACAGAAACTCTAGAAGCCCTGGCTTGGAGTCTCTCTGTGGGTCTGCTCACAGCACAGCACTGCATAGGTTCATTATACAGTCATGAGGAGACTTTGGGTAATGTGCTGACCTTGTTATAATTAATGGATAGTGGGGTAATGGGTCTGTGTGACTCATTAGATAGAGAAAAGAGATCCAGCTCTTCTCATTTTGTTTAATTGAAATTCTAAAACATTTATTACTTTGGGCACATGATAGTAACTGGGTTTTTAAATATCAAAGTGATGATTTCAGCTGTTCCCCAAAGGGAAAACAGGATTGGAAGTTTCAAAGCAATAAAAAGAAACAACCTGAAGGGGCAGAGACAGGAAATTTGGAGGATTGGGGTTTGTTTGGGTAAATGACTTGGACAAGTTCCTTCACTTCTTGGGGCCACAATTTACTCATGGTGAGATGAGGAGATTGAAAATGCCACCATCACAATGACCCCCGACACCCCCACCATCATAGTTGCTGAAAACTCGTTAGGTACGGCACTAAGCCAAGCACTTCATGTGCATTGCTTATTTGATCTTCATGCATGGTAGAATAGGTACTATGCTTACTGCCAATTAACTAAGGAAGAAGTAGAGTTTTAAAGAGGTTGAATCACTCACCCGAAGCCACCCAGGAAGTAAAGAGTGATGCTGGGATTTGAACTTTGGTCCATGTAACTCCAGAACTCTTGTTCTTCCCCCATGCATCATATCTCCCTTAATTATTCTTCCTGTTTAAATGTTCTGTAAGTTCTGTTAGCAGAGGGCTGTTCTTGTCCCCATGTTTTAGGAGGCTGTCCTCTATTCCCTGAAAATTTACATTCCATGGAACCTCTTTGAGGGAGTGAAATTTAGAAGTAGGAAGAAGGAAGAAGGTATTAGCTAGCATTTTGTTAGAATTTCTTCTAGGCTCATTTGCTCCATCCCCACCATTTTTTTTTTTTTTGGCCATAGTTGAGAGTATTTATATATGATATTGTGTCCTTTTTATTACCTCCCTAACTTAGGAGCATTAGCATTTCTGCAAGTTATTAAAATTACTCAGAATCATAATTTTTAATTTCCGTAAGATGCTCAATCATATGAGGGCCTTATCACTTACCTAATCCACTCCTTACTGTTATACATTGAAGTTATACCAATTTGTCATTATTATAATGATAGTATGAACATCTTGGGGCATAAGCTTAAAAAAGTTTAGATTATTTCTTTGGGATTGACATCTCTATTTAAGTTTTCTTTTCTGATTATAAATATAATACAAAGATACTTTAGAAGTTTTTAAAGGGAGGAGGAATTTGAAGAGGGAAATAATAACAGTTGTTATTATTGTTATTATCAGCTAACATTTATACGGGGCTTTCTGGCTACTACCTGGAACTAAATGATGTTCTAAACATGTCATATAAACATCTAAATGATTGTTCTAAACATCTTATATGAATTAACTTACTAATTCCCACAATAAATATGTGAGATATATACATGTTTATTTTCGGTATATCTTGATTATTTCCTTAGGAAATTTTTTTTTAAATATATGAACATTTTTAAGGTTCTCATACCTTTCACCAAACTGCTATTCAGAGATGTGGTAGCTATTTCTTCTCACACCATCATGGTTAAAGAGTGTTCTTCTCTCTACATGCTCACTAGCATAGTGTTTTATTATTTTAAAAAGTGTTCGAGTCCTGAGTGCTTTCTGTTGCATCATACTACATCCCAAGGATCTCTGAAGCTTTGTTACTAATCTGTCATAAGTTTCCAACTGGTAAAACATAATAGCTGCATGTGGTAGCTACTAACGTGTCCTGAAGCTGAGTAGAGGAAAAGAGCATGGTGCCAGGAAGCAAATACCAATGCACACATCTCTGATGTCACACTAAGGTCTCAGAAAT
This sequence comes from Homo sapiens, assembly GCF_000001405.40. Classification (NCBI taxonomy): domain Eukaryota; kingdom Metazoa; phylum Chordata; class Mammalia; order Primates; family Hominidae; genus Homo; species Homo sapiens. Next base: position 152,102,497 of record NC_000005.10, read on the forward strand.
ACAGGAGTCTCCATGTGTCTGTTCCTCTAGGGGTGAGTCTGAAAAAACTCTAAGGGGATGAGAAACTCATACATTAGGTAGAAAAAGATAAAAGTGGTAGGCAAAGGAATTTTACATTTAAGATTCAAGGAAAATGACATAAACATTCAGCTCAGAAAATAAAAACTTATACTGAACTGTAACAGCAAAGAAATTCTCTCTGGATCCCATGGAACATTGCAGACTCTGATAGAAGGAGGAAATATGTGATTCAAAAAGGCATACTCTGTTAGGTCAATGTGATGTCCTAAAATTCCCAATATCCATAAAGGACAGAGTGTGATTCTTGAAATCTTGTGGGTATATAAGGTACTTCCCTATACTTTGATCAAAGATAACAGATCTCTCTTTCTCCCTGCTTCCTCCTTCTTTCTTTTTGCTTCTTCTTTCTTTCCCTTCCTTCCAGCTTTATGGATTTGATATGGTTTGGCTGTGTCCTCACCCAAATCTCATCTTGAATTGTAGTTCCCATAATCCCCACAAGTTGTGGGGAAGGACCAGGTGGAGATAATTGAATCATGGTGGGGGACTTTCCCCCATCCTGTTCTCATGGTAGTGAGTGAGTTCTCATGAGATCTGATGGTTTCATAAGGGGCTTCCCCTTTGCTCAGTTTTCATTCTCCTTCCTGCCACCATGTGAAGAAGCTCATGTTTGCTTCCCCTTCTGCCATGATTGTAAGTTTCCTGAGGCCTCCCCAGCCATGCTGAACTGTGAGTCAATTAAACCTCTTTCCTTTATAAATAACCCAATCTCGGGTATGTCTTTATTAGCAGTGTGAGAATGGACTAATACAGGGATTCTTCAAGTTACCAAATTAATGGATATTTATTTTACTATGTTAAACAATTCAGAGGTGCATGAAGATGTTAATAATCTTCCTCTGTCTTCCTTTAATTTCACCTTGCCCAGATAATCAATGGTTACAGTTTGATCTGTATTTTTCCACACATTTAGGAAATGTTCCTATAAAGATAAAAATTTATTCCACTTCTTTCTTAAAAGAACAGGACAAAACTCTCTATATTATTTGCTTTTCTGACTTAAAAATATATCAGAGAAACTGTTCTAGGTCAGGATACATAAATCAAACTCATGTAATAATAGCTTCATAATATTGTACAGTATGGCTGTACCATAAATTTTTTTGACCAGTCCCCTACTAAGGGACAGTCAAATAATTTTCAAGTTTGTTTTCTCCCTCTTTCCCTTCCTTCTTGGACCCGCTGAACTGTTTCCTTCTTGGACCCGCTGAACTGTTTCCTTCTATACAGGTGCTTATTTTTTGGTCAGATAGAGTCCCAACACATGAGATTGTTTGGAAAAAGGAAATGTAAATGTTAATTTTTAATGGCTGTTTTGTCTTTTTAATTACTTACTTTTGTTGAACACTGTCACGTATGTATTTAAGTTGGTATTCATGGCAACTTCTTTCACTAGGTAAGGTAAGGGGCATTATCTCCATTTTGCAGATGCACCTCACTGAGATTAAATGACGTGTTCAAGGTCACTCAGTTAGCACATGGCTGAGCCTATTCTTAAAGCTCTTGTGCCTTTGAGGCTTATACTTTTTCCATTAAGTATTTCTCCTCTGCTTCTCCCTGGCTAAATTTTTTTGAAGTTTACCTAGGAGAATAAAATGAGGCTCCATTAGAAAAATGGCCACACTAATTTAAAGATAATGATGCTAACAATGAAGGTGGTACTGACACATAATTAAACAGTTGTCAAAGGGGAAAAAAGAAGAGATTTCCACAGTGTGGTATCGGGTTTTTAAGAGTGGTTGTTAAGCTTTTAGGATTTTCAGTCCCCTGCTTCTGTTCTTCCATGCTTGAATGCTCAGAAGGATGAGGAGACAAAAGCTGGCCTTTGGCTTCTTTCCGTCATCTGTTTTGGCTCCTTCCTTCTGGTGCCTTCCCAGTGTCCAATTTCTTCCATTCATGAGGCTGTCTGTGAATGCCTGATGCCGTTTAGGGCTGAAGCCTGCTGAGGATGTTCAATTTCTAAGCAAAGAGTAATATCAGGTCCTTAGGGGAAACAAACCTGGATTCAACACTGAGAAAAATTGAGGAAGGAGAACATACCTCTGACCTCAGTCCTATCCTTTTCCCTCCTAGATTTGGCCCAACTACTTTTTCCATCATTGTATACTGTTTGTGCATTGTGATCCATCCCCTCTTCCTCTATTAGTCTTTATACCTGAGTGTGACCACCAGTCTGTGGTCCTCTCTCCCTGAAGTATTTGCATTTTATGACTTACAAGAAAGAATGAAAAAATAAGTGAATGAGTGATTTGGAGTGTCCTTTTAGTGTTCCTGAAATAATTAATCAGGATAGCTAACATTTGCTGAGCACTTACATTGTGCCAGGAACAATTTAACTTACACATCTACTCTATGCAGTAATCTTTCCCTTTTGCCAATGAGGAAACTGAGGCACAGTGGTTAAGTGACTAGCTCAAAGTCATGTACTGTATTTTACCAAGTCTAAATATCTTGCTAAATAACTAATGGTGCATTAATTATAAGATGTACCATTACTTTGTTTACACTAAAAAATGCTGCTAATAAAACTAAAACATGTAACTGATTTTAAGAAATGATAAATGTGAAAAAATATGCACCTTAGAATCAGTGACTGTACATGACAGAGCTGGGATTTGAACCCAAGTAGATCAACAGCAGTACTTACAGCTTTCTACCATGCTCTGTTTATGCCAAAAGATAGTCTTGACTACCATTTTATTAAGTCAGCATTTTTTTCAAGTGTTTTGAAAGGGAGTAGTGGGTATCAAGGAGGAAAGTGTTCTGTGAACAAGTAAGTTTAGGAAAGGCTTCATCAGACAGAATATAATTTTTCTACCACAGGACTTCTCCGAGCTGTTAATTTTTTTTTTTATTTTTTATTTTATTTTTGTTTTTGAGATGGAGTCTCGTTCTGTTGCCTAGGCTGGAGTGCAGTGGCACGATCTCAGCTCACTGCAAGCTCTGCCTCCCGGGTTCATGCCATTCTCCTGCCTCAGCCTCCTGAGTAGCTGGGACTACAGGCGACTGCCACCATGCCCGGCTAATTTTTTGTATTTTTAGTAGAGACAGGGTTTCACCGTGTTAGCCAGGATGGTCTGGATCTCCTGACCTTGTGATCCACCTGCCTCAGCCTCCCAAAGTGCTGGGATTACAGGTGTGAGCCACCGCGCCTGGCCTAGAGCTGTTAATATTAACATGTATTTTTGTACCTTCTGCATCATTTCTCAAAGTTTTTTTTTTTTTTTTTGTGGTGGAGTATTTTATGGAACTTCAGTTTCTTGGAACACATTTGGAGTACACAGTAATTAGTAATTTCTCTAATCTGGTAACAAATGTGTCCAGAAGGTCGAGTTTCATTTTGCCTAACTAGTCTGTGGGGGTAATTATTGCATATTAGGCATGATGGGTCTGTAAAGATGGAATTGAAATTAACCCTACATCTTCAGGAAATTTTTCTCCTGGTCCACATATTTTATTCAGTATTAATTTTTTAAAAAGGTATTTAATACCAAGAACAGTATTTTTCAAAGCATGCTTTTTGGCAATGGATTTCAAACTTTTTCGGTCAGGTATCCCTACCAGTAGAAAAAAAAATAAGCGAATGTTATGGTTCCTTTAAGGACAAAATGTACCAATGATTATAAAGATGACTTGCATACTGGGAGGCACTCATTGCCATTGTTTGATTATTTAAAAAAATTGTTTTGCAGAAACTTTTTGTAAAGGTTATAATTGCTTTTATCTACAGGTAACAGAGTACCTGCCTAATGATGCTTAAGCAATAAAGGTTGTTCAAGTTCCTAAAATAGGAAGAAGTTTGGAGATAGGTTGTCCAGGGCTAACGCAGGGCCTCAACTATGTCCTGAATGACTCAGATGTTTCTTTTATGCCACCACCCCTCCCTAAAATGTTGTCTTGTTGTCTCAGGGACACAATGTCTGCTGCAGTCCCAGGCATCACATCTCTGGACAAAGCAGGACAAAGAGGTTATAGTGGCATCAACTATACCTACCTTTTTTTTTTTTTTTAATCGAGAAAGGAAAATGTTCCTGAAGTCCCCAGTAGCCTTCTCTTTATGTGCTGAAAGTGCTGAGAGACATAGCCACACCTGGTTGCAAGCAAGCTGGAGCCAGGACTGTCATGATCAGTGTGTGCCAGTGGCTCTCCCAGTGAGGCCTCCAGGCCAGCATCATCACCATCACCTAGGAACTTGTTACACATGCAAATTCTCACTCCCCGCCATCCCCCAGACCTACTGAATCAGAAACCCTGGAAGTGGGCCCAGCAGTTTGTATTTTAACAAGCTCTCTGGGTGATTCAGATACACTAGATTTTGAGAAAAACTGTCTCAGACCAATGATTTGTTGTTCCAGACTGGGGTCATTGTTGCCCTGAGCAGACCTGAGATTCCATTTGTAACACAAAAGTTAGGGATGGATATCGGGCAGGTGTCTAAGTGTCCAACACAGAGACATTAATGTTTGACTGTTTTATATGTTATAAACAGGGATTATTTTTATTAATGTAAAAAGCCGCAGCAAAAACCAGCATTCTTAGCCTTGAGAACCAGCACTTTCTATCTTGTTTGCTGTGTAACCTTGAGCAAATCACTGAACCTTTCTGAGTTTGCTTCCTGCTCTTTTAAGAAGAGAAATCTTTGCAGGGTTTCTATAGGAACCATCTAATACAATGCACATAGAAGGACTCCAAAAACCCTCACACTTTGTGTGGTGTCTGCTCCCATGCGTGGGTGGATCACTGTCCCCCTGCATCTTAAGCCTTTGGCACTATTCCTCCTGCCTGGCTCAGGCAATCTCTGTGCATTGCTAATAGGGTTCCTGCAAGCACAGCACACCAGACTCCACCAGCAACGTCTAGGTCTCCCACTTGCTCATGGCAGGGGGTAATGTCTTGGGAGAGCAATAGAGAAGGGGGAGGAGCACTTCTGTAATGTACCACGCTTGTGTTTTATTGTTGCTGCTGCTGTTTTTCTCCTGGCTTCTTATATGAATTCCTTGAATTTAACAACCTGGGGGCTTTCAAAACAGCTTGCCAAGTAGCTTGCAGCCAAACAATGACAGTAAAGAGGTTCAAGATGGGATATTGACAGTGGACATGGGTAGGTAATTCTCCCCTACCTTCCATCTCTCTGGCATTTGCAGTAAGAGAGGCAGAATGGGATTTATTTAGGATGCACTAAGCATTTAAATGGCTAGAAGCTGTTTCTTTCAGTCTGCATGCCTATAACATCTTCCACTGTACTGTAATCTCAAGCCTGTTTACAAGCTTTGAAAGTGTTATAACCATAAAGACCAACTGAGCATAGCTCTCCATGATTCAACCAATTCACTGACAAGGATTTATGTAGTGCCTGGGAGAGGATATACACTGATATCCAAGCCTAAAGGGGCACAAAGATGATTATTTTGGTGTGTTAGGCTGGTTGCTGATATATCAGCAGTCATCTGCCCACAAGTTGTAGGAGCCATCCCCATCTCTGAGTGTCAGGCACGGGGAGAGAGGATGGCAGAGCCCTGGAGAGCTGGGAGGATCTATCGTACAACCTTTGGAAACGAAGGTGGCAATCTGAGACAAAGATGGCCTTGTCAGACTGACATGTGTGATTGTTTTAGATTGTAGGAAGGAAGGCTGGTGAATCCAATCCTCATAGCAGACAGAAGCCCTATGTTACCATCTCAGGAGGGAGTCAGAAATTATGGACCAAGGACCATAATCATGAATTCTTGTGAAATTCTGGAATTCTTATAAATTTTGTTAACTCTTGGATGTGTCCACATAGCAACTAGCAGTCAATTGTGAAGAAGGCCTGTGTTTTATTTTCCTTTTTTTTTTTTTTTTTTTTTCCTGGCAGAAGGTAGAGAGGCAGCAAAGAATTAAGGAGAGACTGGGTTGAGGAGGCAGTGATGGCTTCTGGTAGGGAAGCAGAGGGAGGGTGGATGGCAGTGACTGACAGAAAATTATCTGGAAAATGGTGGAGGGAACTGGTTTGCACTTGAGAAAGATCTTTGAGTTTGAGCAGTAGAAATTCTGGGTGGAATCCCCTTCGGCTTCAACTGAGTTGGGTGTCACTTGGGTCAGTGTCTCTTTTTCTCCTTATACCTCAGCAGGTTAGGGATTGGAAACATGTCATACCTTTTACCAAATATTAGACCAGTAATTAATTTATTCAACACATATTTTGTATTTCCTGAGCACCAATAAGTGCTGAGTGCCATAAGTAGTACTTGGTACACACACAATGGTGAAAAGTCATGCAAGATTTCTGCCTCAGGGTTCTTTTCTAATGAAGGAGACTCATACTAACTAAAAAAAAAAACTATATTTATCAGTATAGGTGACAGGAAAGAAATACAGTGATGAATGAGAGGCTTACCAGTGAGCCATATTGGAGGGGGGTGGTCAGTGGGGTCTTTCTTGAAGACATACATTTGAGCTGAGAGTTGAGAATGAGAATGAGCCACACAAGGTGCTATGGGGAGACCATTCCTGACAGACAGGGGAATAACCAATGCAAGGGCCTGGAGTTGGGAGAGAGCTTGGCAGTTTCCAGCAGTGGAAAGAAGGCTAGGATGTTTGAAGCATGGTGAGCAAAGGCAAGGTAGAGAGAAAGGTATGAAATGGGATGGGGAATTGGGGAGATCCCAGATCATGAGGCCTTCATAGGCCATGATGAGGAGTTAGGAGTTTATTTTATGACCAGTGGGAAATCATTAAAAGATTTTAAGCAGTAGGTTGACAAGGACTATTGATAAAGGTCATTCCAGTGCTGACTGAAGACTGGATTGAAAGGGTCTAAAAGAAGTGGGGAGATAAATCAAGAGGCTGTCATAATAGCACTGAGAGAGAGTATGAGGATTTGGAATGGGGAGAACAGTGAAGATGGAGGGATGTGGATGGATATAAGACAGATTGTATTTAGGATGGCATGTGGACTGTAAGGATTTAAGCAGGTGGTGACAGCTACTAATAGCAACTCATCGAGAGGGGCTATCTGGAAAGAACTGAAAGAGGATACAGGCGTACCTCCAGGAACCCCTCCAGGGTTCAGTTCCACACCACCAACATAAAGTGAATATTGCAATAAAGCAAGTCACACTAGGTTTTTGGTTTCCCAGTATACATAAAAGTTATGTTTACACTATACTGTAGTCTATTAAGTGTGTAATAGCATTGTCTAAAAAATGTACTTAACTTAATTAAAAATACTTTATTGGTAAAAATGCTAATGATCATCTGAGCCTTCAACAAGTTATCATCTTTTTACTATAGGATGATCTTGCCTCCATGTTGATGACACTGTTGATTGATCAGGGTGGTGGTTGCTGAAGGTTGGTGTAGCTGTGGCATTTTTTTTTTTTCTTTGAGTCAGAGTCTCGCTTTGTCGCCCAGGCTGGAGTGCAGTGGTGCGATGTCCGCTCACTGCAAGCTCCACCCTCCGGGTTCATGCCATTCTCCTGCCTCAGCCTCCCTAGTAGCTGGGACTACAGGTGCCCGCCAGCATGCCTGGCTAGTTTTTTTGTATTTTCAGTAGAGATGGGATTTCACTGTGTTCGCCAGGGTGGTCTTGATCTCCTGACCTAGTGATCCACCCGCCTCGGCCTCCCAAAGTGCTGGGATTACAGGCATGAGCCAGTGTGCCCAGCCAGCTGTGGCAATTTTTTAAAATAAGACAATGAAGTTTGCTGCATCTGCCGACTCTTCCCTGAAAAATTTCCTTGTACCATGAAATGTTGTTTGATAGAATTTTTACCAACAGTAGAACTTCTTTCAAAACTGGAGTCAATCCTCTTGAACCCAGCCACTTACTTGTCAACTACATATGTATATATATATATATATATATATATATATATATATATATATATATATACTCTTCTAAACCCTTTGTTGTCATTTCAACAATGTTTTACATCATCTTCACTAGGATTAGGTTCCGGCTGAAGAAAATATTTTCTTTGCTCATCCATAAAGAGCAGCTCTTTATTTGTTCAAGTTTTATCATAAATTGCAGCAATTCAGCCACATTTTCAGGCTCCACTTCTAATTCTTGTTCTTTTGCTATTTCTACCACATCCACAGTCACTTCCTCCACTGAAGTCTTAAACCCCTCAAAGTCATCCATAAGGGTTGGAATCAGTTTCTTCCAAGCTCTTGTTAATGTTGCTATTTGGACCTTCCTCTATGAGTCCTTCTTAATGGCATTTAGAATGGTGAATCCTTTCCAGAAGGTTTTTAATTTATCCAGATCCATCAGAGGAGTCATGATCTATGGTAGCTATAGCCTTATACAATGTATTTCTTAAATAAGAAGACTTGAAAGTTGAAATGACTTCTTGGTTTATGAGTTGCAGAATGGATGTTGTGTTAGCAGGCATAAAAACAACATTCATCTTCTTGTGTATCTTTATCAGAGCCCATAGGTGACCAGGCCATTGCAAAGAAGCAGTAATATTTCAAAAGGAATCTTTCTGAGCAGTAGGGCTCAACAGTAGGCTTAAAATATTCAATAAACTATGCCGTAAACAGATGTGCTGTCACCCCAGCTTTGTTGTTCCATTCATAGGGAACAGGCACAGTAGATTTAGCATAATTCTGAAGGGCCCTAGGATTTTTGGAATGGTCAATGGGCATTGGCTTCAACTTGAAGTTACAAGTTACATTAGCCCCTAACAAGACAGTTTATCTTTTGAAGCTTTGAAGCCAGGCATTGACTTCTTCTCTCTAGCTATGAAAGTCCAAATGGTGTCTTTTTTTTTTTTTTTTAAATAATAAGGCTGTTTTATCTATATTGAAAATCCATTGTTTAGTGTAGCCATTTTCATGAATGCTCTTAGCCAGATCTTCTGGATAAGTTGCTGCAGCTTCTACATTAGTACTTGCTGCTTCACTTTGTACTTTTATGTTATGTAAATGGCTCCTTTCCTTAAACCTCATGAATCAACCTCTGCTAGCTTCCAACTTTAACTTTACTCCTGCAGCCTCTTCACCTTTCTCAGCCTTCATAGAACTGAAGAGAGTTAGGGCCTTCCTGTGGATTAGGCTTTGACTTAAGGGAATGTTATGGCTTGTTTGGTCTTCTCTCCAGACCACTAAAACTTTATATCAGTAATAAGGCTGTTTTGCTTCCTTATTATTCATGTGTTCACTGGAGTAGCACTCAGTTTCTTTCAAGAACTTTTGTTTTGCATTCACAACTTGCCTGTTTGGCACAAAAAGCCTAACTTTTGGCCTGTGTTGGCTTTTGACATGCTTTCCTCACTAGGCTTAATCATTTCTAGCTTTTTATTTAAAGTGAGAGATGTGCAACTCTTCCTTCCACTTGAACACTTAGAGGCCATTGTAGCATTCTTAAGTGACCTAATTTCAATAGTGTTGTGTCTTAGGCAATAGGGAGGCCTGAGGAGCAGGAGGAAGAGACAAGAATGACCAGTTGGTGGGACAATCAGAACATATGCAATATTTATCAATTAAGTTTGCTGTCTTATATGAGTGTGGTTCTTGGAGCCCCAAAACAATTATGATAGTAATATCAAAGATCACTGATCTGAAATATAAGATATAAGAATAATAAAAAAAGTTTGAAACATTTTGAGAATTACCAAAATGTGACAGAGACACAGAGTGAGCACATGCCTTTGGAAAAATGGTGTCAATAGATTTGCTCAATGCAGGGTTGCCTCAAACCTTCAGTTTGTAAACAAATGGAATATCTGTGAAGCTCAATTAAAGTGTAGTACAATAAAACAAGGTATGCCTATACAGGGAAGTGTCTGTACTTGGGATAGACCCTTGAGTCTGAGCCATAGAATATCCAGGGTAGAATTCCCTGAAAATGAGTGTTGTACCACCTCTTACTCTGTAACTTCAACTATTTCACTGTGGAGTTAGTGATGGATTGGATATATAAAAATAACAGCAGTCATTGAGCATTTACTGTTAATCTGACATATTGGTAAGTTCCTAAGTTCTTTTATCAAAACTATGGAACAGATCTATTATTGATCCTCATTTTCTGGTTGTAGAAATGAGGTTCAGTAAGGTTAAAAACCTTGTTCTGAGTCACACAGGTGAGGTGTGGCAGAGCAAACTGAGGCCAGGGATATCTGATGGTAACTTCATGTTTACATGACTATACTCTCAATTTTTTTTTTTTTTGAGATGGAGTCTTGCTCTGTTGCCCAGGCTGCAGTGCAGTGGCACGATCTCAGCTCACTTCAATGCCTGCCTCCTGGGTTCAAGCAATTCTCCTGCCTCAGCCTCCCGAGTAGCTGGGATTACAGGCGCCTGCCACCATGACTGGCTAATTTTTTATTTTTAGTAGAGACGGGATTTTGCCATGTTGGCCAGGCTGGTCTTGAACTCCTAAGCTCGGGTGATCCACCCACCTCGGCCTCCCAAAGAGCTAGGATTAGCCACTTGCCACCACGCCTGGCTAATTTTTTATTTTTAGTAGAGACAGGGTTTCGCCATGTTGGCCAGGCTGGTCTTGAACTCCTAAGCTCAGGTGATCCACCTGCCTCAGCCTCCCAAAGAGCTAGGATTACAGGCGTGAGCCACCATGCCTGGCCTATACTCTCAATTTTATAGGCTGTACTTGGCATACAATTAACTGAACAAATGTCTCCTGTGGATACCTACTCTGTGGAGCATCTAAGCAGGAGGTGCGACTCTGAGTGAGATGTGGTTCCTGTTTTAAAACATTGACACTAGAGTAGAACGATTAAAAAGTAGTTCTTTTGATAAAAGCACTTAGGAACTTACCAACATGTCAGATTAAAAAGTAGCCCCAGATAACTCATACAAACTAGAAATTGATGTATAACACACAAGAGGTTAAAACAAAAGGCTTTTAAGTTTGGAAGAAGGCAGAGTTTTCCCAGACTGTGGGTAGAAGGGTGCAGATTCAAAGACTGCTTCATGAAGGAGGTAACAGCAAAGATGGGTTTGCCTGCAGCACCCAGAGAGAAGCCTGGGGAGTGGCAGGCACAGTGGGGCAGAGGCTGTGATTGGTTTAGGGCAGAAGTTCTGCGTATGGTCTGGGGACACTTTGATGTGTGAGATCAAAACTATTAGTCATCAGGTCGAGATATCACACTGTGATTAACCACATGGGTTTTTGCATCAGCAATCCTGGTTTTTAGCCAGACACTTTCACTTATTGTCTTTCTGTGTTATTTAATCTCCCTGATCTTTACTTTTTTCAAAAAAAATTACTACATATAAATGATTATATATCTACCTCACAGATTTGTTCAAGATATTAAATGAAAGAAGCTATATAAAGTATGTAGCATGGTACCACACCCATAGTTAGGCCTCATATGGCAGCTATTAGGGGTGAACGAGGACTAGTGGGTTGAAGTTATAGGCAGGAAAATTGTACTCTATTAGATAATGCACAATTAAGACACTAGCTAGCCTAGTGCTTGGCATCTGCTAATCACTTGATAAGTGGTAGTTGCTGTTGTTGATGTAATTATTTTAAATATGAATTTAAACGTTGTATGACATAGAACTTCCATATGCTTAGATTTCTCCCCTGAATGAGTTTGGATGTCTGGGATTCATTTTCTTCATTCATTTTTTCATTCATTTATTCACTTACTAAACATACTGAATGCTTCACCAGGTACCATACTAAGTGCTGAGATTACAAAATTTATTAAATGAGTTTTCTGTCCTAGGAAATATGTATGCAAAAAATGGACAATCAGTCATGGAATGCTATAGAGGAGATTCATGCTGAGGACTTCTGAGCAACTTCCCACCTGGTGACTTCCAAAATTGTATTTCTGTATGACATTAGAATTGTAGAATATCAGAGCTGATATGACATTCAGGCTCTAGAGATTACTTAGTCCAAGAAGTTCCTCACTCCTATGAAGAAATTCAGGTCCTATTTCCCAGTGCAGATCTTGATAATGTTCTCTTTAATATTTAAGGTCCCCAAATAATTTTGATTTAGATGGAAGAATGCAAGAAATGAGTAGAATGTTTAATCAACAGGCAACAGGCAAATCATTCAATGAGTAGAATTTTTCTGGGCACAAATTATCACGTATCATGTGTATCATGGTGGAAACAGAATAGCCTTGTGGTTAAGAAAACCCAACTAGACTCTCAGGTCTTACATTTGTGTGACCTTTCGTTGCATACCTAAATAGGCACAGTCTTTTTAGTTCTCTGATATTTTCTCATCTGAAAAATGGGGATAAGGCAGTTAGAAATTACATTCAGCTAGCAGAAAGAAAAAATTCCCCAAAACAGTGACTTGAACAAATTAGGATTTTATTTTTTTTCTCATTTAAAGAAGTCAGAGAATAGGCAGACGAAGGCTTATATAGCATTTATCCAATTTCACAGTGACTCAGGCTCTGTCTACTTTTCTGTTTGTTATCCTTAGTGCATAGCTTCTTTCTTTATTCTTAGTGTGTGGCTTTGTGCACAATATGGCTGCTGCAGCTCCAACCATCACATCTGAGTTTCTTGCAGGTCTATAGGGAAAACATGGAAGGGAAAAAGTCATCTGTTAACCGGGCCAGTCTTCTTTCAAAGAATGTTTCCCGGAAACTCTACTCACAAACTTGGCCAGGGAACCATCCCTAATTGCAAAAGACGTTGAGAGATATACTGTTATGTCTGGTACTTTACTGCCTCTAAAAAACTGGAGTTTACTTAGTAATGAAGAAAGGCATACTGGATATTGGATACGTAGCTATCAGTCTTTATCATAGGAGCCAAATAATATGACTTATCTCCTTAGGTTTTGTGAGGATTAAATGAGATGATAGAAGTGAAGCACTTAGCTCAGTGCCCAAGCATACAGAAAGCGTTCATCTAAGAGGGGAGGATAATCCCTGTCTTCAATAAATTTGCCCATTTATTGGGGAAATGGATATACACATGAAATAATAATATGATAGTATCATATAAGACAAATGTAAAATTCAGTCACCTCACAGCCCTTCTTCCCCACTGCCATCTCAGGACTGTGTAACAAAAGTCCTAGCATCTGACTTTTGTTGAATACTTCTCATTGGTCAGATTCTTTGATATTGCTTTATACATGCATGATCTCATATGACCCTCAAGGCAACCCATATGGGATAGGTGCTATGAGGCAGGTACTGAAAACTAAGGTTTTTTGAGGTAAGTAACTTGCCTCACTACATACTTATTATAGGTTAGCTGGTATAGGAATCCAGATCTATGGGATTCTTAACTTGGTGCCAGGCACTAGTCCTGGCTCTGCCTGCAGGGTTTTCAGACACAAGCCCTGCCCCCTCTGTGGGCCACATTTCCTCATCAATAAAACACATGAAACTAGATGAGCTTAAAGGTAGTTTCTGGCTTCAAGAATGCTCAGAACTCTGAACACAGAATTCCCCTAAGAACTGGTAAAAGATAACTAAAAATAAAAGATAAAATCCTGATTTTTCACATTGGCTTTTGATGCTATTAACCTTTAATGTTCCTTACCTGAAGGGGTTAGTTCTTTCCTTACTGAAGGAACATTAATCAGAATTAGATAATGAACAAACCACCTGGAGTCTTTCTCTGTCTGGTTCAAATCATGGTGGAACATGCCTGTTATCCCAGCTACTCAGGAGGCTGAGGTAGGAGAATTGCTTGAACCCGGGAGGTGGAGGTTGCAGTGAGCCGAGATTGCGCCATTGCACTGCAGCCTGGGCAACAAGAGCAAAACTCCATCTCAAAAAAAAAAGAGTCAAGGAAGAAAAAATCCTAGGAGAAAATGGTGAATTCAGATTCTGTTATTCTAATCTTGCATACTTGACCATTATTTCCTTTGCAATTCCTTATCTAGCATTGGAGAACATCAGTAATGTTGATGGGAAGGCCTATGCAACTGATGGTGAATAAAAATCAATTTTGAATTTAAAAAATAGAAGAAAAAAATCATGATTCTCATACAGATATAGAAACGAACATGTGTTCAGGATTTTATTTAACTCCTTTAATGAGAAAATGGGTTGTGTGATAATACAACCAGTTAAAAGAGAATCCACAGAACAGGTACATCTATAGATCATGAATATTGAAATGAATTTGCAAATAGAGATAAAGTAATTTTTTTCCATGGGAGAAGGGAAAAGGTTGTTCCTCCACTGTACAGAATTTATTTGCATGTCTATAGACAATAATTATTTTGCATTGCTATCAGTTAGCAAACAGCTTACATATTTGTGAAATAGTTCCCAAAGTCAGAATCAGCTAAGGTGAAAGGGTGAGCTGTAGAGAATGCACAGTGCTCCACTGAAGCCAGCTTTTTCCCTGCAGTAAGTCTTATAGTCCAGTTAGTCTGACCCTATTTCCTGCACAGGTCTTGGGTTTCTGCCTCTGTCAAATATGTGCTGTCCTCTTCTCTCTGCTATTTCAGACATCTATTTCCTTTGGGTTTGACTTATGGTTTGCTGCTTCCAGAAAGTCTTCATTGATCCTAATCTCTTTAATTGGGCGTAGAAAAGCAGGTTGGAGAAGTGACTGGATTGGGAGATCTCATATCAGGAAGCTTTTCCAGGGCGTAGCTCTCATGGTGGCTCAACCGCCAACTGGTTAAGTAGCCCCAGGCAAGTCACTTGACTTTGAGTCCATCTGGAATTTCCTAGAACTCCCTACATAGACTGAATGGTTCTTGAGAGCTAAGGAAAGTTTTGTCCTCTCCCTCTTTCAGAGGGACATTTGGGAGGCCACATGATAAAGTTGAAGTGTCCTGGGTTTAGTGATAAAATTTTTTTTAACTTAATTTAATTTTAAATTCTGGGATACATGTGCAGGATGTGCAGGTTTGTTGCATAGGTAAATATGTGTCATGGTTGTTTGCTGCACCTGTCAACCCATCACCTAGGCATTAAGCCCTGAATGCGTTACCTATTTATCCTGATGCTCTACCTCTCCCTGCCCCTCAAATAGGCCCCAGGGTGTGTTGTTCCTCTCCCTGTGTCCACGTGTTCTCATTATTCAGCTCCCACTTAAAAGTGAGAATGTGTGGTGTTTGGTTTTCTGTTCCTGTGTTAGTTTGCTGAGGAAAATGGCTTCCAATTTCATCCATGTTGATACAGGAGTTAAGAAGAAATTACTTAGCTAGATAGAGTGTGGAAGTCCTTGGTAAGGTGTTCCTTCTAATGAAGAGCGGCCCCAAATCATTTTCTAACAAAGAGCAGCCTGTAAAGTCGAGCTGCAGACATAGACAAGCAAACTGGGAGCTTGCACGGATGAATGCCAGCAGGAAAGAACTACCTTGGACTACACGCGTTCAAAACGGCAGCTCCATCTTCCCTTCTCTGCCAGCCTCGAGTATGGTAAGGAGCAGACAAGATGGTGCCAGCCAATGGGGGAGTTCATTTGCATAATATTAGGGTGGGGTGGCCAGCCTTCCCCATGCTATGTAAACGTCACACCTGATGGAGCCAATCTATGAGCCCTACGTAAATCAGACAACATCGCCTCAAGCCCGACTATAAAATGTGGTACGTCCACTGCCGGCAGGCCTTTTCCTCTTGGAAGTCCCCTCTCTCTCACTAGAGAGAGAGCTGTTTCATTTCTCTTTCTTTTGCCCATTAAACCTCCACTCCTAAACTCACGTGTGCCCGTGTCCTAAATTTTCTTGGCGCGAGATGACGAACCCCTGGTATTTACCCCAGACAATGTAGCTGCTTCAATGTCAATAGCAAAAACATGGAATCAACCCCAAATTTAATTTCTGTGTTGCATCTGTCACTAACTGTGTGACCATTGGCAAGTCCTTCAACCTTGGTTTGCTTATCTGCAGAGGGGCAACCATCACTCATGCCTGTGAGAGGCTGAAAAATAACTCCCAAAGGAAATCTACTTTAAATCTTTCGAAACTATGAAAAAGGATCTTTGCAGATGTAACTAAGTGAAGGATCTTGAGATGAGGAGAGTATCACGGATTGTGTGGGTGGGCCCTACATGCCATCACAAGTATCCTTATGAGAAAAGGGCAGAGGGCATTTGACACAGAGGAGAAGGCAATGTGAAGCCCTAGGCAGGTATTGCAGCACCACAGCCATGAGTCCAGGAACGCTGGTGGCTGCCAGACCCTAGGTGATACAAGGAACAGATTAGTCCTGGGAGTCCCCAGAGGGAGAATTGCACTGCTGAATTTCAGACTTCCAGCCTCCAGAACTGAGAGAGAATACATTTCTGTTGCTTTAAGGTACTGAGTTTATGGTAATATATGACAGCAGCTTCAGGAAATTCATATAATGTCCCACTGGCCTCCCAGGGTTGCTGTGAAGCTCAAAGAAAGAATGCAACAGTGCTTTGTAAATGGTCAATGCATGCTAGAGGTTTTGTATAAACAAACAATTGGCAAGTAGTATGTATATATTATTCATAGATTGCACATTTACAGAGAACTTTGATAAGCAATGGTAACAAATTGCATGAAAAAATAAATGAGATAATTTTTCAAGTAAAAATAATATTCAGAGCAAATATTCCCCCTTTGTCTCCTTTAGGTATTAACCTCTTGTTGTCAATATAAAGGACTGAAGCTTTTGTCTCTCCCTGGCAGCTGCCCTGCCCCCCGAGTTATGGGATAGGCTGTCTGAGGACGTATCAGTGCGGCACAGGCACTATTTGCTGTATTGAAATAGTGTTGCTACTGAGAGGAGTGACAGCAAGAATGAGCAGCTGTTGTTTTGTGGGTCCCATCTCAGAGTGAAAATTCCTGGCACAGCAGAGAGACAGTTGGAGTGGGATGAGACAGACTGCAGTAGCTGCAGTGCAGCACGGCAGGACTGAAATGCAATGTTGAGATGCTGCCTGCCAATGCCCACTGCATTCCAGAGGTGCAGACGCCAATCTGAGGCAGGTGCTGTGTCAGGAGCAGGTGGAGGGGCTCAGCTTGCCAGAACAGTGTGTCCATCCTCCCCTCCCGATACACACACAATGTCCCATCAAGGTGCTGGGTAAGGGACACGGACCCAGCTCTTCGAGTATGCCCTAATGGACCTATTCGGGCTCATCTCTTGCTCTTGTTAGTCTCAGCACTTGAGCCCAGCCACTCTACTTGTTAGCACTTCATCTTCGTTCCCCAGCCCAATTGTATGTTCCATTTTCCCTCCCCAAAATATTCCTACCTATCTGCTCTGGTAACTCACAATTATCACACCAATATTCTAGCCTTTAATTAATTACTGAACAGTGAACACCTACTTTAAGCCAGGCAGAGACACATTGCTGGGATGCATGGTAAGCAAAACAGACACAACCCCAGCCTCCATGGAGAACGTTAATGGGCAGACGGCCTTTGTGCAAACAATCACAGGAAGAACTGTGTAATTACAAACTATGATACACTATGGAGAAAGAAATATAAGGTGCTAAAGGAGACAAAAACAGAGCCGTTTTTAGGTTGGAGAGAAGTCCTCTCTGAGGTAGGAACTTTTATTTGTAGGCATGATGGATAAATATGTTTCCCTGGTGTGTGCAATTTGGGTTTGATAATGGGGGCAAGGGGTCTCTAAGAGGAATGAACAACAGTTGCAGGAGCTGACCTGTGTTTGAGGGGCAGAAAGGAGGTCATGTGGCTTCCATGGAGCAAGCAAGGGGACAAGAGGTTGCAGATGTGGGCAGAGGCCTGATTATACTGATGGTATCTTAAGCGTCTATATCTTTATTCAACGTGTGGAAGACTTCACAGAGGCATTTTAAGAAGGAGAATGACACAATCTGATTTTTTGACTGCTGGATGGAGAATGGGTTGGGAGGGCCTGAGTGAAAGCTGAGACAATTAGGAGGATATTCTGAGAGAGCCTAGTCACCATTGAGGCAACCTTTCCCTACAGATGGACTTGACTGGTGCCCCAAATTCCCCCAGTGAGTTGGTGGAAGAGCCAGGACTTGAACCCTGGTTTAATAATGTCTAGGTCAATATACTTGCCATTGCATCACACTACGCTTAAGTTTCTCTTCACATGGATAATTGATAATAATTGATGTCTCATCCTTCAGTGGAAATTAAAGACATTTTGTGGTCCTATAATAAGTATTTCATGCAGAGTGATAAAAGGAAGTTCAACAACTAGCTTTTCCATGAATTCATAACCTTACATACATGACCACTGCAGGCATGTTCACCACTGTGTTCAAGGCGGGATAATGTGATCAGAAAATTCAGGGCTGCGGAATAAGACAGACCCGGGTTCAAATACCAGATCACTGCTTATTAAACTCTGCCACCTTTAGCAAGTTACTTTACTCCCCTGAGTCTGTTTCTTCAACTAAAAGTGGGTGTATGTGTAAGAGAGTACTTTTTATCATGTTGTCTTATTAAAAGCAAATATGCATCTGGCATATAGTAAGTGCACAATAACTGTTTATCAGGATGGGAATGATGATGTTGATAGTGTTATGCTACTTAGTCAAAGACAGAGTGTATCCTTGGGGAGACAGGAAACTTCAAAACACACATCTTTTCAGAAAACAGTTACTTAAGTGTACTTTTAACGAAGCAGTTCAATAATGTATGAAGTGTCTATTGTATATAAAGATCTGTCCTAGGCATGATTCACATCCACAAGGTGTTTATAACGGGAGATAAAACAAGTCTCCAGATAACTCTAATACTGTGTAGAAGTAATGTTTCCCGGGAGAGATGCTAAGTGAAATGTGGTTTTAATAGCAGTGGTGTGCCATTCCACTGGTAGCATTCTGCAAGTCTTATGGACAAGGTGGTTCCTTAAATGGGGCTTGGAGGATGGGTAGAATTTTGTAATTTGAAAATGATACAGTTACCACTTTGGTTGTTTCCTCGGCACTATAAAAGCTATACCCGATCTCTTTAGAAAATTTAGAAAAAAAAATCAGTAAGCAAATAGAAGAAAATCAAAATCCTCTGTGATCTTACCAGAGTGATAACTCATTATCTTTGGGTTGTATAATTTTTAAAATATTTTACTATGCAAATATATACAACCATAATTATACAAATGGGGTTCTACTACTCTCTAACTTTTTTATTCAAAACATAATTAAATTTTTTTCTCCACAAAATTGTATTAGACTTTTTAATGAGTACATGATATTTATTTATTTATTTATTTTATGATTTTTTAAAATATATTTTAAGTTTTAGGGTACATGTGCACAACGTACAGGTTAGTTACATATGTATACATGTGCCATGTTGGTGTGCTGCACCCATCAACTCGTCATTTACATTAGGTGTATCTCCTAATGCTATCCCTCCCCCCTCCCCCCACCCTACAACAGGCCCCGGTGTGTGATGTTCCCCTTCCTGTGTCCATGTGTTCTCATTGTTCAATTCCCACCTATGAGTGAGAACATGCGGTTTTTGGTTTTTTGTCCTTGCGACAGTTTGCTGAGAATGATGGTTTCCAGCTTCATCCATGTCCCTGCAAAGGACATGAACTCATAATATTTAACTCCTGGAGATACCAAGCTGTGTTTAACCAAACCTCTTTATAGTTGGACATATAAGAGGTTTTGAAGTTGTTTTTTGTTTATGTTTTGCCCGTTACAAACAATATTGCCATAAACATAGTTGTAGCTAAATAATGCAGTCACACGTGACTATTTTCTTAGGCTAATTTCTTAGTAGTGAAATTCCTAGGCCAAAGGGTATGTACTTTTTATATTTTGTTTTTTCTAAGTTCTGGAAATGAATAGCAGGTGTGTGCTTTTAAAAGGCATTTTGTTTGTACTGGGATGGGCAGGTTTTTTCTTGCTCTAATTTTTATTAATAACCTCAAAACGTTAGTAATAATCCCTACCTGTTGGAGACTTACATATTTATTGCCTTAGAATTTTGGAAGCATGTTCACACACTTTCACTCATTAATCTGATCGTCACAACAATTCTGTAAGTAGGCAGGTAGACATGATTCCCCATTTTTCAGATGAGGCAAACAAGTCTCAGAGAGTGAAGTTGGCTGCTTAGGGTAACACAGCTAGTGAATGACAGAGCTGGGACTGGAGCCCGTCTGCCAGCATGGAGTGCTGTTGCTGTCTCGCATGATACCATGCTGCCTGTCTCCTGCCTCTCCAGCACGCTCAGGACCACTTTATCACTTCACGAAATTAGCATGTTGGAGATTATTAGACCTAAGATATTCGCTAGAACCTGTTTTGCCAAGTTTTATACCACTTTTCCGTAACATATTATTTATTAAAAGAAAAAAGCCTGCAACCATGGGACATTTTTCTTGGTACTCTATTACTTTCTCAGCTCATGGTTGAATAGGCTTTGAACAGGCAATGGGGAAGAGGAGACAGTATTTCAAACAGTAGGAATAAAGTTGTGTAGGCAGAAATTAGGACAAAGGCTTCAAACTGTCTACTGTCTGGCTAGCTTTGGCTCACAGAAATATGTTGTTTAGCCTATAATATGTTTAAAAAATTATGAACCAGTTATCTACATTTGATGATAGGATATTTCATGTAGATTTCTGCATTGCTGGGTTCTTTTCATTCAGAAGCTCTGGTAGCCTTAAGCTGCCTTCAAGCTGAGCCATGATTAACTGGAGCTGGGCAGCTTCCACCCTCTTTAGAGCGGGCAGAAACATTCCAGTTTGCCTTCCAGCCTCATTGATCCCTGTTGTTTTCTGAGGGTCAATAGTCATTAGAAGTATGCCTGGTATACTGTTTTACTTACACCTAGCTGGCTGCAGGCCATCACGTTGCTGGCTGGGCCTTTCGGGCATCGAGTGTACAAGCCCTTGCCTTCAACATATGCATGGAATGGTTTTCCATTTTGATTGGAGCCTAGAGAACATGCAGCAGAGTAGTGGGAAAGAAAACTGGACAGGCATTGGAACTTTATTTTGTAGACACAAGGAAGCCACTGAGGGACCTGGCACTCTTAACTAACGTTTTAGTGCCCTGTCCTAGAGCAGCTGCCTCCTGTTCATTTCAGTGTTCTCTCCTTTTGCTATGTTTTCTCTTTGTCATCTCTGCTCCCAGTGGGGAGTGTTTTCAAAAGACTAGGCAGATGTTTACATCTCCTTTTTAATGAAGGCACTGTGGCTCTTCCCTCCCTCTGAGGACATCTTGTAACTTGCTCTCCTGTTGTAAGAAGAGAACCCTTGTTTCTTCCGAGGGTCTACCTCCCTGGGTGGAAAGGAGGGCAAACAGACCAGGAAGAGTTTTCTACACTATTAGCTAGTTGATTCTTTAGGACACAGGAAGGAGAAGAAAGGGTTTCATCAGCGTTACCAAGTGGTTTCCAGTTGATCGATTTGTGTGGTGATCAGGTTGTGGGAAGTGTTTGCTTTTTCCTAGGTGAGGCAATTATCCTTTCCATATCTGTAAGATTAGAGCCACCCCCTCCCATGTCCACATCACAGGGCCAATTGGAGGACTGAGTGGGAGAATATATAAGAAAAGTGCCAAGTGTTACATAAACACTAGCATTCTTTCCATCAAGAGGAGAAAATTGTTTTTGTGGGAGAAAATGGGTCCTGGCCAAGCATTTTTGCAGGGTGATGAGCATAAACTCAACACTAAGTGGAGTAGATAGTTCAAGGTGCCGAGATAAGTCAAGCCAATGATTTCAAGGGGTTGGGAAAACCTCACAGGGCAACATGTCCTTGCCAGCTCACTTGAACCTACTTCAAATCCAAATATTAAACTTTTTTTCTGACTACGAGGGTGGTCTTGGTTAAACTGCCAACCTATAATAAAGTGCCTGAAATCATAGTCTCTGGCCAATGGCTTCACCTTTGAGTCACATTCTTTTTCTAGCTATGTGATATTTAGGCCCCAGTTGTCTGATTTGCAAAACAATCATCTGAGCAATGGTATCTGCATCATAAATTTGTTGTAAGAATTAAATAAGGTAGTGTAGACAAAGCCCTTAGCAAAATGCAAGGCCTATCCTAAGTGTTGAATAAAACCAGCTATTCTGAATAGTTCTTAGCTGCTGTGGCTGAGTGATGTGGGAGGGTCTGCATGCAGGCCTGCTGAGGAGCAGCTCCACAGAAGCAGCAGCCCCAGCCTGGGAGAGAGCATGAACTGAGGAGGCCATGGCAGTCTAACAAAGGACACAGCATTGGGAGATGGAATGTAGGGAATTCAAATGTCCCCATCTCCATGGTGTTGTCCTGGAAACCTTGTAAAGGTGACAGATCATTGCAGTTTCACCCTCCTTCTCCCATCTCAGCAGGTGGGACCACCCTCGGTGGTGAGGAGGAGAGAAAGGTAATCAGGTTCCGCTCTGGATGGGCAGCCCTCTCCAGGGAGCCTGTGACGAGCTCTGCGGCAGCCTGGTAAAGAGCCGATGCGGGAGGCAGGCTGGGCGGGTGCATCGTGCAGAACTGGTTACGGGTTATGGCAGGCGTGGGTGTTTTATGGCTGTGGCAGTGGCACAGGCTTGCTAGTGGCTGTTTGTGAGAAGCATTATTGCGTGCCTTTTTATTACTTGCATCGAAGATGTTCTTTCTACAGAGCTTGTCCCTTTGTCCAAAGTCTCTCTCCCTTCTTTCCTGTTCTATCAGAAACATGCATTGTGTAGAAGCACAGAAACTACCAAAATCACATCACACACACACTACAAATCTGTGCACACATATAACCTGGTGGCCCACGTCCCTCTGTATGCCAAGAATCCCCACACATAAGGGAACAGGGGAGCCGGTCCTTGTGGGGCATGGGGAAGGCCCCACACCACTTAGCTTCTCCCTGACCTTTGGTTTCTTCCCTCTTCTGTTCTTTCAAAGATCTGTTAAAGATGCAAATACAGAAATTAACAGTCAGCATTACTGCCCAAACTATCAATCCACACATATTTAGTCTGTGTCTACAAATACAAGGCTCAGCCTGCTTGTCACCAAGAGCCACACAGGTTTCCAGCATAACTGGAGAAGTGGAACCCACCCAGGGCCTGGAAAGGGGATATGCTACACAGGAGTCTTGGTCTTTCTCCTGCCACTTCCTCAGCTGTGTGACCTTCTCTGTCCCTTCCCCTTTCTGGCTTTTTGTTTGCCTGTTTAAGCAATAAAGATTTCATACCAGGTGATCTCTGTGTTCCCATTTAGCCCCAACATTCTGTGATTCTGTTGAATCTGTCATCTTGGTTTCCCCACAGCCCTCCACTCTTTCTTTAGAATGAAGCATTATTGGTAAAAAGCCCATATTGCAATGCCTTTCATGTGCACCTGCTAATGCAGTGTCCCCAGCCCCCGGCAAGGCCCTTTAAGCTATTTCAGGGGGTCCCGAGGGAGAGTCCCATATGTACTAACAAATAAATCTGGTCAGCTATTACCTGGCATCTGCCATTTCTCCCTTCTGGTTGCCCTCTATGATGCTCAGAGCAATGCTCTGCTGTGTTCATTGGCTGGCAGATGTTGCTTCACCAGATCCTTCAGTGCCCAGAGGCAAGCCACCTCCTGCCAGGCCCTGCTACTTCCTCAGACCTCCATGGCCTCCAAGGGAGGGAGCTCAGTGACGTCACAGCGCCCCTCTGCTCCACTCCCACCCCCGCCCCTGGTGCCTTCGGACTCCAAGGCTACTCCAGGAAATCAGTTTCCACTTCTGTCAATTACTGATTCTTTTGCCACTGTGTGAGGGCTCTAGGGGTAAAGTAGGGGAGAATGCACCCGTTTTTCTTTAGTTCCCCACTGGAATGTGCACAGCTTTGCCTTCCAGTGGCTTATAGAATTCTCAGTGAGAATTCTTTCCGTGTTGGTTTACTTTCAAGACATAAACCCACCAGAAGCTGGGATGAGGAAAAACTGGAGTGTAAGAAATGCCCTGGATTCAGAATTACTCTGCCTTCCAATAATAAAGGATTTGGTTAAGGGATAATATAGAATTGGAAAGTTTGCTGTATAGAATTTTCTTAGGGGATACAGGAATGTTTACATTGCATTCTGATCCATATTCTTTATGCCTTGTGTCTCCTAAGGGACTTACAGTTACGAGAGACTGTGCTAAATAGAAAACAGGCATCATTTTACTCCAGTGCAGAACACTAGCAAACTGAGAGTACACAGCATGAGCCTGAGATCTAAAGGGAATTTTTCTCCCTCCTGTTCCGAACCTGCATCTTGAGATCTGACTGCCTGCGTGGGTCAGGAGAGTGAAGCGATACACCTCACTTTGAGCATCTAGCCTAGTACCTGGCATGTAGGAGATAGATAATTTGGTACATGTTGGTTCATCGAGTGAGGAACTAAATAAAGGAAAGAAGAGTGGGCAAGACAGAGAGAGCTAGGCTCAAAAGACAGGCCACATCTGTCACATTGGCAGATAAGTGAGAACCTCTGGTTCTTTTCTCCCAGACAGTCATTATTCCAAACGTTCCATTATAATTGATTTTGTTTTAGCATATACACACATAGCGTGTTTCTTCATTCGCTGATGGTAATAGTGAGAATGTATATTCTTTGCTTCTCCTGGAAATGTGTATAAGTAAGCCTAAGATTAAGAGCTGTGCTAATGATTTTAGTAAATGGCGTCACCTACCCACAAATCCTGTAAGCTTGTCTTGTATAACTGATGCTTCTGTGCCTTTTAAGCTTAGGGATAAAATGGGTAGAAGACACAGGAAGACAAAATTCCATTCAAAGAATGAAGTAAATTTTTTTTTTTTTTGAGATGGAGTCTCACTGTGTCGCCCAGGCTGGAGTGCAGTGGCTCGATCTCGGCTCACTGCAAGCTCTGCTTCCCAGGTTCATGCCATTCTCCTGCCTCAGCCTCCCGAGTAGCTGAGGCTACAGGGGCCCGCCACCATGCCTGGCTAACTTTTTTTGTATTTTTAACAGAGATGGGGTTTCACCATGTTAGCCAGGATGGTCTTGATCTCCTGACCTTATGATCCACCTGCCTCAGCCTCCCAAAGTGCTGGGATTATAGGCGTGAGCCACTGCGTCCGGCCTAAACATAAAGTAAATTTTGAGTTAAGGTAGGTGATCTTTGGGGGTAGTGTTACTCCTTACTGGAAGTATTCAATCAGAGACTGCATGACTACTTGTTTAGAAGGTTATATGAGAGATTCAAACACCAGAAGGGCAATAAATTGGCTCTAAAATCCTCTCTAAGTGTAGGAGTCCATATTTGTTTGGAAATTTTTTTAACACTAGTTTTACTATAAGTTCATAAGGAGACATCACCCAACCCAAGGATTAGACTTCCTTTGTAAGCTTGACACAGAGATGAGTAGGATGAATAAACTGTTCATGGCTAGGAGGCCATCTAATATCATCACTCATACTGTCAAAAATGGGGCTAAAGGATTTTAGAACATTGGGTCCAGCTTACAATCCCAGTCCAAGTGTACTTTTTCATGTCAACTGTCCAATCTGGAGATCCTCTTTCTCTCTTAACGACCTCTTCACTGATGACCTTATCAGTAAGATTGACTTTCTTCACACTACACTGTAAGGATCACAATAAGAGAGACTATGTCTGTGATGTATATGGGTGCATCCTGAGCACCTAGCATAGTGTCTGTCATGTAGTAGATAGATAATGAGTTCGTACTGGTTGATTTAATACCAAACCTTTCCATTTAAGTCACAGTGTACTGAATACCATAAATTCAAAGACAGAAGTCTATGGGCCAGTCCAGAGATAGAAAAAATACTTCTGACTGCATCTTAGTCCTTGATCTAGAGTGTCAACAGCATCTTAAGACTGCTTAAGGACCCAGTTAAAGAGAAGTGTAGGCCTATTCCTGAATAGCGGCTGAATCTGCTTAAGTCAAGGGTCCTATTTTATATATCAGTGCATTTGGGTGGGTGTGGCTGGCTGGCGAAGAGCTAATATTTTCAAGTGATGTTCACTGGAGAATATTAATGGGAGAGAAACTAGTTACTGTGAAGTTGTTATCTAAGGAGGGTAGAGGACTGTGTAGATGAGGCTAAGTTAGAGCGTTCAGTCTTCATTACGAATCTCTTAGGAACAACTTCTTTCATAGCTAAGCATGATTGCCATAAACTGGGATAGTTCTTTTGCAAATGTGTGCCTTTGATTTCAAAGAGATGGGCTCAGAGAGTAGCAGTGATTGCATGTACTCCATCTATGCGAGTGGAGATAATCTGGAATATAATGCGGTGAGTATTTCTAGGGGTTTGTGATCTTCCTTGGATCCTCCATGCAGCTTGGCCATCCTTCCACGGGTTCCAAGTCACATCCCTTCTCCATTTTTCCTCCCTGGCTCTTACCCAATTTTACCCCTTTCTGAAAATGCCCAGTTTTGTCATTTTTTTTTTCTAACACGGATGAACTTTACTACTTCACTGAAAAGATGGATCATCATTATCATTCTTGCCACACCAACTGCCTCTTGTGATATCTGCAAGCATATCTCCTATCTCTTTTCCTCCTTTCTCCCTATATCAGAGAGAGAGGTGGGGAGAGAGAGAGGGAGAGAGAGAGATTCATTCTGCTGGCCAAGGGTCATCTCTTTGCCCATCTTTGTATCCCATCTTCTATCACTCCCTTGTGAATCTTGTTTTGCCAGTCATTTACTTTGTGGCCTTTTCCTCAATTGCCACCTCTATCACACTTGTTCTTTCTTCTCAGTGTATAAATATAACCAGTACCAGATTCCCCACAAGCTATAGTTTGATTTCTTTCCTCCTCTTAATAGTCAGTTTTCTTCAAAGGCATACACTAGTTTTCAGCATTTTTACTACAGCCTGTTTGTCGGAACCCATTTAGTCACCCACCAATACGATGTCCTCTCCTCCCCGACACATTGCAATTGCTCCTTCTACCTGGTAATAAACTCTGTGTTTTCAAGTCCTGTGGATATTTCCTGTGCTATTCCTTCTCAAACTCTTTGTGACATTTGGCATCGACCATCTCTTTTGATTGCTGTGGCACGACTGTCTGCTGGTTTTCCTCCCCTCTGCCTGACAGTGTTTCTCAACCAGGGATCCTCACCTGGGACACATAACACAGAAAATAGTTTGAGTGATGTTATTGTCTCAATTCTCCTATGGAAGGTACATAACTAGTACCCTTCTGGGAGAGAAGTTAAACCATTACATACAGCGGATGCCTCAGGGCATTTGAGTTTCTCTCTCTCAGTGCTTGAGAAAAGCGTGACACCATCTCTGCTTTCTTCCAGGATTTCTTTCTTTTTCTTTCCTTCCTTACTCTAATTTCTCATTCTTCTAATCCTAAACATTCTCTCTGGGTGGACACTTCTAAGCCTGTGGCAGGAACTACCAATTATAATCTTGTGATTCTGAAAACACTCTTAAGCCAGACCTCTGTGCTAAATGCCATACCCTTGTACCTGTTTGCCTCCCTGACAGCTCTCCTTGTATAGCTCACAACTAACTCAAATGCAATATGTCCAAAATAAACTCACCATCTTCCCCATAGACTTTCTCGTTCTCCTAAATGGTATCATCATTCACCCAGACACCCAAGCCAGATCTGGGAGGTGTTTAAGATTCTATTTTCTCATATATCCTTCCCTAATATAATTATTTACTAAATTGCTTCCATATTTACTTTCTTGGTGTCTGATTACTAATTTTTTATCATTAATTTAATTCAGGCCCTCAATCTCTAGATTTCAACCAGGTAGAAGCTTCCCAAGGGTCTCCTTATTTCAAAGTACACTACTTCCCTCCCACCACAATAACCACAGAACAATTAATCTAATATTCAAATGGGATTATGCCTCTCCCCACTTCAACGTTTTCAAGTTCTCCCTCCATGTCTACAATAGCTTTTATCTACTACAATGCATTTTGAACTGCTATTTGGTGGATAGGGTCCTCCATGATTGGTCTTTGGTCACCTCTGGCCTCATAGCTTTCTTACACACCATGTATTCTAATGATTTTCATATGCTTACCCATTGTTTACTCTTGCCCTGCGATGCCTGTCCCCTCTTTGCTACCTTAAGCGCCTGCTCCCCATATCCAGTTGAAATCCTTTTCCTCTAAATTTGCTCCCTACTCAGTTACACACTAATCAAGGCACACGCCACACAGTAGTTGCTGATTTACTTACTGGTCTCTTCAATTAGACTGTGAACTTATTAGGGGCAGAGGCAATGCTTAGTTGATTTCTTCCTCTATAACTAGTGTTCAGATACAAAGAAGGCACTAAATAGATGCTTATTTAATGAGCAATAAATCTGAAATATAATTTTCAAAGGTAGAAGAATAGATTAATTGTTTTAACTAATGGCAAAGAGAGGAGTCCTGGATTTAGAATCAGATATTTGAGATCCCATCCCAACCTACTGTTAACCAGTGATCTGTCACTGGGTAGATCACTTAACTTATTTTAGCCTCTGTCTTAGTCTGTTTGTGCTGCTATAACAGAATACCTGAGACTTGGTAATGTGTAAAGAACAGAAATTTATTTTCACACACTTGTAAAGGCTGTGAAGTCTAAGATCAAGGGGCTGGCAGGTTCTGTTGTCTGATGAGGGTCTGGTTTCTGCTGCCAAGATGGCACCTTGAATGGTGCATCTTCCAGTGGGGAGGAACACTGTGTCCTCACATGGCAAAAAAGTGGAGGGGCAAAAAGGGGCCAAACTCTGTCAAGCTTTTTCATTTTATTTTTAAATCATTTTTCAAGCCCCAAATCAAATGCATTTTTAAAATGAAACATATACAAAATACTAGTTTTAATGTTGACAATAAAATGATATAATTAATCCTCCACCTTAAGGCATCTCTTTGTCAAGACCACAAGTCTCCACTCCATCAAGCCCTTTTATAATGACATTAGTCTATTAATGAGGGCTCTGCCTTTCAATACTATTGCATTGGGGATTAAGTTTTCAGTACATGAATTTTGGAGGACACATGCAGACGATAGCATTCCATCCTCGGCCCCCAAAATTCATGCCCTTCTCACATGCAAAATACATTTATTTCATCCCAATAGCTCCTCAAAGTCTTAACTTGTTCTAGCATCAACTTTAAAGTCTTAAGTCCGGAGTCTCATCTAAATCAGATATGGATGAGACTAAAGGCAAATTTCATACTGAGGCAAATTTCCCTCTAGCTGTGAGCCTGTGAAATCAAACAAGTTATGTCCTTCCAAAATACAATGGTGGGACAGAGGAAAGAAGAAGGGGGTAACAGGTTTCAAGTAAGTCCAAACTCAGCAGGGCAGACATTAAATCTTAAGGCTGATTTTTTTTTTTTTTTTTTTTTTTTTTTTGAGATGGAGTCTTGCTCTGTTGCCAGGCTGGAGTGCAGTGGCGTGATCTCGGCTCATTGCAACCTCTGCTTCCCAGGTTCAAGCGATTCTCCTGCCTCAGCCTCCTTAGTAGCTGGGACTACAGGCATGCACCATGCATGCCCAGCTAATTTTTATATTTTTAGTAGAGACAAGCTTTCACCATGTTGGCCAGGATGGTCTCGATTTCTTGACCTTGTGATCTGCCTGTCTCGGCCTCCCAAAGTGCTGGGATTACAGGCATGAGCCACCATGCCTGGCCGGCTAGAATCTTAAGAATCATCTTCTTTGATTCTACATTCTACCTCCTGGACAGACTGGAGTTGGGTTAGGCCTCCTAAACCTTTGGCAGCTCTGCCCAGTGGGATTTCCTGGGCGCAGCCCAAACTTCAGCATGTACACACTGAAATTGCATCCCTGCAGTTGTCCCAGCTGGTGCTACACAGTGGTGGCTCTACAGAGGTCTCAAGGGTGACCCTGCCTCCATGGCTCCACTAAGCATTGACCTAGTGGGGGCTCTCTGTGGTGGCTCCAATTCCATAGTTCTGCTGGGCATTGCCCTAGTGAGGGCTCTCTGCTGTGACTTCTTCCCTGCAGCAGATCTCTGCCTGGGACCTAAGGCTCTCTGAGGCATCCTTTGAAATCTAGGTGGAGGGAGCCATGCCTCCACAGCCCCTGCACTCTGCTTGACTGTAGAATTAGTATATGTGATGCCACTGAGGCTCAGTACTTATGCTCTCCAGAGCAGCATTCTGAGCTGCACCTGGGCCCACTTGAGCCACAGCTGGGGTGGCTGAGGTGGGCTGCTCTGGAATGTGAGGAGCACAGACCTCAGTCAGTCCTGGGAAGTGAGTTCCAAAATCCCACAGGTACCCCGGACCTCTTCCCCAAAACAATTCTGGCCCCAAGTCCCTGGCATTCTGGGCCTGTGATGCACAGAACAGCCTTCAAGATCTCTGAAATGCCTTTAGGATTATTTTCCCATTGTCTTGGTGAATAACACCTGGCTTTCATGCTAATCTTATTATTAAACTGCCACTTGGCCACATCCTTGTTTTTTTTCCCCTTAATATGTAATATGCTTTATTATTCTTTACATGGTCAGATGGAAAAAATTTCAAATGTTTACATTCTGCTTCCCTTTTGATAATAAATTCAATTTTTAAATCATTTCTCTCTTCTCACAATTTACTATAAGCATTTAAGAGAAGCTACACAGAACCCCGAATGCTTTGCTGCTTAAAGATTTCTTCTGCCAAATATTCTAGTTAACTTTCTTGAGTTCTGCCTTCCACAAGGCCCTAGGACAGGGACATAATTCAGCCAAGTTCTTCGCCACTTTGTAACAAGGATGGGCTTTCCTCCAGTTTTCAATACCTTGTTCCTCATTTTCCCTCTGAGACTTGCATCAGAATAGTCCTTACTGTCACGACCTCCTAAATAAGATCTAACAAGGTGCAGACTTTCCGTAGTCTTCTCTTATTCTGAGCCCTCACTAGACTCACACTTAATGCTCTGTTCATGGCAATACAAGATCTTTCCAGAATCCACTTCAAAAGCATTCCAGCCACTGCCCATTAACAAGTTCCAAATCCACTTCCACATTTTTAGATCTTTATTATAACAACACCCCCACTGCTCTGGTACCAACTTCTGTCTTATTTCATTTGTGTTACTACAACAGAACACCTGAGACTGGGTAATTTATTAAGAACAGAAATTTATTTTCTGATGGTTTTAGAGCCTAGAAGTTCCAAGATCAAGGTCTTGGCAGGTTCAAGAATCTGAGGAGGGTTCAGTCTCTGCTTCCAAGATGGTGCTTTGAATGCTGAGTTCACACATGACAGAAGGAAAAAGGACAAAAAGGAGCCAGTGTCCCTCTGCCATGACCTTTTATAATGGTATTAACCTCTCATGACCCAAACACCTCCCAAAAGGCCCCACTTCACAGACATGAAAGCATTGGATTAACTTTTCCATGCATATTTTGGGGGACACATTCAGCCCACAGCAGTCTCACTTTCCTCATCAATAAAGTGGGGAAAGTATAAAGTACCTTATGGGTCCCAAAGGGCAGATTATGAAAGATCACGTGAAATCTCATGAGAATCAAGAATATGAAAGGGCTGCAGAGATGGAAGACATTTTTACTATTTTGTATAGAAAAAAAGAGCTGAGAGGAAAGATAAAACCTCTGTGTTCAAGTTTTCTACATCTTGATGTACTGTTTAAAACCACATCTGTGGCTTTTGTGCTCTGGAATTAAAGAATAATCAAGCTAAGTATCTTGTGAGGTCATAGCATATGAGATTATGCTGTTATTCTCCAGCAATCATGACAGAGGAAGAGTTGATATCCATTTATATATTATAAATTGGTTCACTTTTTCCATTAATTTTTCTTGAGAAACTGTATGGAATCAGACACTGAACTCAGTACTATGAGGAATATGGAGAAGAAATGGACAGGAATCATGTCTTCAAGAAGGTTTCAGTTTAGGAAGAAGCTAATACATGCCACTTTCTACTTTGCTTTGTAAATATTTATAATGAGTCACAGATAAAAGGCTAACAGAGGGATTCTGGGAGGACTTCAGGGAGGAGATGATATTGGCCTTAAGAGATGGACAGGAGGTGGATATGTAGGGTGGGCAATGGGGAAAGAGAGCCTGCAAATGGCATCAACTCTACTTGTAGAAATTCAGGAGTAGGTCAGATTTGCCCAAGTAAAGGTAGAGAGGCATGTGAAGAATAAATAGGAATGGTAAGTAGAATCATTTAGCGCAATAAAATGGTGCAATAGAGGATGTGATCTCATAGTTCTCAGTTGTCAGAATTTTCTTCATTAAGGAGGGAGAGATTTGTTAACACCTAAGAGGGGATCTCAATATTGGCTCTCCAACTTCCGCTAGTGTCATTCTGAATGCTTCCTACTTGACCTGACCTTCAATTTCATAACCCCTATTGTAATATTGTGAAGTAAATTTAATAAACTTACCTTACCTCTCAGGGGTGTCATGGAGTATAAATGACTACATCCTAAGCAAAGCATTAATTGGGTTTTTCAGGTAAAGGTGCTCAGTAAGTAAAAATGCTAATGCTGTTATGAGTTTCCTTCCTTCTCTGTCATCCTGGGAAGCAGAAATGATGTTTACACAGCCATGCAAAACCATCTTCTTCAGCACTCTAACCTTATGGGAGGATAAAAATATGTGTAGTAATAAAAATCAAGCTGCGTTTGAAGCACTGAGAGGGAGGGCTTGTCCACTGGATGGTTCCCTGGGGTAGGCAACTTGTAAACCCTATTTTAATCTTCATCAACAGAAGACATGATCCTATAAAGGAACATTCTTAAGAAGTGGAAACGTATTTGTTCTTGCAAATTGACAACATCACGGATCCGATTATAGTGCTAATTTTGTTTGTTTCTTGGTGGTACACAGTTAAGCAAGGGAGACATGGTCTTGTCTATTTGACCCCTTTGTGGCCGAGCTAAAGTCTATTTACTTAATTACTTTCAGGTGGAAGCTTTCCAGTCATGTGTGGAGTTAGGAAATATTCATTCCCAATAGGGAAGACTGCTAGGAGACAGTCTTCCATGAGATCTTGCATTACTGCCTATGTTCTGAGCAAGAGACATGAACAGCCTTGTGTGGGACTATATGTTAAGGATATTTATACAGCAAATAGCTTTGGAAGATAAAGATATTGTCCCCCTCTGGAGTATAGGGCAGATTTCTTTCCTGACCAGGATAACATAGATAATATGTAACTCTGGGGCAAAGGTTTGTCAGGTTTGCTAGTGTCTCCATGAAACATTGGAGGTTTCCTAAGCTTAGGGTTCCTCAGCTAGGTCACAAACACATTGTGCTTGCTGTATCTACCTGGGCCCATCTCTATGTTGCCCCATAAAATTCTGGGGCAAGGGAAATAGAGGCAAACATGTAGTTTATGCTGCCTGCTGTGCTGTGACAATAAAGTCTTTTGTCTCTGACCCAGGAATCTCATGCCTTCTGCTAACATGTATGGAACTATGGCAGACTAAATTATCAGTTTACAAGATCTCAGACCCTTCCTAGTTCTTGACACTGAATTTGCTACCTATTTTCTACCCAAATAATTTAATGCTTTTGCATCTATTTTCTTTTCTTTTTTCTGCCAACCATAGGAGCTATGCACTGCCTTAAATCAGTGCCTCGTTATAGCACCCTGGGGGAGGTAATGCAGCAGCTTCCTGACTGCTTTATTGCCTCCAGTCTCTCCTCACCCTTCATTCATGTCCTACACAGTTGCCAGACTTAAGTCCCTAAAGCACAGCCTTGATCACATCACTCCTTCACTCCATAATATCTAATGGGTCCCTATTGCCAGAATGAATTATAACCTCTAGATGAAATAAATACCTCCGATGGTCAGGCCTTACTGTGTATCTTCAGTTCTCTGCTTTTACTATTCTTCCTTTGCACTCCAGTCTCTAACCAAGCCAAACCACCCACATTCCCCAAACACAGTCTGCCATTTCCTGCTTCATATCTGTTCTCATGTTGTTTCTTTTGCCAGGAATGCTCATGCTACTCTTTATGTCTGCCCCCGAAATTCTATCATTTTTTTCACTCATGCTTAAATACTAATTTCTTCAACATGCTTTCTCATTTTCTACCCCAACCAAAACTATAATTTCTCATGGCACTTTTCTCATTCAGTTTTGTGCTGCAGTCACCGATATGCATCTTACCGTCAGTTGAGGGCAAAGATCACCTTGTGTTCTTCTTTGTATCACGTCATCTCGCTCATTAGCGCCTTTTAAATGGGCACTCAGTTAAGTGTTCTGAATTACATTTTGATTTGACAGATGACTCTATTGGAGTTCAGAGAGGCAAAGATGTTTGTTGAGGCTACACAGCAAATTGGTGAGAAAATATGTGGACCTGAATGTTAGTCTTCTGGTTTTAAGCAAAGGAGGGAATGTTTCACTCCCTGGGAAGCCTGATCTTGGCATTATGTGCCTTAAGGAGTTGGCAGCTGTATGTTAGAGGGGAAGATGTTAGTGACAAAGATCAGGCTCTAAAATCTAATCAAGCAGTTTGCTTCCTAGGTGAAGCTACTGGGCTTTCATTCAAATATTATTTATTCTGATTCTAATTTATAAATTCACCCATAAATGGGGTGACATTAAGTATCACCCCATTTAGAGAAGTGTAGGGGGAGTGGCTTCCCACAGGTCCTCAAGACCCTGCTCCAGAGGTGGCTGCTGCAGCCCTGCCCATGGCTGGTAGCCAGACTCTTGGGAAAGTCAAGTCTTTACTGCCTATTGGAGATCAGGATGGAGCAGCTAAAATTCCTGCTCTACAGCAAATCTGCTGACTCCCTGGGCTGTTTTGGAGGAGGGAAAGGAAGGCGATTTTATCATGTTGTTCTACAAGAAAGAGAAGTATGACTCTCAGGCTGTCTTTCCTGGAAGATGAAGACTGCCTGGCTCGTAGAGGGTCCTTCACTGCTGGGTGTCCCTGACGGAGAGGTGAACACATAATTCTCCCCAAGTTCACATTCCTGACCATTAGCATCTTTTGTAGATGATTAAACAGTGAGCTGGTTCTCTGATGGTAACATTTATTGAACTATTCATCACAGGCTGATCACAGATTCTTAGAGCAGCAGAAAGCTTTCGGCTTCCCTAACCTAATCCAATAGGGAAACTGAGGCCCAGAGGGACCTCTTAACTCTTATATTTTCTCTTCTCTCACTCCAAGGCCTTGGTCTTTAGGTGACCTTGAATAGAGAGAATAGTGTTGATTAGGGCAATCATGGATAGTGAAACACTACAGAAATACTCCTGGAATCCAAGGAAAATGTGTCACAGAGGAACACATCCCTTGCTAGGAGAAGTGGACTGCCTTCCCAGAAGATGAAGAAACAGACATTCAAACAAAAGTAACTCACAGAACCTCTAATTTGGATAAGATACTATTTTTTAAAGAACAAATTAAGAAACACTTCTTGTTTTCCACACACAAAAAAGCTGGAAAGGGGTGACAAGGCAACCGTACAAAAATGTAAGCAGTACTGTGTGCAGTATTAGGTTTATTAGGGTGAGCCAGGGGGAGCTTTTGTCCGTGCCTTGAATCACAATGGATGCAGTGGAATCTCTGTCATTAAAATTTGAAGGTAGATAAACAGTAAATATTTCCAGGGATAATTACTTAGTGCTGGGCAAACCTCAAAGTGTTGGAAGTTCTAGCTCCTGTTGGATCAGGGCCATAGAGCTGGGGGTATTTATCTAAAGCTTATCTGAATCATCTCAGCAGCAGAGGTAGGTACAATTTGGCAGGCACTCTTCACTTGGTTATGTTTGAGAGGTTTAATAATAACAGTTAAAAAAAAAAACTTTCCCTAAGGAGATGTTTATTATTCCTACAATATCACCAGCAGCAGAATCATTCCTATTTCCTTTGCCCTGCCCCTTCCACTCCATCAGACCTCATTTACAAATCCCAACAAACTCAGTAAAGCCTGGTTTGCAAAAATGAAGCTCTTCCCTGCATATGTTTCCTGGAAGAGTCTTTCTTCAGTGGAATTTTTCAACAACTGAACTAGGAACATGGGGATTTGTTGTTGAATGTTTCAATTCTGAGTTGTATTTATTAAGTGCTCTTAGGTCCTTATCAGACAAGACAGGGCACGTTCAGGGTGGTATGGCCATAGACCTCTTAGGTCCTTATCATAGAGAAAAATATAGAAGAAAAACATGTCTGCCCACCGAGAGTTTTTGGGTTCAGACTCCAGTTGTGTCATCAGCTTCTAGGGGTTAAACCTTGAGTACACCACTTTAAAGCTTGAGCCTTCTCATCTGTAGAATAAGGGAATGGATCAGATGATTGTAAGATAGTTCCAGTTCTAAAATACATGAAGCCACCATGAGAGCTAGAATGGATGTTAGATGTTTTGCAGTTTACTTTTCAGATACGGAAGCTGATTAATTGGGACAGTCACTTTGCTTGTTTGAGTATCAAGCTTATCAAAGCAAGATGAAATCTGCACATGAGATGGTTACGTTAGCACTAAGGACAATAAATAGCACATTTCCTAAATGTGTGGTACAGAAGCAAAGCAGCATGTTAGGATTAAACATTTCAGGAAGGCTGCACGAAGGGGAGATGGGATTTGCTAGAAGAAAGGGAAGGATGGTGAGGCTGACAGCAGAGGCAAAGGCACAGAGATGGGGAAGGGGCAGCTGCATGTGAGCCAGGATGAACACTAAGGCAGGGTGACCGAAAGTAAAGCGCGTGTCTGCCTGCTGGCACTTCCACCGGGATTCTGGGTAGCATATAGACTTGGTATTAAATGATGTAGAATTGTGTTGTGAGAAAAGTTATTTTCTTTTCAATTCTCTTTTAATTCATCTGATTATGTCAGGGAGAAAGACTCATGTGTGCGCTAATATATTTTTTAAAGCCTCAATATTCCTCTCAACCTTTTTTTTTAAGCAAAAAATGCAAGTTTTTGGTTCAGAGACATCATCAAGTAACAGTGTCTCTTAAATTTAATAACTTTGGCTTGTTCTTGTATTTATTTTGAGGTTTCCTTCTATTTATGGCAAGTGATATAATTTTTCCATTTGTATAGTAATGTGAGGTTTCCTCTTTAAGTAATTTTAAATGGAAATGTATCATTTTAAATTAAAGTACTAAGTAAATAACAATGCAGGTGGTCGAGGGCATGGAAAAGTCCAGAAATGATGTAGGAGTGATGATGTTTGGGAAATCCTGAGGTGATTGTTAAGAGCCTGGGCTCTGGAGCAAGACAGGAGTGAGTTCCAATATTGCCTCTGATACTTACCAGCTTTATGACTTTGAGACTGATTTTGGGGGTTACATGGAGATGGAAGAGCAAAGAAAGATAATGATGAGTTTAGGAAAGGATTTGCAGGATTGTCAGGAAGTGAACACAGCTTGTCTCATGCCTTTCCTTACCACAGGCTCTGACCCTTTGGAAACAGGTGCTTCCTTTTGAAGCACCTCCACCTTCAAGGCTGGGCTGTTTTTATTTACCCCTCTTTTGGTGCTATTAGTATCTTACTGACCCCCCTTCATTCTGTGGATAGAAAGCTACTGTGGCATGGTGGAAGGAACACTGGGCTTGAACTTGGGAGACCAAGCTTTGAACCACTGACTCTTTTTGGAAAAGTCACTTAATCTCTGTGATCTTGAACATCAGTGTTAATGATATGGGGATAATTATATCAAATACCCAGGATTATTGTGGGAATGGCCACCAGGACATTCCTAGCACACAATAGGTCTTCAATAAGTGGCTGTCACTGTCCTCAAGTATATATTACATACAGCTCATCGGCACATCTTTTTGGAGTGTTTGTCTACTTTACTAACACTGTGCCATCATAAGAGATAGATACTTCTCTTTAGGTAGCTAAGTTTCTGAGGACCAAACTGCAGACTGTTTAAAATGCTCAGCATGACTGGGTAAAAGGGCATTTCAACAAACAGTTCTGCAACTTAATCTGGCAGATTCTTGACATCAGCATGATCTTGGTTCTAAAATTTCCCCCTTCTGACTCTTGACCTATACAAAAGAAAACCTGCAGAGACATCTAAATCTAGCTTTGTATTATGTATTATATGTGGCAATCTTACTTTCTTGATGTCTTGTATATTCTGAGGCCTCTTTCAGTTACAAATGATAGAAATGGAATGCAACAGGATTAGTCAGGACAGAGAACTTTTCAACCCATGAAAGATAAAAGGGGAAAGTGACTAATTCATGTAACTGGAAAATAGGGAGTATGTTAACTACAGGCATGGCTGGATCTAGGTGCTCAATGATATTATCAGGACTGGTGAGTAACGCAAATATCATTTTACCTTTGATCATCCAAACAGAATTTAAAATGCTGTGGTATACATGTGAGCTATTTAAGGTGTTGTCAACTCTACTGTGGTGACCTCCTCCTCACAGTAGCCATCATCATTCCTAACATTCACTATATCTAGAACTAGTGCAATGGACATGGTTAGAGCTTTTAGAGAGTTCACTGTCTGAAGGAGAAGCTGAAAATCTAAAACCTCACTTCTGTTTCTACTTCAGATTGCCAAGGTAAAGTGCCACGTTTATAAAAAGTGTAATACGCTATGATATTAGGGCAGAAAATTCCAGACAACAACCAGGCTTCTCCCTCGATTGTATAGGGGATAAAATTGAGGCTCAGAAAAATTAAGTGACTTTCACAAAGATACACGTAAATTCAATGACCTATCTAGTGTTACAACTCAGATTTCCTGGGTCCTAGTTGAATATACTTTTAATTTTTTGAGACAGGGTCTCACTCTGTTGCCCAAGGGGTGCAGTGGTGGGATCTCAGCTCACTGTGACCTTCACCTCCCAGGTTCAAGCAATTCTTGTGCCTCAGCCTCTTGAGTAGCTGGGACTACAGACCTTCGCCATGATGCCTGGCTAATTTTTGTATTTTTGGATAGAAACAGGGTTTCACCATGTCAACCAGGCTGGTCTTGAACTCCTGACCTTAAATGATCCACCCACCTTGACCTCCCAAAGTGCTGGGGTTACAGGTGTGAGCCACTGTGCCCAGCCTGAATATACTTTTTCTTGTAACTTGGCCATATCTCAGAATGGCTCAGCCTCTGCCTGCTGAATCTGCCTATCCCTCTCATTTAACCTAAGGAATCTGCTGAGGATTTAGACTGTTCTGAAAACCCCCAGCCTGGCCCCAAGTGGACCTCTGTGTTGGGACACAAGCCAAGCCAAGATAGGATGAATCCGCTAAGCAGGACAGTGCTATCAGGACATGCTGGGCAGATGGAGAACTGTGGGGCATGAGGCACAGTCTGAGGTTCTGAGATGTCCATCTCCCATAAGCTAGAGGCCGCATGAACTGGTTTGCTGAGGTGGTGTCCATTTATACATATTATCACTGATGAAGTATGACTTGCTCCTGCTTAACTCTCAAAAGTGTCCCCCATTAAACTATCATAAGCCTGTCTACTGTGGCTCTCCACATCTGGACACTGGTTCTGCTTTGCAAAATTCTTAGTAGCCCAGACTCTTAGAAGTTTGCCTCTGCCTTACTTTTGACCCCTGGTATCAGGATTTGGAGGTTGAACTTTTAGGGATTGTCTTGTCCATTCTTTTCAATTGAAGCTGAGGAAACCAAGTCCAGAGATACTAAATGATTTGCTGAAGATCACCAGTAATAAGAGACAGGCCTTTGGTCACTCATTCAATAGCCTTTCTACTAGATCCTGCTGCCTATGTCTGTATCTTGGAACTTGATGACTTATGCCGTCAATCTTGGGCCTGCCTTATGTTGCTGTTTTCCTGGTAGTGCCTGGACACATCTGACTATTTGTCCACCTTGACCCTTTGTCATCATTGTAATTCTTAGATCTCTGGATATGTGGCTACCTGTTTATACATGACTCTTATGAATATAAATTTTTTGGAGGGGGACACAATTCAGTCCATAGCAACCTCTAAAATATTACATTCCTATAAAGGACAATTATGTCATTATTAATAAAAACATTAACTGCTCTAAAATACCAGGAACATTAATAACATCATCCCTCAAAGGAAAAATGACATCATGAAGCTCATTGAGCTGTTCAAAGATCCATGTGGACTAATTTTGTCCTGGGAGGAGAGAGGGATTTAGGAAGATCTCACTTTGGCTCCATTGAGTCTCCCTGGGTTAGGAGTGATTTTTTTATGTTTGTTTGGTTTTGTTTTCTGAGGAATCGGCAGCGGGTCTAATTAATGCCATCAAAAGCATGACATTTAATTAACTAAATAGCATGTTGAGCCTAATGATAACATATTTCAGCACCCGGCAGGCGGTGATGGTCTCTTGGGCCATTTCGGAGGAGGCCTGTGATTTGATAAAGAGAAACCCTTCTCAACAAAATCAGGAATCCCCCGAGAGTAACCAGAGAAGCTGCAGCAAGAGTGCCAGCCAGGCAGATTCTCTTATCTCCTGGACTCTGCTTGGAGAGGCCGAGGAACAAAGAAGAATGGCAGGGGAGGAACGGGACCGCTGCACAGCCTCGTCATCTTTTAAACATGTTTCTTGGAAATTCAGAGGCATATAGGAGCAAATTTAGCTTCTAAATGGCCTATTCCCATACCTTGGTTTATTCCAGTCCCATTGGTAAATGGATCAGGGGAAACAAGGCAGGATAGACAAGTAACTTGTAAGGGGATGTCTGAAGCCAGATTGCCAAGTCTCTCTGAGCAGCTGAGTAGGTGGACGTGGGTGCCCTCTGCTGGACACTGGAGAATCTGCAGTGATGCTTATCTGGACCCTCACCCAGGGGCTGAGAGCTTCAGCCTGGAGTTAAACCTTCTGAGTAGAGTACCCAGGGTCCCTTCAGTCACAACAGGCCTCTCCAAAGGCTGTCTCAGAGAAGTGTACTTTTAGATCATTCCGTGGCTTAACTTATCCACATCTCTGTTTGCCACCCCATTTTGGTTATGTTCCCCAAACATTCTATTCCCTTAAGCTCAGTTGTGCTATTCTTTTTCCCCTTATCTCTTTTGTAATAAATCTGGATGAAATTACTTGTATATGGCATCACAAACCGCATCCTTTGGGTCTTATATTTAGACTCTGATTTTAGAGAAGGGCCAAACAGAGGCTTAGAGTGGTGAAATGACCTGTCCAAAGTGACAAAGACCCAGCAGGGACTAAAACTCAGACTACCCCATCCTGTTTCATTTCCCTTTCCTCGATACGCATCTTCCCATAGAAAGACAATATATCCCAGTGGTGAGGCTGAAAGCTCTGGAGACAGAGGTCCTGGGCTTGACTCCTGGCTTTGCCATGCGTTGGCTGTGTGATATTGGATAGGGTATCCTTTAAGCTTTTATGTGCCTCTGTGTTCTCATCTAATAGAGTGGTTGTGAGAGTGAAATAACGTAAGGCAGATAAAGCATTCAGTATAGTATCTGGCACATAGTAGGTGCTCAATAAATAATATTTACCATTAGTTCCATGATTGCCTAGTGGTATTAGTTGGAAATTATTTTTGGTGGTTCTGTAATGGAACTGCTAGAACAAAATTTCCTAAGTTTTTTTTTTTCATTAAACATAAAAATCTACCTCTTTCCAAATGGAAGCACCTTCTAGCTAGAGTGAGCAAACTGGGAGGTGGGAGAGTTTAGGGAAAATATTTAAGTAACTGATGTATAGCTTTCTAGAGACAGTGTGGTTCAAGATGAGACTGGAAAAGCTACTGGGAGGTAGGTGGCCTTGAATGCAGGAATTTGGCTTTATTCTGCATGCAATAGGGGGTCATGGCTGATGCTTGAATATGGCAGTTTTTATTTTCCCATTTCCCTTGTATGGATTGCTTCTCCTGCTCCTACAGTGTGAGGGCTGTCAAGAGCTCGAATGATTGCTGTTCTTATCACGTGTGCACGTGCACATGAACACACCCATCTTGGGGCTTTCAGTATTCCAATCACCTTGAGGTTGTCGCCAAGGAGCCTAGTGTTGCTTGCAGCCACGTCAGAATGAAGAACAAGCTGGGCCGTCACAGTCTGCTGGTGGTGGGGGCTTGTCACTTCTAGATGGAGTGTTGTTCCCGTGCATGGAAATCGCTGGTGTGGGCGAAAAAAAGCTGAGGATACTGGCAGAGGGGAAAGAAAGGAGGCAAGTGGCTGCTTGAATGCAGGAGGGGAAAGAGAGAGAGACTTTTCTGCCATTTCTGTAGGGATTGTCCCCAGGAAAGAGACAGTCAGTCATGTGAGCAAAGGATGCCTTGACTTCCTCAGGGTGTACTTCATCTCCTGTTGCTGGCTACAGATGGCTGAAGTCAATGCTTTATTCCTCCTCTTGCTTGGCACTTTCACTTTCTGGATTTTGCCAATTGTTATTTGCTGGGGTGAGCAGGAGATGTAACTGGGAGAAAGGAAACAGGTAGGGTTGTGATAGATGTTTCAAATGGAAGCTTAATGGAATTTGCCCTTTGGGGAATGCAGCCCTTACAACCCGCATCAGGGACTCAATGACTTGGAGCTCCAAGTGTCCCTGATGACCTTTTCTGTTAGAGGCAGATTGGCAGGCCTGTAGGCTATGCGTGGATGCATTTGTTTTGGCACTAGAGTGCTCTTTTTTTTTTTTTTTTCAATGTTAGGATGAGATGACACAATTTTAAAATTTGATTTTTTTTTTTTCATTTAGAAATTTGAATTTCTGGCTTCTCTTGAAAACCAGATCATTTGATGACACTGGTCTGCATTCCCCCTTGGCAGCAATCTATAAGTAAAAAAAAGACTCTGCCCTGCTTTAAATAGGTCAAGAATTCTCTAGTTCCCTACAGTTTCCACCCTGATCCATTATCTTGATCAGCTTGGCCTTGT
The DNA here is from genome assembly GCF_000001405.40 of Homo sapiens. Taxonomy (NCBI): domain Eukaryota; kingdom Metazoa; phylum Chordata; class Mammalia; order Primates; family Hominidae; genus Homo; species Homo sapiens. The sequence goes on from NC_000005.10 coordinate 152,145,138, forward strand.
AAACACTTTGTAACCCAACAGTATATGATCCCTGCCTGATCCAGGCTAACCTCCCCATTTTAGAAATAAGAGCTGTGAGGTTCAGAGAGGGCCTTCGGTTTACCCATGGTCATACAGCCTCCCCCATGGACAGAGTAGGCTCCATTTACATATGATTTGAGGGGTGATCAAAAGCACTTACCCTTTTTCCTTTACTTCCAAGTGAAAAATTTACCTCTCACCCTGGCCTTCTGTTCATTAGCAGTCTAAAATGGACTCAAGAAAGAGAATTATTTGGCTATATTACCTTTCTGGCCTTCTTTAAATCATATGTTATATCTTTTGCTCTTTTCTGCTTATTTAGCTAACCTCACTCTGACCCGCTCTGACTCACTCAGACACTCAGGTAGGCCAGATGGTGTTGCTGTTGAAACTGAGGCAGTGGAGACAGAGCCTCGAATCCTCGGGTAAAAATCACAGTTCTGGGTCTGAGGCTCCTCATCTGGCAGAAAGTGTTCATAACCTCAGGAGGTGGTTATGAAGATTAAAAGAAGCAAAAAGTTGAATGTGTTTATCATAGTAGTAGCAAATTGGAAAAAATAGTAACTCAGTGTTAGAAGTTATTATTCTAGAGAGACTCAGAACTGAAGGTGTCCCAGGAGATCGTACTGTCCAACTGGCTCATTTTTGTGGTGAAAGCCATAACGTGCTTATAGTAAAAATCTGAGTGGAGAAGAAAATACAGTAAAATATAAAAGGATTTTTCTCCCTATCACTACCTTCATTTCAGTCTAATTTCCCCAGAGGCAATAACTGTTAAGTTTCTTGCGTGTCCTTTCAGATATTTTATTTGCATATACATTATAAATAACTTGCATCCTGTATTTTGACACAAATGTAATCAGACTACTCATGCTGTTCTGATACTTGCATTTTTTATTTAACAATATGTAGTAGATCTCCTTTCATGTCAGCGCATGAGGGTTTTTTTTCTGTTTTCAATGGCCCGTTTATTTCACAGGAAGTTTATACTATAGCTTACAGACCAACGAATGTATTCTGCAAAAGACCAGATACCTAATATTGTAGGCTTTGTTGGTCATAGGATCTCTGTACCACCTATTTCTCCTCCCCTTTCTCTTCTTCCTCCTCTTTCTTGTCCTATTTCTCTTTTTAACAATGCTTTGAAGATGTAAAGACCATTTTTAGCTCACAAGTCATACCTCAACAGGCTGTGAGCCCGATTTGGCGCATGTGGTAGCTCATTTACACAACTTTTGGGTAGACAGGTTGCTACTACACATAATGCTGCAACGGGCATCTCTGTGCTGCATCTTTCAGTGTTCATTTGAGTTTACTTGTAGGATATATTCACAGGAGTGGAATTACTGGGACACGTTTCTTAATCGTGAAAGATATTCCATCAAACTCCTCATTTATAGGTGGTATAAGAGGTCCAGTGAAGAGACTGATCCAGAGTTGCTCAGCAAGTCGGTGGTAAGAGCAGGACTAAAACTTCCTTTCCCAGCACTTAACTAGGGCTCCTTCCGCTGTTGTGCAGACCCTATCTGATATGGTTTGGCTGTGTCTCCACCCAAATCTTATCTTGGATTGTGGTTCCCATAATCCCCACGTGCCATAGGAGGGACCCCACGGGAGGTAATTTAATCACGGGGGAGGTTACCCTCATGCTGTTCTTGAGACAGTAAGTTCTCACGAGATATGAGGGTTTTATAAGGGGCTTTTCCCTTTTACTTGATACTTTTTTTGATGCCGCCGTGTGAAGAAGGACATGTTTGCTTCCCTTTCTGCCATGATTGTAAGTTTCCTGAGGCCTCTCCAGCCATGTTGAACTCTGAGTCAATTAAACCTCTTTCCTTTATAAATTTCCCAGTCTCTGGTATGTCTTTATTAGCAGCATGAGAATAGACTGATACATCCCTGCTGAGGGCTCACAGGGAATTTGTTGTGGGACATGGAGTTGGAAAGACCCAAGCTTTCTCAAGTCCAGAGGGAGGCGCAGAGCAGGGTCACAGAACCGAGGGACCTCAACACTGTCAGATCTCTTTCCCCTCCTGTCTCATTTCTGCTTCTTGCAGTTGCTTTCGATGATGTGGGGCAGAAGCTCCAGGGTCAGTTTTATGTCATGTGTGTGGCCTGAAAGGAAAAGAAAGCTTTTGACTGCAATTAACAGAAAACACACAAAAGAAGCTTTTGCTTGCAATTAACAGAAAACTCTGGCACAAACAAATATAAATACAGTTTATTACATCACATAACTCCAAGTTCAGAGGCAGGGCAGTCTCTAGGCAACATTCAGGCAGTGGCTGGATACTGTCCTCATGGACTCTGGGTCTTTCTGCTTCCTGTTTCTGTTCTCAGTGCTGGCTTCATCTTTAAGCTGGTGATGAAAGGGTTGAACTAGTTCCAAGTGTCACATGTAGAACCAGTGATAGTCTGTGTCTTCTTCTCAGGAAAGAGAAAACTTTCCCAGCATACCTGTAGCATATTTCCCTTGATTGGCCAAAACTGGGACACATGACAGCTGTTGACTCAATTCCTGATAAGAGGGATGAGAATACCATCATTGACTTAGAAAAATGATCTGGGGATGAATGGATGTTGGGGCATCTACTGCCCTGACTATTACGCAGTGCTTATTTCTGAACTCAGGTCTGGAAACTTACAGAGATTAATTTGAATTGGATTATTTTAGGTTACATACCCATTTCTTAGACCAATCCCTATGGTCAATAGGCCATTGTAGTTGCCAAGCTTGACCAATGGCTGTGGTGTAAGCATATGGCAAGCTTTGAGAACAGAGAAAAGGTGAGGAGAATCTGCTTCCCCAAAAGAAAGATACCTTCCACTGGTGTGCACTTCACCCTTCAGAAGATCCCAGGTCTTCGGAGGCAGCCTAAGTAGAGGAGAAGCACTAGCATTGAAGTCAGATGTCTTAGCTGAGAATCCTGCCTCTGCTATTCACTAGGCTGGATTTCCTGTTTCAGTGCCAGAGTCTATCCAATGGGGATAATTATGCCCAGGATAGGCAGCCAATCTCACAGGTACCTTATGAGGACTGATAAGGAAATGGTGAAAATAAAGCAAGGGACCCTCCAGACATTATAACCTGAGGGATGCTATCTGGTCCTACGGTGTCTCTGGACAGTGGGAGGAAGGGGTCTTTCTCTCTAGGCCCCGTGTGCTTACAACCCAGTGTTGTGGGGAGGAGTAACCTTGGAGGAGGGGCGCTGGAGGGGACAGGGAGAGCAGACAGCAGTGCACAGGTGGAGCCTCAGACTGAGGCTTGTCCCTGCTTCCTTCTCCAGGGGCCCTGCCCTATTTCTCTGCCTTTTCTCCTTCTGACCTCTCTGTACACTATTTTGAGACCCAACTGACTATCAGTTCTCAACAGATTACTCTCATCCTTCCTTTTAAATAATTCTTTGTTAGCATTGAAAAGACACATTCGGCTGGGCATTGTGGCTCACACCTTTAATCCCAGCACTTTGGGAGGCCGAGGCAGGTGGATCGCTTGAGGTTAGGAGTTTGAGACCAGGCTGGCCAACATGGAGAAACCTTGTCTCTACTAAAAATTCAAAAATGAGCCAGGCATGGTGGCGGGCACCTGTAATCCTAGCTACTTGGGAGGCTGAGGCAGGAGAATCGCTTGAACCTGGGAGGCACAGGTTGCAGTGAGCCGAGATCTGTCATTGCACTCCAGCCTTGGCAATGAGAGCAAATCTCCGTCTCAAAGGAAAAAAAAAAATACATTCAACCAAACTGTGCTTTTCACCTTTTGTCATTTTGCTAATATATATATTTTTAAATTTAAAAGTTTTCCTCTCTTCTGAATCTTTAAAATGTACTTGGGACATAACAGGATAGTTCAAACAATTTTACAGAGTGCAGACTTTAGGCATGCTAAAGCAAGAAAACACATGGTTGCTAACAAGTGGGGCTTACGTTCTAGTGATATCAGTGAGCAGAAGGCCATTCCTCTTCCCCTTCTTCCCACCACAGCACTGAGTGCCCTATCTGGGGACCTGGGCATCCTTCTGGAGCCAGTCTCTGAGAAAAGGCGGTGAGAAAATATTAAGGACTAAGAAAACAACTGAGAGAATTGTGGTCCCAATATTCCTTTCCCACAAAGGTTTCTTGAAAAATGGCAGCAATCCTAATTGCTGTTTATTAGCTATGCAACCCCTAGCAAACATTTGGCTTCCTTTGTGCTTAGTGTACTCATCTACAAAATGGAGACAAGATCTATCTCATAAGGTTATTGTGAAGATTACATTAGATCATCCAAGGACAATGGTGCATTGAGTGTGTAAGAGCATTGGCTCTGGGGTCAGGCTGCCTCCTTCATATCCTGTCTCTGCCTCTCTAGCATTGTGACACTGAATGATTTAGTTTACCTTCCTGTGCCTCAGTTTCCTGACCTACAAAATGGGAATTATAATAATAATATCTACCTCATAGGATTGTTGTAAAGATAAAATGATTCATATAAACTCTTTGATTCAGGCCTCACATCTAGAAGTGCTCAACAAAATTTACCATTTTGTCTACCTAAAAGTGTGGGGTTTTTCCAAATAAAACTATCTTTTAGACTATAAAACATTGTGATGACATCTATGTATTTTGCTGTTTAGAAAATGACCCTCAGTAGAAGGTTATCCCTCACAACTGAACCTTTGTAAGCCCTGCCTTCAGGACACAGATGGGCTGTCATGCTGTGCCTATCATTCACTGGACAAATTATAACTGAGCTTGCATTTCTCACATTGAACTATGATCAGTGCAGGCAGAGACACACAATACTAGGCAGAGCAAGACATGGGAAATGGCTCCAAAGAGCTTACCGGGGGAACAAATATATGCACATATGACCATAGATGATAATAAAAGGCACCTTGGAAATGCCAAATGGAGGGTGGCAAAGAGCTTCTGAGCAGGGAGAAAAACCTATGATGTCATTTCATCCTCAGCAATATGAACTGGCTGTGTGACTTTGGGCACATTGCTAGACCTTGGTGTGCCTCTATTTTCTCCTGCATTACAAAAGGAGATAAAATTGTATTATATTAGCAATCCTAAATTGGTATTCACAGATGGATTTTGTTTGGCGAATAGAGAGTTTTTAACTTTTGAATTAGGCATCAACATTTAAACCTTCAGAGACTTCATGGAAAACTCTAGATATTGAATTCTTTCTGGAAAATCCTAGCAACTGGTAACAGGTAGCTGGAATTAAGTAGCAACTTGCCACCATTTAAAAGATGAGGTATGTGGTTTTCAGGGCCCTCTGCTCCCAGTAGACTTTATTTCCACCTATGCGCTTGGCTCATTTCAATTTGCTGCCTGGACCCTGTAAGCATTTGAGTTTGTGACACCTGGAGCAGGTAATTTCCTTAGCATCTTTTTGTTCTTTCATGAGATTACTAAGTAGGGCAAGGGTTACTACATCCTCTCCAATGAAGAGGAAATAGTGAAAGTTGGAGAAATGGATATTTGGACACACAAAGAGATGGAAAACAGATGCAGGACTTGAAAACAGGCCTCAACTCCTTGTCTGTTATTTTCCTCTCTGACTGGTGTTTCACCCTTTCTCCAGGACCTAGAGTGTTTTATTGACTGTTTGGATGATGATTATGATGATAATTGCTATCATTTAGTATTTAGTATGTCTTAGGTGTTTTCTGTCACTTAATTATTTTGAGCTATTGCTATTAACATCCCATTTTGTAAAAGCGGAATTAGAGGTTTAAAAAAGCCAAGGAATTTGTAACTACACACTTATTAAGTACTGAAGCCAAAATTTGGACTCAGGTCTATCTGAGACCATATCCCTTGTCCTTAACCTTAAGAGTCACACAATTGTGGAGACAGGGCCAATGACTTGTCTTGTTGAATAATATCGATATATACATTTTAGAGAGATTAATTTTATACCTCAAATAGATGCTCATTTCACGTGCTGTAAGCATGAGACCCCTCTGAATAATACACAAATGATGAAATGTGATGCTCTTAGCAATACACTCACTGAGAAGGAGCAAGAGCCCTCCAGAGGGGTCAGGGGTTATCATTGTTATGAGAAAGGAGGCTCCAGCTGTCAGGACGCATATAGGGATGTATTAACATTACTCCCAATGTCAGGGAGAGGTGAAGGAACAGACTGGCTATGCATCACTCAGAGTCCTGAGGCTGTGCTTCTGGCACAGTTTGACTCAGCGATCTCCCGTGAGATCAGACTGGCTGGGCCTGCCGTAACATCACACATTTATAGGATCTTAGGTTGGAAAACACTGTAGGGGTCATCTAGACCCACTGTTATATGGGAATATTTTCTATAAAGCCTGCAACAGGCAATTTCTGCTCTATGCTTGAAGATTTCTTGTGATGGCAAGCTCAGTGCTCTATAAGACAATCATTTCCATGTGTGTTTGACATTTCTTTATATCAGGTTCTAATCTACATGCATGTTTAATCCTCTCCTCATTGTGTTGTCCACTGGAGCAGTGTGGAATGCCTCCTCTCTTCTGTATGTGTCAACCCATCAAGTTGTAATGTGGTAAATATGTTCCACCAGATTGTCACTCCTTGGCCATAAATACCCACATTTGCCTAAACTGTGCTGCACAGAAGAGTTTCCAGATTCCTTCCCACATGTGCTGGTTATTCTCCATTTACCCCTCCTCTTCACATCCATTTCTATTCTTTTCTGTCCTGTTCCCTACTGTGGCAGATTGACTCGTTTGGGTTACTTCACCAGGCTCCTTTGCTGGTTGGTTCTATATTGGGTTATGCTGATGGGAAACGGAGGAAGGCAACTGGAAGGCAGGAGGAGACAGAGGACAGGGTACTTCTCCCCACTCCTTTCTTGATTCAGCATGCCTCTCTGGGAGTCACTGGCACCCCTCTATTTCTCTAGTTCCTGTTGGCATAAATCTGGCTCTCACTGGAAAAGGATGACACCATCCCTACCGTTGATGCCCTTTCAGCCTTACGGTGTTAATGGCTTTCCCCTTCTGCTGGTCTCCAAGTGACTCAGCATCTTGTTTGCCCTTTAAGCCTATCTGGGCTTCTAGCAGTGGCTCCTTTATTAAAATGTCTTTATTTGCACCATTGTGGTGAATTCTGTTTCCTGCTGTGACTCTGAACTGAATGTATTATTCTTGGTGCCCATGGCTAAGTTTGCTCACCTATGTTCTGTGTTTTTTGTTTATCAAATTATCAAGTCTAGCAACATTGCCAAGATCATTTCATTTGCTGGTAGCCACTGGCACACATTGTTGGCCCTCCCTGAGTTTGTGGTTAACTGAAAGTGTTAGGCCCTTCTTATGGACTCAAGTGTCAAACCCATCTTTGGAGCAAGATCACCTGGGTTTAAATACTGGCTCAATATTAAATAATAAGTATGAGCATGTTACCTTCCTCTCTCTGTGTTTCAGTTTTCTCCTCTATAAAATAGGATGACACTAGTATTCATTTCAAAAGAGGCGTTGTGCAGATTAAGTGAATTATTGTACATTAAGGCCTTGTAACAGTGTCTGATGCATGGTAAGTCTCCAATAAATGTTACTTTCATCATCAAGATCATCATTTTTTACATACACAATTGCATATTTTAATCTAAATGCATAACTTTTTGCCTCCTTTTTTTTTAAAAAAAGCTTTCTTTACAAGGATTATAATTCTGAATGCCATTGGTGTTGTAATCTTGATACTGTCCCCTAAAACCTTGCTGGTTGAATGTGTGCCACAGATCAGCAGCATGAGCATTGCCTAAGAATTTGTTAGAAATTTGGAATCCCAGACTCTGCTCTAGACCTGCTGAATCAAGGCCTGTTTGTTAACAAGGTCCCAGGTGATTTTTGCATGCATGAAAGTTGGAAAAGCTCTGCTCTCTCACATTTATTGTTCTGAATTATTGCTCTCAGCTGGGTTGGAGAACATATCCCATCTCTAACAGGGAAGATACCCATTGCTCGTGTTTAAGGTTACCAGATAGACTGGTGCTGCCGCTCTACCAAGTCTAGCAATGTTTCCAGGAGTCAAACCATCCTGGGAAGGAAATTTAGAGCGGTGTTTTTCACTGTTGGGATTTGGAATCAGAAAACCAGGTTTTGAACTGTACTCTGCTTTTTATATGTGTGTGTGTGTGTACACACACTGGCATAAATACATAAATGACAAATGGACTTACTGTGAAGGTTTGCTATGAGGATTAAATGAAATAACCCATGTAGAACATTCAGTGAATAGTCTGTCACACAAAATGTTTCCATTCTTTCTCCTTTCCACAAGTCATATGATACATGCTCCAATGGTAACCCACTCCTGGAAGGAAAAACTGTATTGACATAACAGGAAAATTTGCTTCAAACAGATTGGGAAGATTGGGTTCATTTGAAAACTGCAGCCAATGCCTCATAGTTATGTGAATACCACTGCTCATTTCTCTGGCCATGTGTTTCTGAATATAGGTTATATTTAACTCGATAACTGCAGATAGAAGTATGGTGAAATTAAGCAGTAAAGAAAAGATTGCTGGTGTATAAACTTGAATTAGACACCACTGGCATATATTGTATACATATAAGTATTTGTAATGTGACTACAGTCTAAAATAGGATAATGTTGGGGTTGCTGATTAATCTTGACACTAATTAAAACACACCAGTTACAGAGGAAGTGACATGCTTTCTGTGATAAATAGTTGACAAATAATCCTGGGCTCACCCCAAGGCAGCTGGCCTTTCTTTTTCAGTTGCACAGATCTGAAGTCAATCTGGGCTCACATGCCAGCTCTGCCACTTGCTTCTGTGACTCTGGATAACTTAACCCACATTACTACCTCAGTTTACTCAACTACAAAATGTAGAAGATAATAATTTTACCTGAGGAACACATTCCTGAAGACCATGCATACTTCAGAACTTATGTAATTCAAAGTCAATTTTACCATAGGATCAACAAAGGAAGGAGGGAGGGTATTTCTGTCTTTGAGCTAAAATGATACCACTGACATTTTAAGAATTAAGAATTAGCATAAGCATAAATTATAAATCCCTCAGTTCATAAACTTTATATGATATTTGACCAATGTGTGGGGAGGGGAGAGTGGAGAATCAATATTATATTACAGTTTGTGCATAAAGTGAGATTTTACTTTTTTAAATTATACTTTAAGTTCTGGGATACATGTGCAGAACGTGCAGGCTTATTACATAGGTATACATGTGCCATGGTGGTTTGCTGTACCCATCAACCTGTCATCTAGGTTTTAAGCCCCGTAGGCATTAGGTATTTCTCCTAATGCTATCCCTCCCCTTGTTCCCCATTCCCCGACAGGCCCCAATGTGTGATGTTCCCTCCCTGTGTCCATGTGTTCTCATTGTTCAACTTCCACTTATGAGTAAGAACATGCAGTGTTTGGTTTTCTGTTCCTGTGTTAGTTTGCTGAGAATTATGATTTCCATCTTCATCCATGTCCCTGCAAAGAACATGAACTCATTCTTTTTCATGGCTGCATAGTATTCCATGGTGTATATGTGCCACATTTGCCTTATTCAGTCTATCATTGATGGAAATTTGGGTTGGTTCCAGGTCTTTGCTATTGTGAATAGTGCTGCAGTAAACATACGTGTGCATGTGTCTTTATAGTAGAATGATTTATAATCCTTTGTGTATATACCCAGTAATGGAATTGCTGGGTCAAATGGTATTTCTGGTTCCAGAACCTTGAGGAACCGTCACACTGTCTTCCATAATGGTTGAAGTGATTTACGCTCCCACCAACAGTGTAAAAGCTTTCCTGTTTCTCCACATCCTCTCCAGCATCTGCTGTTTCCTGACTTTTTGATCATCACCATTCTAACTGGCATGAGATGGTATCTCATTGTGGTTCTGATATGCATTTATCTAATGACCAGTAATGATGAACTTTTTTTCATAGGTTTGTTGGCCACATAAATGTCTTCTTTTGAGAAGTGTCTGTTAATATCCTTTGCCCAGTTTTTGGTGGGATTGTTTTTCTCTTGTACATTTGTTCAAATTCTTTGTAAATTCTGGATATTAGATCTTTGTTAGACGGATAGATTGCAAAATTTTTCTCCCATTTTGTAGGTTGCCTGTTCACTCTGATGATAGTTTCTTTCACTGTGCAGGAACTCTTTAATTTAATTAGACCTCATTTGTCAATTTTGGCTTTAGTTGCAATTGCTTTTGTTGTTTTAGTCATGAAATCTTTGCCCATGCCTATGTCCTAAATGGTATTGCCTAGGTTTTCTTGTAGGGCTTTTATGGTTTTAGATTTTACATTTAAGTCTTTAATCCATCTTGAGTTAATTTTTGAATAAAGTGTAAGGAAGGGGTCCATGTAAGGAAGTTTCTGCATATGGCTAACCAGTTTTCCCAGCACCATTTATTAAATAGGGAATCCTTTTCCCATTGCTTGCTTTTGTCAGGTTTGTCAAAGACTAGATGGTTGTAGATGTGTGGTGTTATTTTTGAGGCGTCTGTTCTGTTCTGTTGTCTATATATCTGTTTTGGTACCAGTACCATGCTGTTTTGGTTACTGTAGCCTTGTAGTATAGCTTGAAGTTGGGTAGTGTGATGCCTCTAGCTTTGTTCTTTTTGCTTAGGATTGTCTTGGCTATACAGGTTCTTTTTTGGTTTCATGTGAAATTTAAAATAGTTGTTTCTAATTCTGTGAAGAAAGTCAATGGTAGCTTGATGGGGATAGCATTTAATCTATAAATTACTTTGGGTAGTATGGCCATTTTCATGATATTGATTCTTCCTATCCATGAGCATGGAATTTTTTCCCATTTGTTTGTGTCCTCTCTTATTTCCTTGAGCAGAGGTTTGTAGTTCTCCTTGAAAAGGTCCTTTACACCCCTCGTAAGTTGTATTCCTAGGTATTTTATTTTCTTTGTAGCAATTGTGAATGGGAGTTCACTCATGATTTGGCTCTCTGTTTGTCTATTATTGGTGTATAGGAATGTTTGTGATTTTTGCACATTGATTTTGTACCCTGAGACTTTGCCGAAGTTATCAGCTGAAGGAGTTTTTGGGCTGAGACGATGGGGTTTTTCTAAATATACAATCATGTCATCTGCAAACAGAGACAATTTGACTTCCTTTTTGAATACTCCTTTGTTTCTTTCTCTTGCCTGGTTGCCCTGGCCAGAACTTCCAATACTATGTGGAATAGGAGTGGTGAGAGAGGGCATCCTTGTTTTGTGCCGGTTTTCAAAGGAAATGCTTCCAGTTTTTGCCCATTCAGTATGATATTGGCTGTGAGTTTGTCATAAATGGCTCTTATTATTTTGAGATACATTCCATCGATACCTAGTTTATTGGGAGTTTTTAGCATGAAGGGGTGTTGA